>NC_000005.10:158488596-158791627 GCF_000001405.40 Homo sapiens | reverse complement strand
CAGAATTTATACAATTTAGAGTATTTAAGCTGTCAATTAAAAAAAAAAGTACAATGGTGGGTTTCGTGGGGAGCAGAGAATAATATTCCAGGCTGCAAGGGTTGAGATTGCATGGGGTAGCAGTGGATAAGGAACCAATTGAGAGACTTGGGTATTGATTGTCCTTCCATTGCCCAATCAGAGGATATAGATTTAGTCATTGTTGGTCGCTGGACCTCAGTTTCTCATCTGAAAATGAAAGACTTAGTCTATATCCTCTTTGAAATCAGTGCTACAATTCTAGCAATTCCTTTTTTTTTTTTTTTTTTTGAGATGGAATCTTGCTCTGTTGCTCAGGCTGGAGTGCAGTGGCATGGTCTCAGCCCACTGCAACCTCCACTTCCCAGGTTCAAGCGATTCTCCTGCCTCAGCCTCCCAAGTAGCTGGGACTACAGGTGCGTGCCACCACACCCAGCTAATCTTTGTATTTTTAGTAGAGACGGGGTTTTGCCGTGTTGGCCAGGCTGGTCTCAAACTCCTGACATCGTGATCTGCCCGCCTCAGCCTCCCGAAGTGCTTGGATTACAGGCATGAGTGACTGCACCCAGCCTAGTGATTCCTTTTAGAGTTTATTCCCCTGAGAATCCTCCCACAGTCAGAAGGGGACAGTGGTGGCAGGTGGAAACTGCTCCTTTTCTTCCACTATTGTTCTTTTCTTTCAGAGCACACTTGCAATACACAGATGTGATGTTGATTTGCAAAAGAATTATTTAAACTTCATCAAAACAATTTAATTGGCCACAAAACTGCATCTCCCTATTGATAGGTCTTTAGTCAATATTTTTACTCTCTATGCTTCAGATTCTGGTATCTGATATAAATCTGAGACTTACGCCACAGTGTTGGCCTAATTCGTCTTCTAGATAATGTTATGGAAGACTAGTTCTTCAGGATATTAATAGATACCCATTGGGAGATGAGAGAGGGAGGTTTTTCCTGGTAAGTTTGGGAAATGCTGAGTCAAATTCTGCTGGTCTTTCTTCTAGGGCTTTGCACAACGTTTGAGGTACTAGCATGCACCGCAAATACTTAGATGCAGTATTCAGCATGTCCCAAACTTTTGTGAAGGCAGAACTCTTTTTTTTTTCCCCAAGGATCACCTTACAGGGAGATATATTGGTGATGGCTGAAGTGCATTTTGATTTCATGTTAATGGAGCCAAGTCATGAAATTCAATCACAAAGTGGTTGGACTGGGATAGATGTGAGAAAACCATCTTAAATATTTGCAGAATATCATTCAGATTAGACCAGGAATGTTTAGAGCCATTATTCTCCAATGCTGCAAGGCTTTGAACAAAATTTCCCTCATATTTTGCATCTGGTTTTAGTCAGTACACACTTGGCATTAGATGCTATATGATTTTGTAGGGCAGCTATATTTAAAGATTGCCAGTACCACTTAGCTCAGATGGATGAAGCCAAAGTTTCCTCGTGTGTGAAGCAATTAGTCTCACACAGGTTCTCCTCGTTGTCTTTATCCAGATGCATGCTTTCTTCAGCTACATTCCCAGACACGGGGCATGAAGTCAAAAGAAACCTCTGGGGGAGACCTGTGAGTGAATATAGTTGGGTAAATGGTGGTTTAGGGGCTCAGAAGCAATTTTGCCACTTAAATCAAAAAATTGGAAAACCAAGTGGTAAATGCAGTCCTTCATTTCTTTCTTTCTTCCTATCTATCTCTACTTTCCATTCTCCTTTGTACACATAGCTCAGAGGAATGATTGTCAATAAACAAGAGGATTGGCTTCCCTATGATATTCAAGAGTGGTTGACTAAGATGCATACAGGTATTCCACCGGAAGTTTCCCAGGCCTTTTTGCCCGGCCTTGACTCTTACTGAACCACATGTAGAGTCACCACATTTTAAGGGCCTTGAGAAACCTTTTTTCAGTCAAGTATAGTTTCTTATTTTGTGAGGAAAAAGAGACTTCACAGTGGTAGGGTGGCTTGTCCTGGGAGCATATTATCTACTTAATGCTGGGCTCAGAGCCCAGTTCTCTTGACATCCAGCTTCACCCCCATTCAGCTTTTGGTTATACCAGATTTTCTCATGAAATTTCCATGGGCTTTTAACATACTTCCAGAAATTTACCAAACCTTCCTAAATTTTATACATAATTGCCCTAACACTCTGAAGACTTATCTATACCACCTTTTATGTGAGATACAGCTCCACTAAAATAAAAAAGAAAATTAAGACGGAGAAAGACATTATGTCAAATATTACCTCTTTCAAAATGTCATGATAGAAATGTAATACAATGTAAATAGTTGTGTCCATTTATTTTACATATATTGAGGCTTACATGTATAAATTTAATTCAAAGTTGATTAAATGTGTGGATTTAAAATAACTCCTAGTTGCCTATTTTTTTCTAAATATGTTTCATGTCCTATATTTAACCTGTGCTTATTGACCATCTATTATATAGAAGTTGCTTTGTGCAAAATTATAAACTTTATTTGTTAACAAATTTAAAAGCAGTCTGGATTAGTTGCATTAAACTTTGAATATGACTTTGAAGAACAACTTTCAAGCCCAAGTAATTTTATGAGAAATCATTTCTAAATGAGCCAGCATATTAAAAAAAAAACAGATAAAAATGGTCTAATGGCCTTTTTAATATAGTTACATAGTTACAGCCATGCTCACTTTATTCCTAAGAAGCCTTAGTCTATATTGTTATTTTTGATGACTGAGGCACTTGAAATCTATTTTCTATGTTGATAATTATGAAATAGTTAAAAAAAGACTTTAAGATGACATTTTCAGCTCATTATTTACAGCGTGTTCAGGAGGTACACGTGTCTGTAACTTGAAAATAGGAACCACAGAAGTGTGATGAATTTCTAATTTTCATATGAATCAATGACAGAATTCACACCTGGCTGCAGTCATGTGACTTTTATGAAGAAAATGAATATTTATGGATATCTAGATAGTGCTGTATTCCTTTCTTGCTGATTGCTGATCACTAGGTTGGCTCCCTGATACCCTGAACTAAATAAAGCCTTCTACCTTATACAACCTTTACTGGCTTTCTCTTTTCTAAAGCCACAACTTCTTTGGGATTCAAGCACACCACCTTGACTCCAACCTTTCTTTTCAACATCCTCAACCAACATTCATTTTAATTTATGTTCTATTCCATTGACTTGTTAGCTGCTCCTTGTACCTGCAGTAACTTTTCTCCCTGTCTTGCTGGTGCCATTGCTCTCCATGGGATCCTTTTCCCTCCTTTCTGTGCCCATATCCCTCTGCCCTTTAAGATCCTGTAAAATACCACCTTTTTCTCTGGAATCTTCCCATATGACTCCAGGTATAGAATATTTTCTCTTCTGTCTAAATTCTTATGTTGCCTTATTTCTACCATACTGTGTTCCTTATACCTTTCCATCTTTAATTATCCTGATTTAAGGGCATTCCCTCTTCCTTGAATGCAGGATCCAGGATAAATACAGCTTAATTTTCTGTGATGCCCAGCACAGAGCTTTGCACTTCTGAGGCATTAGTGAAAATTTGTTGAATGACACTATTTCCCCTTTCATTCATTCATTCATTCAGTCAAACAAATGCTCCCTAATAGCAACTGTTGTAGTTGACAATGCTTGAAAGTGTCAGTACTAGACAGATTGTGGTCCAGGTTTTGCTAATGCATGTATGGGTAGGTAGTTTATATTTAGATATAATTGTTGTGTAATAAGTATGCACATAAATGTCTTAATGTAAATCTATTGGTGATGGTGAAGATTGAGTAGTAATAGAAGTAACACGTGTTGACTGATTGATACAAGTGATGCCTTTTCCTACACTTGTTACAGGAATTGTGTCAATTAATCCTTGTAATAAACTATCAGATAACAAGTCCCATCCTACTCTCTCCCCCTTTCCCCAATAAGGAAACTGAAGGTCACAGAGGTTGAGTGACTTTCCAAAGGTCCCACAGCTGATTATTGACAAGGCTTGGATTTGAATCAAAGTCCACCTGACTCCATAGCTATCTCTTAACTATCTAATATGAATGTAATAAAATTCATTTATCCAGAGATGTGTTATAATAATCTCAACTCCCTAAAATTCAGCATGAAACCAGAAGCAAGCCAAAAAAGTAAATAAAATAAAAAGCTTTGGGTTAATGAGAACAATACTTCTTAACAAACTATGTTATCTGTTTTCCTAGGTCACAGCAAATTAGGAGGCCCAAACTAGAGGAAGATCATGTGTGGAGGCAGGCTATTGGATACAGGCTCAGTGACAGCTGATGGCCTGATGTCTAGGGAAGAAATGGAAAGCCGAAAAAGCAAACACAGAACTATATTACTGTGCAGCTCATTAATGACAGTGGCCCTGAGTAATCAAAAAAGAGCTGGCAATTATATTTAGTATATTCTATTTAAAACAGCAGGATATATATAAGGCAACCTTGAAAGACTTTCAGCAGAAGCAGTTGTACAGCCACATTATTAAAAGGGGTTTGGCTTCAGTTTTTTGTAGTGCTTACTTTTATTACATCTCTGAGTTCCTGAATGAACACGTTAAGTGAGGAATTACTGGTTGCATGTGCTAGTATCAATGTATATCATATCTAGATATGACAAACACCACAAAAAATGTTAGAGTGAGTCTCTGTATCGTAAAGCTTTGACATCTTTTTTTGTTTGTTTTTAAGCTTGGAGAGACTCTACAAGTCTTTTGGTGAAAGGTGAATTTATTCCCTGACTACTTTATCAGTCTTTTGGCTTTTATATTTTTCTTTACTAATTCCATAGGCAAAGATTCTGCCATGTGAATTGCCAATGTTGATAACAAGCATTCATCCCCTTCCATAAATGCATTCTGATTTCCTTTTCCTTTTATATTTTAATTTTCAAACAAACAAGCAAGGAACATAGGACACTGAGCCAGGCCTGAGTAGGGAATGATGTTCCTTCTTGACTGAATTTAGAAAAACAAGCCTTGAGAAAGAGCTCATTGTGCAGCCTCAAACCACAGGGGCTGGCGTTGCTGGTGTCTGATGCTCTCCTTCTGGAATACCCTGGGCCTCAGGAACTCACCCTTGCTTTTCCAGCTCCCAGATGGTCAGGATGGGATCCAGTCTTTAATGGGGCCCAACTGGCACAAGATCTACATCCTGGGAAGAGAGCTGGAGAAAGTTTATTTAAAAAATAAATTACAAAATAAATAAATAAATAACCCACAAAACCAGAGGTAGTGGAAGCATAATGTATTTACTTCAGTCTTTTTTCTCCCAAATCTGTTATTTTGAAAGATGATCTTGTTGCCATTTTGTTTTGTACAATTAACTGCATTGATTTCGGGACCTGGTTAGATGCCTGGTCAGAACTGGGCAGTATATTTCTGTGAATGCTTAATGAGGATACCAGGAAGTTTGTGGTGGAAAGTAAAAAGTTTTTTTTTTGTTGTTGTTTGTTTGGGAATTTTTTAGTAAAAAGAATTCTGAATGGAGTGGTGTTGATTATTTCCTTTTTGTAGATTCATAAGAAACTTTAGTGAATCTTTATCTTAATTATTAGTGGTGGCTAATGGCATCACGATATTTATTCATTCAATGTTCAAGTATTTATTGAGTGACTACTAGTTCCAGGGCCTTGTTAAACACTGGAAACATAGCAAAAACAAAGAAGGCCAAGGTCATATCCTTATGGGGCTGATATTCTACTTAGGGGGACACGGACAATGAATAGGAAAGCATATCTACATCTCTCTACCATCCATCTGAGTCTATGTCGATATCTATATTGAGAGAAATTTCAGTGTTAAGTAACATGACTGACTATTCAAAAGCTAGATTTTAAGTCCCCCATTTAACTCAATTCCTGAGACTTTAATTTCAAAAGTCTCCTTTGACATTCATACATAAAGTTTATCTTTAAGGATTCATGTGACTCAGCATATTTTGGTAAACATCGGTTTAAAGTTATTTTCTTGAAAGGACAAAAGGAAACCAGAATTTTTGTGAAACAGTAAATGCCTCCTCTGGCTTTTTCTCACGTTCTCTGAGAAATCATACACTGCTTTTGAGACAGGCAATTCTTGGGAATGAAAGAATCTGTGTTATGAAACCCAGAGAACTCTGATTAGGGAACAAACCAAAACACACCAAGGAACTCAGAAGAAGAGCTGGCATCCCCTGATTTATGTGGTAGCCACTTCAGGGAAATAGAGATATAATATGGAGGTTCAGCCAGCACAGTCGCCAAGAATATATACTTTTCATATTTCAGCTTCCTTTAGCAACCCTGAAAATAATATATTTTAAATGCCGTGTCTAACTCCAAAAAGATGCATGTTTCAGAGTAGTGGAGGGAAAACAAGTTTGCCTGTTTGTTCCCTAACACCTTGGTATCTCTTTAAAAATCCGTAGTTTGATTTGGTTCTAGAGCTTTAATTATGCTTTTATGTTACAGTTTTCTTATTTAAGTGTCTGCTTCATGTCTATCACTCAGTACCCCCTGCCTATCTCAAAAGAGATGGATATTATTATCCTAACTGAGGAGAAGGGAGAATGCTGTGAGAATTATTAATACATAAATTAAAAAATTAATCTGGAAAGTGCTTTAGGGTCCCCAGAGAAGCTCTACCCAAACATAAAGCATGTATAATATTATTATCAGCACCTCCACAGAGCACATAGGAGCTGGTGCAGTATAAGATTAGTAAACTGAGGCACAGAGGGTGTCAATGAGTGAATGGGCTAGCATGCCTTAGAACGCAGACCCTTCAATGGGTAACATCTAAAAACCACCTTGCCAGTGCCCACTTTAGGCTTTTTCTAGCCACAAATGCTCATTATTTTTCCAGAGAAGAAACATTTCCTTCCTTTTATCCCTTCTCTTTGAGTCTTTGCTTGTTTTGGACTTTTTTTCTTTACTTTTAAGTGTTGAAGGTGATTAAGGTTAAAATATTAGGTCCTAAACCTAGTAATGAGAAATCGCTGGTGTGCTTTCTAGTAACCCCAGTTATTTTTTGGCTTTGTGGCTTGCAACTTCAACTTGCATTTATTTTACCTACTCCTATTGGTTGGAAAACATGGATAAAGGCTTATCTTGGAATTGCTTTTTTGTTTTCCTTGGGAATCATTCTCAGCTTGCCTTTCACCAGTGAGGAAAGTTGTTTTGAGTGGCCACTATGTTCCCAGTTCATTTCAAGGTATGGGAAAAGCTGCAGATACAATCCATGCTTTCAAAGGCAGAGGTCAGATGCAAAGTACATGTACCAGGAATTATGGAAAAACAATGAACAGTCATATGAACAGATAGTCATGGTTGTATAATGATGGTCATTAGTCAGGCCGACTGGCCACTTCCAGTTGGTTTCTTGATCATATTTCTTAACTTTCCTGAAACTTATTTTTCTCATCTATGAACCAGCTAATAATCATACCTACCCCATAATACTACAGGATGTAAATCACTGAAAGAGTTTAACATAGCGCTTGACATATGGGAAAAAGACAACAAAAGGTCATTATAGTTGAAGTCGTTATCAAGGTCATTACCATCATCAATTTAGTGAGAACTAGAACAATATAGATAATAAAAGCTGCGGAATTCTACAACATGCTTCCACTCATATTTTTAAACACTAGATACTCTCATTTACCTACCATGTGGGCCATACTTTTGATATGATGGGAGGCTGTCTAATACGCATGTAGAAGATTGTCCTCTTCCCTGCCTCTCTTCTGGGCTTCCAGACTTTGCAGGCTGCCTCTTTGGAGTTCTACGTGCACAGCTGCATGAACTACCATGCATTCTCTCTCCTGATTTCAGCTCTTCTGTCAAGGAGAGGCCCCATTCAACCACCTTCATGTCTGGCTCCATCTTGTCATGGCCACAGTGGCTTTACTTTGTACCCAGAGGCCACAGTGGGCATATCTCGCCTGGCTAACCCCCACAGGATTCTTCAGGTTCTGTGGTCTGAGTCTGGAGAAGAGAAAATGCTCACACAGGCAGCTTAGAGGGAGCAGAAGTGTTGCTGCCGGCAGGTCCCTGGCATGCTGACAGCCTCACCTGGAGGCCTGCAGAGATTATGTGTGTTTCATCTTACTGCCACATAGAAAAATTATTTCTTATGAATATAGTATTAATGCATTTTTATTGTTGAGCAGTTGGAGAATTCAGAGAAGCATACAGAAGAAAGTAAAATTACCCATACCTCTACCATCTAGAGGTAACTTCCATTAACATTTTGAAGTTTTTCCTTTCTTCTGTGCAAATACGCATCTAATTCTTATATAATCACATGTAATACATATTGCCCCAAACTGATGTTATTCTACTTTTTAAATAACATTTTTCTCATAATAAAAATAATGGCTTTATATG
This sequence comes from Homo sapiens, assembly GCF_000001405.40. Taxonomy (NCBI): domain Eukaryota; kingdom Metazoa; phylum Chordata; class Mammalia; order Primates; family Hominidae; genus Homo; species Homo sapiens. The sequence goes on along the minus strand of NC_000005.10, from coordinate 158,783,237 downwards.
TACAAATAGGTTTATTCCATAATTATTTACATGATCCAGTGCAAGTTTGGGACATTTACACACACAGAAATACATACACATAGGAGGAAGAGGCAGACAGAGAAGACAAATCACACTGAATGTTATCAGTCCAGAAATAAACACTCTTACCATTTAGCAAAGATCTTGTGTGGCATACTTTTTAAGTATTAATTTTTAAACCTTTTTTTTTTCATTTCATCTTATCATTTCTCACTGGAGTTACAGACATTTAGACATCCTTTTCTTTTTTACCACTTACATGATATACAAGCAGTGGTCTCAAGCTCATATTGAGATCTGAGTGTCGAGCTAGTCAGATAACTAACATTAAAAGCAACTTAGGTAGAAAACAAGAGTTGAGTATTATCAGGTTAAGAACAGTAGACTCACCTGGACTCATGGATAATGATTATGATACCCAGTGGAGTCAATGATTTAGTAGAATTCTGGCCTAATTTATGTAAATATTTATTCCAGAAATATTTTGAAAATATCTTGTATGTAAGTCATTAACTACTTAATTTGTTTTTTATTTTATTTTATTTTATTATTTTTTCTGAGACAGTCTTGCTCTGTTGCCCAGGCTGGACAGCAGTGGCACAATCACGACTTACTGCAACCTCGACTTCCTGGGCTCAAGCAATCCTCCCACTTCAGCCTCCCAAGTAGCTGGGACTACAGGCGCATGCTGCCATGCCTGGCTAATTAAAATTTTTTTTTTGTAGAGACAGGGTCTTACTTTGTTTCTCAGGCTGGTCTCAAATTCCTGGGCTCAAGTGATCCTTCTGCCTCAGCGTCCCAAACTGTTGAGATTACAGATGTGAGCCACCACACCAGGCCAAGTTAACTACTTTAGAGGTTGCAAATGTGAATTAGACTGTGTTCCTGATCTCAGGAAATATCTAATGAGAGAAAGATGTATAGGACACTATTTATGGCACAAAGCAAAATAGGCTGCTAAGTATTATAGTATCAATATCATAACAGTATAAATTCCTCAAAAATGCAGGCAACTTTCACCCTTAGGATCAGGTAAAACTTACTGGAAGAGGGAACGTATGATTGGGGTCTTCAAGAACAAGTAGAATGTCAGTAGAAGAATGTTTAGGAAAGAATGGCATGGAGAAAGCAAAACTGTTGGGCAAGGGAATGGTGTTTTCGTGTATCCACATGCCCTTTACTCCAATATGTGGTAAAGCAAAGTGGGAAGTGTGCCTAGGAAGGGAAACTGGCCATCAGGCCTTGGCGAACCCTAAATATTATTCTGTCAAGGAGTTTGAACTATGTAATAGGCAAAGGGGGCAGCTGAGGGTTTGGTTTGAGGCAGGGCATAATATGATGAGATTGTATTTGAAGAAGATAATTATGGTGGAAAAAGTAGAAGTAGAGGGAGACCATTTAGAAGGCAATTTTTCCTACTGTTGTAATAGTGTAAGAAACAGTGACAGCCTGAACAGGAGAAAGAGAAGAAGCAGAGAAGAGCCAGTGGGGCCCAGTTTGGGGCAGAATCAATATGACTGAAGAAAAATAAAGGAAGAAAAAGAAATAATGATAAACTCAAGTTTTCTGTTTTGGGTAATTCAAAGGCTAACATTCCTTTAACTGAGACAGGAGACACAGAAACAAGAAATATATTTACAGGTAGTAAGATGATAAATTTAGCTTGGGTCATGTTGAGATTGAGATGGCAAGAAGACTTATTTGGGGAGATTCTGTTACTCTGTTGCTAATAAAATTTGATGCTTAGCCAAAGAGATCAAGTCTACAAGTGTAGATTTGGAAATCAGTTTAGCTGAGGTGGCTGAGCTAATGAGTGAAATCAAGAAGTGCTAGGCAAATAGAGAAAAAAAAAGAAGACAAAACTTGTGATATTTCTACAACTAACAAGTTGACAGAAAAGTGGAGCAAATGAAGAAAACCAAAATAATCAGGAATCAATGAATAAGAGAAGATATCTGGAAAATACTTCTTTATAAGTATAAGAGATTGGTTTTCATCCAAGTGTTTTAAATAATATTAACTTGCCTGACCATCAACTTTTCTCATCTGAAATACATAAACCACAAACATGATTTTAAAAAATTAGTGAACATGAAAGTGCTTTGGTAAACCATCAGACACTTTGCAAGTCTTACGTCTTATGATTATTGTCTCATAAGAAAATGGAGTGTTCCAAGGAAGGGAAAGAGTAGTGGCAGATGCTACAGAGTTTCAGAAGAATATTTATTTCTAGCCCAAATTGTTTGGCTTGTAATTTAAGGAAGTTAAGTCAAAGAATGAATCTGTTCTCTAATCACTTAGAACAGTATTTACCAAAGTAATGGGGCATGGGTCCTTGGTAGTACAGGAGACATTTTTAGATTTGACACAGACATGAAATAGAACTGAATCACACTGTGAGAAAGTTAGTCTCCTTTTGGTTTCTCTTTTCATCACTCCTTTTGTTTCTCTTTTAATCTTTGTTTTATTCCATAATTATGATTTTTATTAAAGGGATAAAGTCTCAGGGCAAAAAAGTCTTTAATATTTAACACTAGCTAATCACCCTTTTCAATAAATTCCTTCAGGTTGTCAACAATATCTAGCTATAATTTATATTAACTTCAAGATTAATATCTACAATACCTTCTTATTTTGCAGTTGATATCAGTTTTCCAATTATGGTAGTGACATAAAGTTTTCTTTTAAAATAAGTTTTTTAAATAAAAAGATAATCACTTTTTAAATTATTAAGTATGTAATTGTATAGGTGGTATATAGATATGACAAAACTAAGAAAGTGATATTCCAATGATGAAAGTTTGAAAAATTTAGACTAGCCCTCCCTCCTTCTGTTGCTTTGAGTGGCTGCCTTGGGTTCAACCAGGCTGGAACAATGTGTGAAATTTATTTTGTGATTTGTGGGTCCGGAGTTCTACACCCTAGATCTAGACCCTGTCCCTCCTCTAGCATGTTGGGTCAATTTTCGGAGCCACCAGACATTTCTAGATTTTTGTGTCCTTATCTGTCAAAATAAGAAGATTAGCTTTAAACTATCACTAGCATTCCTTCCAGCAATAAATTCTACAGTTCTTTGAGTGATTAGTAAATAAGCCTGTGCTTTCAAATTGATCAAAGTTAGCTAAAATGTTTTTCCTCCATAAGCATCAATATCATGTGTCAATGCTAGAGATTCTTCCCAGACTAATATTCACAGCTAGGAAAACATCAACAAATTTATTCTCTATTATGATTCAGATTCTACCTCATCTGTGAAGGATTGTTGTTTAGAAGGAATCTCTGCTTTAGTTAGGGCAATTAATTAAAATTGAAAATGAAATTGTAAATGAAAATTTGTTTGCATTTCCTGAGCCTAATGCTTTATGCTAAAGCCTCACTCTCAGTCTGTAGTTTTATTGCAGTCATATCTAATCAATTTATAAAGCCCGTGAATTTTGTTCCTCGGTATAGCAACTCATACATATTAAGTCCCTATACTTAAAAAGAATCTTCATCCATCTATTTACTAATATCTTTCCATCTTTTAAAATTTATTTCCCCTGAGAACAAGGAGAGCAGGTGAAGTGTTTTCTAACTGGCTGAAAGTTCTTATCAGTATTATTGTGAGTTAATGGTACTCTATATCCCAAGTACGTGTTAAAATTAGAAGCATACCTTCTATTTGAAATATAACAACATGGAACATCCTTTACCACCAAAAGCATGGCAAAGCTCCAGGCAATAAATGAAAAATGGAGAGAGCATAGGTACAGAAAACACACACACAAAGTCTTTGGATCAGAAAAAAACTGAGTTTGTTACTACCTTTAAAAAGCTTCTATATGAACAATTTTTTTCTCTATGATTACAAAGGAAGTGTTTGTCCCGTGACTTTTTTGAACTGCATCAGTGTTGCCTTTTGCTCTGACTTGCTATGACAAGGGTAAAGTTGCTTATGCAACAACTTAATTTTAAGATTCTGTTTTCTCACCTGAAAAAAAAAAGGATAAAAATACAGTCATTGTTCTGACCAAATTAGTGTTTGTATGTAAAATATCCAGCAATGTGGTAGATACCTCCTGGGTACTCTACAAGTTTTAGTTCCCAACATTGCAGTAACAGTGTCTCAACAATTAACATGCTCTTGATTTGGGGAAGATCATCTTTCACTGCCCTTCAGAGCCTCTTTCTTCTTATTCTCTCTACATTATTAAACTCGATTTCCTGATTTCCATGCTCACAGATTACAAGAGCAAATTAGAAGGTGCTAAGAACAACAGGAAAAAAAAAGACAAAGAAGCGGAATAAAAGAGAAATAATTTCAAAATCTTAGAAACCTGGAGCCATTTAGTACAGGGATAAATAGTTCTTCATACCTCAACAGTCATTTAGGGCTTTTTTATATTACAAGATATAATACAGGGTATTTGTAATTGCTAAGTTAAAATGGTTTTTATGCAGATATGACTTTTTCTTGTTTCAAGAAGGAACATTTGATATAAATTACTTGTGGGCTTTAGCAATAACAACTTTCTCAAATTATTTTCCCTAGGACTTGGTGTTAGAACAGTTTATCCAGTCAGGGACCCATTGGCCGCATCCAGCCTCTCATGGTGTTATCTGTGATTCTCTGGGCAAAACACTCAAACTGGGCCTGGTTTGCACATTGATATAAGAGCCCTTTCTAAGTTATCCCCATGAGAACAGAACAAGCATGTTAGTTTAAACTCATGTATACTGTATAAATTATCCACTGTATGCAGTGGACTCAATACCACAAATATTGAGCTAACTGCATCTGAAAGGAGTCAAAGAGTAGACAATTGCAGAATCCCATAGAAAGAGAACATGTAGAATCCAGCACCATCAGAGGTCAACCAGTCAAATACCAGGGCTGGATTTTTCAAAGAACCAGATAATGCCAGTTTTATGGCCATTAATAACATTTTAGTTATGTAAACAAAGATAAGAGTAATACAAAATAAATTCTGCTTCATGGTGTAATCTGATTGCCAACAGAGTTCAGAAATGAACTTTCTCATTGTGCACGTGGCATTGCATAATGGACCAGTGATCATTCCGCAGCCTCCCCAGCCTTCCCTTTCCCTTTCCCTTTTATGGAGAGTCCTTAGTTCTGCTAGATCCATAAGCTATTCCAGGGAGGCAGATTCTTTGCTTTCCCCTGTAAAGCTCTTTGATTGTGCCTCTGGTAGTTAATACACCAAATGGTCTTCAGGGGTACTTCATACGTGCACTCCGCAGCTAATCACAGTGCCTTGGCCTGCTGTTTCCCTACCTCTGTGTTTTCCACATGTTGACAGGCTCAGTTCAAACACCAGGCCCATCAGCTTCTGGAGAGTCACGGCAAAGCTCGGCTCTGATTTGGGTGTCTGCTTCAGAGATTTTCCAAAGGATATCCTGTAGTAGATAAATCATTTCATTAGGCCAGGTTCCCTGTTCAAACCAGGAAGCAGAGGGCCTGCCATGTAGGAAAACCCAGATAATATTGTTATGGCTGTACTCAGAGCATTTGTAAATATTGTTGTCAGTGTCTTTCACGCAGGTTCCATCAAGATTGGATTTAAACATAGACAGGTTAATTATGTGTTTTAAAGCTTTGTTTATGGAGAGCTATTAGGAAGACTGTGAAGTTTTAACTATTGCAATGACAATTTTTCCCCCCAAATGTCTCCTCCAGTTGATCACTCCTCATGCCATCCGTGTGCAGACCCCTCCTCGGCACATCCCTGGTGTTGTGGAAGTCACACTGTCCTACAAATCTAAGCAGTTCTGCAAAGGAACACCAGGCAGATTCATTTATACAGGTAAGAACCACAGCACATGGTGAGCACAGAACTGCCGTGGTCTTGTGGGGTCTTTCCCCTTATCTTGTCTGTATAAAAGCATGTATTTTATTTTAAAATCTAGTTAAAGCCTGCTTTCTTTCTTCATTTTACCATATGTATGACCAAACATGGTGCTTTTATTATTGTATTAAGAATTCTTCTAGGTGTCCATGTTGAATGGCGCGTTCTGTTGAAATAACTGGTTGGATACCTAAAGATGCCACATGAAAAATAAGAGAAGGGGAAAGAGGTGTAGCTAGTCCTGAGTTTCTGGATGTTAAGCCACCTTGTTAGGGTTTGTTGGCTTTATGGAGTAGGTTTGTGCTTTCATGAACAGTACGTCTTTCCTCTAGCCTGTTCACGGCACTTGTATTACATACAATTGGTAGTTTTCATATTTAATTCTGGGTTGGTGCCTTCTTTCCAAGTATGCTGCATTTTTGTCCTCCCAAAACAGCCTTGGCACATGGATCCGCCTTGCGGCAAGAAGCTAGGGTTTCAGAGTGAATGTGAATTCCCTCCCATCAGACAGAGAGAACCAGGCAGCATCTCTGTGGAATGACATCAAGTATAAAGGCTGAGTGCCCAATGTGTACGCTAAGAGATCCCTAGATTGTGAAGTGCAAACCAAATACCCAGGGATCTTTTACAATTCACATTCTGCTACAGTAGGTCTAGGTAGAACCTGAGATCCTGTTTCTTAAGCAATCCCAGGTGAGGCTGATGCTGCTGCTCAAAGAACCACAGGTGGAGTGCGGTTCTGGGCCCTCTGCTTAGTGTCAGTCATCCTTGGATAGTGGTAGCTGTCTCCACGAACTAGTCCCAGGTTTCCTTTTCCATTCAGTAAAAGACCACAAGACCAGATTAAGTACAGAGCGGAAGTTGCTTTCACACAAAGAGATAACAGAGCAGTGAAGGGATAACAGTTAACAAATTGTAATTATAACCATACAATTAAGTGGACGAATTTTATTTTTCTGTGACATTTTACTTCAGAGCATCTTTCCCTTGTATTTCAATATTAGAAGTAAAACCAAACATACTTCTTAGTCACCCAGTTTCTCTCTCTCTCTCTCTCTCTCGAAATTATAAAAACAATTAATGCATCCTGACCCTTGGAAATGCCTCCCAGCCCTTTAAACAAAATGCAGGTTTGGTGCCTGCCTGACGATTAGTTTTAGTTAACTGAAAATTATAGGATTGACCCAAGAGGAAAATTTTGTTTGCACTCCAATCACTTTTACAAATTAAGGAAAATTACCACAATTTTGTTTAGCTAAGGTTTCACACTGAGTTCAAGAAATTAGCTCAGCCATCCCAACAAAGTCAGCACTTTGTTAGTGAGCACTTGAAAAAATAATAGTCTTTCTGGAGTTTTGTGGTGTATACAAACGAAGCGTAGAGAAAGCTATGATGCTTTATAGAAGTAGGCCAAGTGTTTTTAATTAGGCTCATTGGTTCAGCGTAAGTTTTGAAGAATAATCAAACTAGCAGATTAGCTGTTTCTTTTAAAGCTAGGATTTCTTGCCATTCATTTTTCCCATGAGAACTTCCACATAGCAGTGTGTGTGTGTGTGTGTGTGTGTGTGTGTGTGTGTGTGTGTGTGTCTGTGTGCATGTGTGTGTGTGTGTGTGTGTGTGTGTGTTTTACAAGTCTCATTATGGGGCTGCAGGAAAAGGACCAATTGAAACTTCTGATACTGTAACATTCCCCAGCATCATTCCAATGGATGGGAGTTTTTCACAATGTTCCCCCACTGAACTCGGTGTTCTGGAACATATTTCAAAACCACAGAGGCCAAATGTTTTCTCTGAGAAGTTTGGACTCTGTTTTTGGCCGAAAACATTAGGCCTCGCTGGCTGCTTATTTACTCAGCTATTAAGAACAAGAAAAGGAGAAGAAAAAGAAGAAAATGCTTGTGTGGTGGGAGGTACAGGAGGCAATCAGGCATGGTTTCCGCTTTGGTGACAACGTCCCTGCCCATTAATGGTTCCATTTTGTGGTCAGGTCTCATTTAGAAGAAATTATTTTTAATCAGTCTTCAACAAAATATCCCCTAGAGCCACCTGGCCATAAAAGTTAGAAAAAAAAATCACCCTCATTAAATTACTTAAGTTCTCAAGAGAAAAGAGCTAGGGATCCATCATTATTTGGAGTTTTTTTAAACACTAAAAAAAAAAATTGCCATCAGTTTAAGAAATCACATCTTAGAAAATCTATATCACACTGGAATTAAGAAAAAAGTGTTGGATTTTCAAGCCTAGAAAAGTAGTTAAGGGTAAGAGCAATAAGTTGGCGCATATGCACATGTATACATCTGTGGGAAATTTAAGGTATGAAAAAATGCTTCTGGTGATCTGGCCTCAAACTGTGGGCACCAGACAAGAAGCCTTTTTTTTTTTTTTTAAATATTCTAGAAGAGAGTTCTAACCTCTCCCCATATCGGAAAAATAAAAATCTGAAGAAATTGGCACAATGATTTCCCCTCTGGTATAGTTACTTGGCTGTTAACAGTTATTGTGACATCACATCATTTCTGATGAAAGGGAATCTGTGTTCATTGGTGACCTACACATGGACCTTTTGATCATTAGCATTAAATGCCTCTACCATGCGTTGCTTGTTCATGGCTGGGGCTACTGGCCTCTGTGATTTACTCAGTTTACCTCTGCTGTCACCACTTAATAGTAAGGGTATAGAGATGGCTCATAAAACCTCTCTGTTCTTTGTATCCAAACAACTGCTCAGATCATTGCAAATGTACGGCCCCCTCCTTTGTCCACCCACAGAAGTTCACACTTCATTTTCTTTAACATCCATAGTATTTCAAGATGTGAGGCTTGGTTTTCTGGATTGGGTGAGCTAACCCTCTTATTTGTTAGTGAAATATCACTTGGAATTTTTCCCTTGAAAAATATTATTGAGCTGAAAAGTAACACCCCAAACTAAGGCCTTATTGCTGTTTTTAAAGTATGCAAGAGAGAGTTGGCATTTGTAGATGTAAATGTCTCTAAAAGTCCATAACATTAAAAAAAAAGAAAAAAGGCAGGAACAGCATGGCCTAATCTATACTAATAAAGGCAGACCTTTTGGGGAGGGAAGAATCTGACCAAGCACAGATTGCCTGCAAGCTGGCTCCCCTTGTAAGGATGGTAAGCAAGCGTACATCTCTCCCTCATTGGTTCTTCAGACCAGAGACGCACGAGGAATCCATAGCTGCTAATGTGCCATGCCCTTGTGTTTGTCCAATCAGAGTCACAGACTCTGGAAAGTGAATCCTGACTGGATTAGAAGCAGAAAAGCTCAATAGCACTTTCTAGATCTTACTTTATTGTGTCCAGTTATTCTTATGTAAATGTAGGGCAAGGCTGACTTTAATTTTCAATAAATGTTTTCTAAGAGAAGGAAACAAAAACACTATCTAATCACAGGATTGATTTCAAAGCCCTATTATCGTTTCTGGTCAGTCCAGTGGGAATTAAATCCACTATAACCTCACTGCCATGTAAGGGCTCTCCCTAATACCTTTATTATTCTCACAGCTTGTTTTCTTGCAGGTGTTACATCTTTAAGTGGCTTGGATCTTTTCGAATCGTGATCTCTCCTGCTAATCCCTAAGTAGCCTTGGAAGCTAATAAAAGACTCTTAGGCACCTTTAGCTGCTTCCTCAAAGTTTTTGTAGTTGGTTTTCCTGATAAGAAGCGGCCAATTCCAAATGCATGTGTTGCCTTCATTCTAGTTATATTTTCTGTAAGAATTTTCATATATTCTCGGGGAATATATGACTGAAAGAATGGGACACCAGGACAAGGTTTGAGCAGCCTAGGGGTACCCTGAGAGCTGTACACCACCTGACCCCCCAAAAGTTGGTGAAAACCCTGATGAATGATCATCTAACAACTCAGATGTCTGGTTAGGTCACTTATCAGATCTTTTCTACCACTAACTTTTCCAATTCCAAACATTTTTCACCCAATTTCCTGTTCCTGTGGAAGGACTAACCCACATTCCTGTGTATTAGCCTGTGAACTAACTTCGAAATGAGAATTCTTCGTGGAAATACTTCCTGTTTGTACCTTGTGCCCAGAATAACTCCACATCCTTTGCCAATGCATAACACGTTGCTTTGCACATAGGAGGGGCTATTTTGTCTGCATATGCTCTGTGGAACTTGACATCTTTTACTATGACTTTTAAGTTTTCCGTTTTTTCTCCCTATCCCTCTTATTTTCTTCTTGCTCTCCCATCTCTCCTATCTCCCTTTCGCCTTCCTCTCTCTTTTCTTTACTCCCCTCATCCTTTCCTCCCTCCCTCCTAAGGGGATAGTACCTCGCATACTGATTGACTGCTTAGGTTCAAGATGATGGATATAGATTGAATTCTCAGATCTACCATTTACTAGAGAGGTTATCCTTGGGACATCATATGATGCCTCTAAACCACAGTCACCTTATCTTTATAAGGAAATAATAATAATACCTTGCTGGGGTTGTTTTTAGGATCAGGGAAACATATGTAAAGTTTTAGAATCATGGAACTGTATTTAGCATGAGGCTAGATACTAGTAGTTTCCATTAATAAATGGTGGCCATTATGATTCATTCCTTTGTTTCTGAGTCCCTACCAGGAGTAACTATTTTCCATGGATTGTTTATCATCCTTGTCATCTCCCTAGAAATCTAAGAAATGTCTTTTGGGATTTTTAGTAACACAACTATAGGCATCAGTTTAAAGAAACAAGTAACACCTGTCAACCCCAAATAAAAGGAGCAAAGTGTAAATAAAGTAGCAAGAAAAAGAAATGCATAAGTGTAAATGTAATAATTTGCTTAAAACAAATATTTTTGCAGGAATGCATCACACAGCTAATATTTTAATCAGATACTCCTGATTTGTAAAGTTCTCTGGTGTTAACTTTTTTAGGGAACAACACATGCTTGTTCTCTTATTTCCATCTCAGCCCCTCCTCTGGAGGTCCTAGCAACAGGAGTACAGCCTATCACCAACTGTCTTCAAAAGTATTTAGATTATAATCAGCTTCAACTCCAGCTTCCAGAGTTTTCACCAGAAATCTCTGTTTCTCATTCTTGGAAACCTCCTCCACAAAATAAAGGCTGCCACCTTGGGCTTGAACAAAGTCATTGGTTTTAGGGAAGAAGTGGAGAGTTTGCACCTAATGGATCTCCTGCACTTTAGTCTTTTCTTACATAAATTCTTTGTCACAGTACGCTCTGAATAGCCACTTTCATGTCATTACCCTGCAGAGAAACCTTCCCTCTTTGCTCACTGTATGTAAGACGTAGCCCAAGTCCCGAGTTTGGCTCACTGTGCTCTGGGGCTAGGGCTTATGATGCTCCAGTCAAACCAGTTTCCTTGCTGTGCCTCCAGCTCACTTTAGCTACTTTGGGCATGGTGATTCACCTGAAGGATCCAGTTCAAACTCTTACCTCTCTGAAGTGTTCTCTGACCGCTGTGGTATAGTGGACAGAGCCCTGGGCTGATAGCAATGAGGCTTGCATCGTATCCCAGCCTTGCTACTCGCTAGCTGTGAGACAAGTTGCTTATGTGCTCTGGACTCCAGTCTCTTCATTGTGAAATGAGTCAGTCGGACTGACTTTGGTGCTCCCTGTAACTCATCTTGATTGACTGGGAGAGTCTCTGTCCTTGAATCTCTTTTGTCCCAGGTGCTAAAACCATCCCATTCATCATTCACTTCCTTTTGTCCTTAGTTCTCTTGTTCTGTTCATAGGTAGACAAATCATAAAAAGTCCACAAGCTTCATGAAGAAATAGAAACTCTTCCTCAATCTTATTTTATACACTATGTTGAAGGGATTTGGCTCAGCATTTTACTTGCAATAGGTGCTATCATTGACATATTGCCCAGGATCAATGGGTCTTCATTGATTTTTGTCCTCTGGATAACATGGAATGTAAATAAGAGCTGTTAATTAAGAATCTGTCCCTTTCTACTTGAAGTTTTACATACATAGAACATAGTTTCTTTAAATGAAAAAATGGGATTTGGCTTATATTATGAATTTCATTTTCTTATCTGTAAAATGGAGCTATTTTAATAGTACCTTCATCTAAGGAGTAAAAGGGTTAATGTATGTAATGCAATCCTGAGAGTACCTGGTCCAGTATGAGTGCTCCCCAAAAGTAAGTGAGAAAAGCAGATAGTGGGTATATATATTTTTGAAAATCCAAAGAATTTGTCATTAGAGTTTGATGTTATGTATGTGTCAGCTTTGATTATGAGTAAAGACATTGTTTCTTTCTAGGCATTAGAATAGGAATAAAAATACCTGTGTTCTGTTCTGATTTTACCACTTCCTTTTGTTACTTCATTCATTCACCTCACAAATGTTTGTGGATTGCCTGTCTTATTCTAGGCAATGTTCTAAACCAGTTCTAGGCCAAGTCCTGAAACAGTGTTAAGCAAAACCAGACACAATCCCTGTTTTCTTTATTCTAAAGACTAAGAGGGAAAATGGGTGTTCATAAGTTTACTATTTCAAACCTGGTACGTGTCCAGAAAGAAACAGCGCTTTTGATCAGCACATAATAAAAGAGCCCTGACCAGTCAGTTAGAGATATTTCTCTACAGGAAAAATTGCACAAGCTGAAGTTTGAAGGATGACAAAGAGCTAACCCAACAACCAGTGAAGGGTGGGGGTAGCATGGGGTTAGGGAATGAGCCTTCCAGCAGAGGGAGCAAATGAGAAGGCCCTGGGTGGGAGGAAACACGGTACCTTGGACGGCTGTAAGAATTGCAGTGAGGCTGGAAAATCAAGAGGGAGGAGGAGAACTGTGAGACAGAAGGCTGCGAGAAGTAGTCAGGGACAAGGGTATGCAAAACTTTATAAGCCATGGGGAGGAGTTTTGTTGTTATCTTAAGAACAATGGACAGTTTTGAAGTGTCTGAAATGACAGGTGGACGTGACCAGGTTTACATTTTGGGAACAAACTAACTCTGGCTTCAAGAAGCATAGGAGACCAGAATGTATCTTGGAAGGCCTCTTAGGAGGTCATTGCAGTAGTCTGGGAAAGAGATTTGGTGACTTTGATTTGGGTGGTAATCAGTGGAGATGGAATGGAGTGAGAGGAATCAAGAGGAATTTAAGAGGAAAAATGGAAAGGACTTGATGGGTTAGATGTGGGGATGAGGGAGACAGAGGGGTTAAAGCTGCTAGATTTTTGTCTCCCTCAACTTAAGGGATGGTAGGGCCATCACTTTTCTGTGCATCCCAAGGATCTTGTGAATATCAATGAAAAAATGGCCATGAAAATATTTTGCATAGCGTAATATTCTATACATATGTTAATTGTTATAAAGACAAGCCTAAGCAAACTCAGAAAGAATTGGAGAAAGGAAGGCAAGAATGTGTTTTCTTTTTTGTCAGATTGTTTTCACTTAGGGATTCAGCTGAAAGAGGGCTGGGTAATGAATACTTGACTAGCAGCTCTGCCTTAGCAGTGTCCTAATTGGAATAGACCCAACAAGAAAGAAAAATTCACAGGCTGCTCCTGTCCACATGTCTTAAATATTACTCCAAATGAACCATTTACACACAAAGAAAAGAATTCAAGGCAGAGGGAGTGTTTATTCTTTTTGCTTTTGTGATACAAAGGGTAGGTCCCAAGCCTCTCCTTTTTTTTTTGTTCCACAACATATGATTTTTCCCTGATCAGATGTATGCTGATGTGATCAGTGATTCTGAATCTGCTGGCATTTGTACAGTTAAATACTGTTGGTGTCATAATGAGAACAACAACAACAACAAAAGTCACTGAAAGTAACCATTGTACTTCCGTGACAGCTATAAAATGAGAGCCATTTCTGCAAAGAATAAAGCTGATCTGAAGGAAGCATATTATTTTGCATATTTTACAAATATACTTTCCAAGAAATATGACCTTTATTTCCTATTTGGAGTGGAGTGTAATCAGGACTTGAGTAGCCAGTATAACAGGATCATTAAAAGGGATATTTTCACTGACATTAGAGGTCTAAATGGCCACGAGGCCTTATATACAACCTTGGCTTTTTCCTGTCTACCCAGAGTTAATAAGTGATAAGGCCGGGAGAGAGATAAATCACAGAAATCCCTGTCCAAAGAAAACATATTGACTACAGCCAAGCAAATAACAGACCATAACCAACGGTCCCATTCATCATTCATGTAATAGGGATATGAAGTATTTCCTACCAATGAAACCGTACAGTAGGAAGAAGCAGATAAGCTGGTCCAATCTAAGGCATGAGATTTGGTTATTAAGGAACATGAACTATTTGTCACATGGCTTTAATCTTAAGATGTGTTGCCATTTCTAAACTATAAATTTCTGGTAAGGGATTAGAAAGCTATTAACAATAAAAGTAGGAACTGAGCTGTATATGTATTCTTGCCAATGTAATGCAACACTGTAAAGTTTTGAACCTCTAATCTTTTTAGTATGATATAACATGATTTGGTTTTCAAAGCCAATAAACTATTTGGAAGTATTCAAGTTTTCACTTTTTTTAAACCGAACATCATGATAAATTAACCCTTCAGCTTTTGACTGTATATCTTGAAATTTTCTCAAATATTGTGGAATAGGAGTAGGAAGTGGAACTCTAAATTTCTTTTCCTCTTTTCCTAAGATGTATTCCAAATGTTTGATGGAGGATTATTCGTTTTACTTATCTGTGTTTGCAGTGATGTGGATGCCAGTCCTGTTCATTGTTAAAGTTAACGAAGAGACGTGGGACCCGCTAGGGCATTCACTTTTGTTTTTCATTCTTTACTGCAAAGTTATGCATATTGATTTCAGATCATTTAGGAAGCACCAATAAAACATAATTAAAATAATATTGAAATTGCTTACATTCCTACCGGTTTCTTGTTACATAAACACTCAATAAATGTGAGCTATTAATATTGTTTAATGATATATATTTTGCAGTATTTTTCCTATGCATATATCTGACTTATTACCATAATAATTATATCTTACATCATATTATTTATCTTTTTTCATTTAAAAATACATAAATATCAGGGAGTTATGAATTTAAAACAATTTTTAGTCATTGATAATCATCTTATGCCCTAGCAGAACCTTATACTGAGATATATCATTATCTTCATGTTAAAGCATAGCCCCCTGGAATTTGGTTTCTCCTCTCTTTTTCTTTCTGAAAAACCCACAGCACAGGGTCAATAAGTCCTACACCTGGATTATTTGGGGTCAGGATCTGAAATTTATCAGCCATCCCCAAATGAGTGGGTGTGTGTTGCTCCAAGGACCCAGTGTCCTGAGAGCTTGGGAGCGGCTCCCAAAAGCATTTAGCTATATAGTGTGGCACTGCTTCTGTTTTCAAGCTAAACAACCTCCAAGGTAAATGAATTCCATAATCATGCTCCCCTGCTTCCCGGGACCCACCACGTGCTGTACTTTTCGTAAGTTAAAATGGAACTCATCTAAAACCCTAACGATATCTGAAATGTAATCAAATCCAAAATTGTAACAAAAAATAGGTAAATGTAGGCCCCTCTCTGATCCTCCATAGGCCAGCAGCATTTCTTGCTAGAGCTTTCAGCTCCTCCTTTCTCTCCCTGCTCTTCTGGTTTCCCACTTCAGTGGGCTTTTGACATTTGTTGACTTTTCTCCTGTTGTTCTCTCCTATTCCACACCTTTTTTTTCACCCTAACTCTATCTTTTCTCCCAGTCTTCTTGTTCTCTACAATTACTAAATGTAAAGCAATCCCCACCCCCACCCCCTGGTGCCACCCCTGAGAATCTGTGTAAGACAAGCCCTATTATTAGCCTATTTTTAACACCAAAAAACTCAGGTGAAGTGACTTCCTGGGTTATTTAGTAAGTGGAGGAGCCAGGACTTGAACCCTGGTGAAGGGTACCAGAGCCTGCACTGAGTAAGCCTCCTGGCATGCTACTTTACCTTGTTAATTTATGGAATTACCTGATTCCCTGAAATGCAGTTGTTGGTGATGGGAGAGTGGCAGGTATTTCTAGGACACGTGAGTTCTGACAGGAACTGGAGCCTTAAGTATTTTAACCAAATTATATAATTGTGAACATAATGCATACTTATATGGAAGATTTTTAAAATACAAAAAAGTATGAAATAATGATTATCCATTATTTCATCCCTCAGGGATAATCACTGTTAATGTTTTTGAGTACTTACTTCTAATATAGAAACCATATAGAAGGAAGAGACAGATAAGCTCTCACAATCTAAGGCATGAGATTTGGTTATTAAGGGACATGAACTATTTATCACATGGCTTTAATCTTTAAGATGTGTTGCCATTTCTAAATTATAAATTTCTGGTAAGGGATTAGAAAGCTATTAACAATAAAAGTAGGAACTGAGCTGTATATGTATTCTTGCCAATGTAATGCAAGACTGTAAAGTTTTGAACCTCTAATCTTTTTAGTATGATATAACATGATTTGCTTTTCAAAGCCAATAAACTATTTGGAAGTATTCAAGGGTATTCAAAGAAGGTACTAAAAAATACTCCTATATTTTTATCAGCAAGTCACAATAGGTTTATATAGTTTTGCGTCCTGCTTTGTTGTTTATATTATACACTACACATTTCCTCTGTTAGTTCAAATTCTCCCTGAATGCATTTTGGTGGGTGTATAATAGTCCATCTGATGGCTGCACCATAATTTGCTTCATCATTCCTCTATCATTGGACAGCCATATCTTGTCTTTTTTTAGAATTTTTAACATCAGCTATGCCAGAATATAGTGTGATTCTGAATATTTGGTGTTCTCCCTTTTTTCTAGTGAAGTTTAGGGCTTCCAGAGCAAGTAAACCATATACATATTTATAGATACCAATACATTATCAAATGTCTACTTACAATATTTCACATATAAATTTTGTTACTTGTACATGTCTAATATCACATACATAATTTACAACATTTACAAATACAACTTCTGCATTTTGGGTTTCCACCCTTAATCAAACTTTTTCAAGTCATTTTTTCCATCAGTTGTTTTAAAAAAATCAAAGCCAGAGCCATTTTTCTCCCATTATAGTCTCTTCTAAGTTGTTTGTGATACACCTCTTTTTAAATCTATGCATGGTGCTTTCACTGGAAGATTTTTTTCTCAGCCATAAGTAACCATTAGCAATATTTTAAAAACCGATATTTAAAAGGCTTGTTTTGAGGAATGCTTGTAATGATAAGAGGTCAATCCTCCTTAAAAAGATACTACATTTATATTAACTTTCTAATCCTTTTTGTCTTGACTGACTTCTGCACCTCCGTAAGCATTACTAAACCACCATTGATTATGATTATTTCATGCCCCTACCGATTTAAAGTAACATAATTGAGAAAGCATCTTGCTTTAAAAATACTCAAATATTTAATGAGATAACTTTTTTTGGAGGGCAGGGGATCTGCCCATATATAGTTCAGCATGCTGATATTTCTTTCCCGTTGCTGGGTCCTCAGCCCTGTGCAATCCTTGGTATGAGTTGAATTATCTGTACCACAAGTCAGATATTTTTGACTTGAATAAAGTAGGCTCACCCTTTTACATGGACCTCATATTATTCAAGGTACTGAGAGTGCAGGTGGAAACCATCCCATTAATATCAGGCCTGAGTTTTTCTGCAGTATCTCTCAATGGTGAGAGGTAGACAGAAACTGGCACTCCCTAAATCATGAGCAGAAACAACAACAGAAGAGCGACTTCCCCTCATACCCACTGCTGTTCAACCTGGCACATGTAATTGTTCATCTTTTTCCTGTTAACATCAACTGTGGTTAACTTCTTTACATCACGGGTGGAAGGCCTGACTTGCTAGGCATAGCCACCTGGGATCAGCCTCGGTGGTTAGCTGCAGGAAGCACCAACTCCCAGTCATTATGGAGTTAATTTAGATCTTTGTTTAATGCCAAAAATATATTCACATTTAAATATCTGCACAAAATATGGCCTTCCCAGTCATTCTACACACGTTCATCATTTCCTTTTAGTTTTAATTGATTTTTAAAATAGTCAATGAGGCCAGGATGACTCTTTGAGCTTGTAGCGAGGTTTAGATGAAGGAGTGTCTCTGAATAATCTGTTTTCAGCAAGCTTGTAATTCTCATAATTCTCTACTTTTTTAAGACTAGAAAAATGAAACATTTGCATTGGTTAGCTCAGAAGACATAGGAGGGTTATCTAAAGGTTTAGAAATTTTCCTTAATAAAATTACTAGCATCAAAGCAAAAAAATTGTTGTGACTTACTGGAATGTTCTGTATCGGGGGTCAAAGTACAGGTCTGACTACTGACACTATGTGTCTCTTCTTCATCATAATGTTTGTAGAAACAAGTAAATGTACTTAAATGCATTTTTATAGTTGACAAAGCCTTTCTCATTCATCAATTCCTTTTTGTTCTTTATGAGGAAAGACAGGTATTTTTAGCCCCATTTTCAGGTGTAAAAATGAGGTGTAGAAAGAAGTGAAGCGGTTCACTTATGGTCATTTAAGCCATCTAGTGATGGGTCTGATATCAGATCTGTATCCTCCAACTAGTTGATTATACCTTTCAATATCTTAGATTTTTATACCTACCAAATGGACTTATCCCAGTTTTATTCCACTTTTTAGTTTTCTATGAACATAATTCACTAGTTAGACTGGGGGCTTCTAGAACCTCAAGCTGCCTCCCCAGCATTGACACTTTGAGTACATGTAGTTCTTTTATTGACAGCGCTATCACCAGCTGATACAATCTGAATTATTTCTTTGCTTCCTTGTGTGTAGCCTGTGTCTCTCACTAGATTATAAGCTTCCTGAAGGCCGTGTCCTTGTCTTTCTCAACCAGTGTATTCACAGTGCCCAGCACGGAGTGAGATGCAATAAATATTAGTCAAATCAATGCATTAAAAAATGTGTGAAGGAATGACTGACAAATGTGACCTTAAATATATGGGATGTGAGTCTTCAAGATAATCTAGTTGTCCAAGTTGTTGATGTCTTTATAGATGGTGAAAACAAGGCTTACAGAGTTTTAAAGACTTGGCTAAAGTCTGTCAGTTAGTGGTAGATATTTACACCAGATTCCTTTTCTTCCACCTATCAGCCAAGAGCTTGTCTCCACACTACATATATTTTCCTTAGGCTCACCTAGTTATAAAGAAACTGTATGACTATAGAGCTCTAGAATCATGACAGATCCCAGTTTGAATCCTGGCCCAAATTCTTGCCAGTTTCTTAACCACTCTGAGACTCCATTTTTCTCATCTGCAAAATAGGAATGAGAATATATCACAGGACTGCTGTGAGGGTTTGATAAGGTCATGCATATAAAAAGCTTAGTACAGTGCATGGCATACAGTAAGTGCCTGATTAATGGTGGATCTTATCAAAAGAGCATCCAAGAGAACAGTTGCCTGTAATTTTGAGTTTTAGAGTTGGAAAGGTCCTCAGAGATAGCCTGGACCAATCCTAACATTTTGTAGAGGAGGCAGCTGAGGCTCAGATAAGGGAAGGGTCTTTCCCAAACCAACACAGGATGTATTTGCTTACAAAACCAGAGCAGATCACATATAAATGGATTTACTAATTACTTTGTGAATAGATTCCCAAGTATGCAAATATATAAAAACATAAAATTTTTGAATGTATATGAAAATCAATCAACAAACATCACCATGGTCGTTTGATAAACTCTTTATTTCTCTAATTTCATGAATCTTTCAGTAAACTCTCAAGGAAAGGGTGAGGTGGTATAGACGCTTAATTCCTTGGACCTTCCAATATGTGATATGTTTACAAAAAGGGTGTCATGGACATCATTATTCTGATTTGTTTACATGCTTTTCTGTCTGTTGACAAAAAAGAAGGGGGTTTTCTTGACCTCTGAGTAAATCAAAGCCCCACAGAAAAGCCAAGTGCCATTTTCACTGTGGGTGAAGTGGAGTTACGCAATTTAAAGGCATGTCCTTTATCTCATCTTTTTGTGGGAGCCCACTGTAAGAGCAGGGCATGTCAGACACCAGCACATTGTTGGAAGACCTCATTGGAACTGGTGGATCATATTCCCTGGGTCCATTTGGGGAGGGACTTAGTGGGGTCCACCCAAATATACTGTCCCCTGCTGCACTCTTGTAATTTAATGCCCAGTGGAGACTTTTGGTGAAATTCCCTCTTGGCCACAAAATGTCTGTGGACCCTCCTTTGTGCCTCAGTCCCCTGGTGGTCCTTGAGGAGATAAGATGTAAATGCCTTTATTCGGTGATCTTCTGCTTAGTGGGTTTAGAGGCAAATCATTAAGGGCCAATGAGAGAGAAATACTTGCAAGATGATGGTCATCAGGGATAAGATTAAAACCTGTTTGAGAAGAGATCTGTGCTGTGTTCCTGGCCCAGTGAAGTTACTGTTTGTTTGATGCCCGACAGGAACGTTGACTGGCTAACAATGAACGAGTCCAGAAAGTGTTGTTAGGATTATACTGCGGTTAGAGGTGAGGAGGGTATCATTCAATTTTTCCATGGCATATCCCAATTCATAAAAAAATTAGCTGGGTGCAGTGGCTTACGCTTGTAATCCCAGCACTTTGGGAGGCCGAGGCAGGCGGATCACGAGGTCAGGAGATCGAGACCATCCTGGCTAACATGGTGAAACCCCGTCTCTACTAAAAATACAAAAAAGTAGCTGGGCGCAGTGGCGGGCGCCTGTAGTCCCAGCTACTTGGGAGGCTGAGGCAGGAGAATGGTGTGAACCCAGGAGGTGGAGCTTGTAGTGAGCTGAGATTGTGCCACTGCACTCCAGCCTGGGTGACAGAGCAAGACTCCGTCCCAAAAACAAAACAGAACAAAACAAAAAATCAAGATTGTATTATATAAGGGATTTCTGTTCTAAACCTTATTTGGGGCTTGTGTTAGGATTCAAAGAAAAGATTTTGTTTCCAGGCCTTCCTAAAAAGGCACTCAATTATTGGTGAAAAGCCAAAAAGGGCCAGTTGTCCATTGATGCTACAGGTAATGAGTAGAGTAAAAAGTAAAACATATCTATTCCCCTTTTCCAACTGCAGCTAATTAAGGGTAGCTCATTTAAAAACAGACCTAATTTAATCTCTAATATAAGTATTCAATTAAAGTTGTTCCCGCTGCTTTCTTCTAAGAAGGCTGCTTTATACATTTATATATGATGCATTTATGGTGTGAATCCTTCTAAGGATCCAGGTGGTAATAGAAAAGTGCTTTCAGGACTTCATAATTGCCCAAATTAAATAATATGTATGTAAATGGGGGTTGAGGTATAAATTGTGCACTGCAATGCTATAAGGAATTGAGCCCCTATATCCTGCTATCTTTTAGCCAACCAGAATAAAGTACTCCCCATTTTATTCTATACTACTTAGAATAGTTTATTGCATTATTAAGTACATGTTACAAGAAGCACATTGTTGTTTAAGACTCATTGATTTAAGTAGAACTATTCTTATAAAGTTCCATAGGCTTTTACATAAAAAGAGAAGAGCCCGTATAAAATTATAAAACCTTAATGTAATAAAACAGCCTATAATATAATATTCTCCCATTTTCTAAAGAAATCACCAAAAATTTTTAATGAGTTTATTAGAACCACTGTTTGTGAATCCTGGGATGTCATGTCTAATTAGACTTAATGGATTTAAGTATTTCTTTAATGAAATCTCTAGCTTAACTCACCAGGATTATATTCCTTGTCCTCCTGCCCTTCAAATGATTTTACTTTATTTTTATTTTGGGTAGCATTAAAAAGAAATGAAAGACTATGATTCTGCCTCATTCTCAGATGGATATAGTGAAAAATACAGTGCTTATTATGAAGTTAATGTGAATTACCATGTAATTACCACTGGCTGCACTGTAATGATTATTTAGTTACCACTGAGCATTCTCTGCCAAATAACACACATTATTTCATAGGAAGCATAGAATTAACTCAAGTCATCCCGGAACTCGGGGAGAGAGTATATTCCTGATCTCTTTCGTTGAGTGTAGGCGCTGCTAATGTTAACATCGAAATAATCAAGCTTGGAGCAAACCGACAGCAGAACAGGATATGAGTTTACATGATTTGATTTGCTGATGTTTTAAACACTTAGCAGGAGACAGCTATAGAAGCCAATTAAATCTCTCCAAGGTGCATAGAGTTATCTCCTTTGTGAGAAACAATTTAAGGGAATTGCATTGGCCCTTTAACTGAGGGGAGAAAAAGCATTAGGAATGAAATTTCAGATGCAAAGTGCTGATCAATCCTGCCTCTTTTTGTGTTTTTCAGCTTTGTGCTGTTTGGGCTGTTGCTATTTTAAAGGATTTGCACTTTTATTTTGCAAGCACAGGGTTATGTTAAACTTTTCTTTGGCTATTGATTATGACGTGCTTTAAACAAGGCATTGTGTCTAAAAGAGTAAAACAAAAACAAAAACAAAAAACATGTCAGTACATTCTGTCCCTTTCAGATACTGCATCTTATTTAGTGTACCGGAATTCCCAGTTTAAAGTAATCACAAAATTTATGGAGAAGCGGATAAAAAAGGTTGTAAAATATCGATTTGAGGAAAATAATAACACAACTCATCTATAATAAGAAGAAAAATGAAGCAATAATTCAGGGGGTATCGAGCGGCTTGCTGCTGGGAGTATTGATCCAGTCCTTTACGGTATAAGATCGCACCTGAGATTGCTCTGAAAGAAAGAACAGCATTCCTTCGCTCATTATTTCTTAGATACTATCGCCTTGTTACATGGGTCCTGCAGAGTTGGAATAGTTGCGGCTGGGAGAGTGGGACCTGCAATAATAATAATAAATAAATAAATAGCTCAGAAATCTATATTGCCTTAAAGCCACCATGCCTGGTCTTAATAACACATTGGCTCTGGTTTTATAAGTTCTTCATTGCCTTATAGTAGCTAATGACAATTCCTATGTTGTGTGGTTCATTTAGGGGCCGAACAGATCTTCATCTTATATAATGGGTTCTCATGTTTGGAAGGAATTCCTGTCTTGGCTGTTGTATTTCTTGTTAAGTCACTAAATTGAAAACAATACACTTATGCCACGTTGGGCCATGGAAAATGTTGGCTTTTGCTTTAATGGGGCATTGTTTTACATTTTAAGACAATTTTTGGACTCAGCAGGACTATGATGGTTCCTGAGCAAAATCTTTAAATAAATTTGGCCTGAAACTTTGAAATTCAAGTTCATAAGTCATGAATTTCTGATTTGTGATAACCGTGAATTTATTAATTCACCTAGAATTTCTAAAGTCTTAAAGGACAAATCTACTTGGCAATGTACTATCATCACAGTGAGGCCTTAAAATGGCAGACTGTATTTCATTCCCGAAGAATTCTAGGTTCTTTTCAGACTTTAAGATGATCTTACAAGTAGTATTGAGGAAACATGAATATTTTGTTGTCACATTATTTTTTTTTTGGAGGGGAGGGTGCAATAATATTCAAATTCCAATTTAATTAAAACATTTTGAATAGCTATTATGTTCCAGGCATTTTCTATGTTCTGTAACCCAGAAAGGTGAGGTTCTTGCCCCCAAGACACCTGTATTCCAGTGAAAGAAGGCAGGCAATACACAAGGAGGCAGAGAAGATAATAATCAGATTGGCAAAAGTGTTAAGAAAGAAATAGGGAGGATGATCTGGTACAGTGCAATGAGGGGAGCTAGAGGACTTCTTTAGACAGCCATGTGTACCTTAGAATTTGTACAGTATACAAATGGATAGCACTGTAAGCCCTCACAGCATCACCCAGGTACACTTATTTTTATTTCCAAGCATCTGTGGACTTTCCCCAGCGCTCACGCTATGCTATCATTTGCCCAGAAGATTCACTCTCCCTATCCCATCCCCCAGCCACTCTGTGATCATTATCTAGAAATATGAGCCGTACCAGCTGACTATGTTCTCAGTAGATCAAGCTTCCTGAAATTTCAAAAACATTGATTCATGTCATTGTAGCAGATCCTTGAAACTGTTGTTTCTGTAATATCTGTCTCTCCCTTTCTGACTCTAAAAAAATAGGTCCATGGAACAAGAGGCTCATGCCTGGTGACAATAAAGGCGAATAGAGGGGGAAGGATGGAGAAGCAGAAAGAATAAGACATCTAACTATCAAGACTAACTCCCAAAATAGCTTTCAATAAACTGCAAAGCACACCCCTCCTTCTTTATCCACATAGTAAGATTGAAAGTCGTCACTGAGTCTTAAACTGTGAATATTGAAATTGTGAGATGTATGGTACATTTAATGGAGACGTTGGTGAAGTGCACAAGTCATTTTAACTTTGTCTTTTAATTTTCAAGATTTATTGGTTCCAAGGGAAGAGAATATTTATAAGCGTTTTAGGTATTCACAAAACATGTAGTTGCCAAACAGTGCAAAGAATGAAAAGAAATCATCATTATGAAGCTGGATGATTCAGGAAATGTGGTGATAAATATGGGAGTGACAACATATTATCTCAGCCTTTTCTAGCTCCACATTTTTGAGTCATGATTATCAAGTGTATCACTGCAGGGAGTATGCTAAGTCAGTTTGGAGCTAGAGGAATTTTAGTTTTAAAAGAATAACCACGCCATGTTTGGGAAGTACAAATACAGTAAATGATGTCACGTCATCTCAGTTTGAATAAATATATATTGTATAATTTGCTTCTGTCTTTTAATTTCTCATAATGAAAAGAAAGTGGCAAGCAACATGAAAGCAATTAATTGCAACAATGATTACTTAGCTTCTTGGTGCCTGAATTAAAAAGAATATTAAGATTACTTTTCTAATAGCTCATATGTTTTTTTAAAAAAGTCATTGATGTTTTATAAAGGGCAGGTGCATTTGAATTGTCCTAAAACACTAGTTTTTCCCTTGTGGGCAAACAGATTGTCAAAAGTCAACTGTTGGCCATTCTGCTGGTTGTTTCATAGTGTAGTCTCAAATTCAGGAAGATAAATGTCATATCCTAGCTAATCTATTGTAATCCTTCTCTGTTGTGTGCTTCTTTTTAATTTGAGACAGGCTGATTATTGAAATACAAACTTGTGACTGTCACTGTGATTTTCTTACGTGTATAAGTCCTCTCTCATCAGCCCAGAGCTTTGTATTCAGCAGTACCCAGTAGATGTTAAGTAAATGAATGGATCAAGAGTCAAGACCTTGCCCTCTGGCCATAGAGAGATTACATTATCATTTAAACCTCTATTTTCTTACCTCAATAATGGAGAAAATAAATAAGCATATCTTCTTCACTAGTTTGTTGTGACAATTGAAATAATACGAGTAAAGTACTTGGCACATGATAAAAGGTGCACATGAAGAACTCAAAAAATGGTAGCTGTTATTAAAGACTTTAAGTGGTTCTCAATCTGTGATTATCTCAGAGTTTACTTCCATTTGGTTTACAAGTGTATTTCCAGTGCCTCGTACTATGCCTTGTCTAGAAGATGCTCAAAAAGTGCTTGCTGAATGAACAAAGCCCCCGATTCTTATTAATAAATAACAAACAGCTACTGCTGCTAACACTCACAAAGCACTTACTCTACCACACAGTTTTAAGCACTCAACATATTTTTAGACATCTAATCTTAAAAACACTACAAGACAGGTAGTATTATTATCGCTGTATTACAAATGAAGAAACTGAGTCAAAGAGGTGTTCAGCATTTGCTGAAGGTTATGCAACTAGAAAGTGGCAAAGGCAGGACTTTTACACTGGCAGACTGGCTTCAGAGTCCAGGCTCTTGTGCGTATAACATGATCTTCAGTATTTAGGCACAAAGGTAATGGAAATGTTGCACTGTGCCCCATTTATTCATTCAACAAATATTTATTAATCATCCTCAGTATGTTAGTTACCGGAGATACCACGTACATAATGTGCAAAGATGTGCATAATCCCTGCCCTCATAGAAATTATAGTCTAACAAGTCTGATTTCCTCAAGTTTCAGTTTGTTCCATACTTTCCTCAGTGACTCTTGTAATGAGAGACAGTTAAAGTCTGACTTGATGCAGTAGAAGGGAGGCTATAAACATTTGCAGGAAGGAGAGTGCAGGGGTAAGCCTACAAGGGAAACAGGGTGGTATTGTACTGATCACTATGGGTTACCCAGCAGAGAGCCCGCCTTCCCTTTAGGATGTATGCATGTAGCATGCCTTTTGAAGCCCTGGATGCCACTGAAGCCCTTTTCTCCTCTCAAATTTTGTAAGCAGATGTGTGGTCTTGCCATCTGTACCACCACACTGACATCTGGGTCCAAACTGAGCAAAGCATTGTTCCAATTTAGCCACAAGGAGGCAAGCTCCTGGCTCAGCCTGTGAAGGGTGATGGGGTATTTGGAATGAGCCCACTTTCTTTTTCTTTTTTTTTTTTTTTTCAGCATGAGGGTGAGAAGTCATGTTATTTTACAGAAAGGCTCCACTAACTTTGTCTTTTATGTCCAGTGCCTCAACTTCAAGGCTACAGGAATTAGTGCCCACGTGTCCACATTTTAAATCTGTGGTAGAATGTCCTAAATCCATAGGCACACACAAACCGTGGCACATGCATGAATTTCACACTGTTCTGCTTGTCTCTCCAGTTTGAATTTGCCCTCTTCATTATTTAGTTAATTCATTTGTTCATTCTTTCATTCATTCATCTATTTCTTTATTAAATGTTTACTGGGGAATTAAAAAAAAAGGCAGCTGCAAGGATAGAGTTTGCATGTTAGGCACCACAAGCACAATGACTGGCAGAGAGTTAAAGTCCTGTAATGGTTGTCAGATAAGTGGATTGATGAAGGAATAAAAAAGGAATTCAAAAACCATTACGTTTATACTTCAAGAGGTTATTTTTAATCAGGAATGGATTCAAGTAAAATATTCTAAGTAATTTTTGAAGAATGAGTAAGTTACTCAATTTAAAAAAATAAAGGGGGCAAAAGAAAAAATCAAATTTGTCCCAACAGAGTTCAGTGATTTTACAAAACAAATCCATTGATCTAGACTCTCCCAGTTTTGTCTGCCTTTTCCTGTGATCACAGGTCAAGATGACTGATTACCCTGGGAAACACGCTATAGTCTATCTCATAAACAGAAAAAAAAAAAATTCTCACACTTGGTCAGAAGGCAGCCAAAACGCTTCATCTCCAGAGGCTGGGAAAGTTGATCTGTGGTTGAGATTTGGCCAGAGGGAAACAGCCTGCCAGAATGAGAGCCTGGAATCTGGGGGGCTCAACCAAGACTCCAGTAGAACTCACCTCAACAGCCCAACACATTCAGCAAGTTAGCAGCCAGGGCCAACTACAGAACTTAGTAAGGTTTGCTGCTGAGCTCTTTAAGCTGCTAAAGTACCATTGACATTTTGGCCAAGTTAGGAAATTTAAGAAAGAGAGCCTTAAAAACAAAAGTATCTGATTTCACACTTTCTTTTTTTCAATAGGAAAACTTCCAGATGTCTTTATCTACACTATTTCGTTCAGAATCATAGGTGATCTTTCACCAAACTATGTTTTGAATATTTGGGCACTAGTTTTTGCTTCCACGGATAGGTCCTGACCCAAACTCCCTCAAACATAGAGGTTCTCCCCAAATCCTATCATGGCAACCATTTTCCATGAAGCCCCTCTCCCTCCAAGGGCATTGTACCAAGGCCCTTGCAGGCCTCAGCCTTTGTTTTCTTTTTTAAAATTCTGTGGGAGTTCCAAGTCCATCAAATATCTCAAAATGCCTTCCCAATCCCTGTATTTCTTTCCACTTTTAGGCCTTCAGCTAGTTAATCCCAATAAAGATTTAGGAGCTTGAAAATAAAATGAACTTCCTAAAGTAGAAGTCTATTCGTCTCTTGAATTTCATTCTCTGCCTTTTATTGAATGTCAACTATGTGCAAAGTGTGGTACAAAGCACTAAGATAAAATAGGAGACAGGTGCAGAGCAAGGATGAACAGGAGGCAGGCTGTGCTGGCATATGATGCAAATCAAAGTGACAAAATGCTCTGGTAGAAATCTGGGTAAATGGCTAGGGAGAAGACAGCCTAACCTGGGAGTCCAGGGAACTAGAGAAGTGGGGAGGGGATATGGCCAGGGGGCTCAGGGTAGGAAAGATTACTTTAAATGTGTGTTTTCTACTTTTTTCCTAATTACTGAGCTCCATCTTCTTAAAATTGGGCAATGGGCAGTCTTTATATGTGAAAAAAAAACAAAACAATAAACATTAGTTTATAAGAAATTATAAGAAAAACTCTACACCATCATCATCTATCCCCCTTTTAATTTTACTTCTCAGCCATAATATGTTCTACAATAGTCCAGGACCTTATACAAATGATGTCCCAAACTCATTGTTGTCATTGTCCCACTCTGTCCTCTTAATACCTTATCTCCCCGACCTCTCATGAGAGATTTGAGGTTACTTAGGGTGTTTTCATTTTCTTTATCATGCTATGGAAAAGCCTGAGCACTCAACTGAATTCAATTTTAAGTAAGAAAAATTCCTTGCAATTAAAATTGTTTGCATTGAATTGAGTAGAGTTTCCAATATTCATCCATTGTCATCTAAATACTTTTGTTTAGAGCAAAATAAGGTGCTTATTACAATGAGTCAAATATTTGGGGGTCTTTGTCAGGTCAGGATGGTGTTTTTGATCTGGTCAAAATGTAGTATTTGCTAATACTTTTTCTAACTAGAAAAAAATCCAATCTGATATCATAGATTTGGAATCAAGGCTGGTGAGTGGCATAGGTTGAGGAGGCTCTTTTGGAAAAGTTATTGACAGAATAAATAAATGAATGAATGAAGAATACTCCAGCCTGGATTTAAGAGTAAACCATATCACTTGCTTCCTTCTCAAGATGGCCTTGTGTGGATTCTTATGTTATTGAAGCTTTGGAGCATTTTGCTAGGAAATTCTTTCCTTCTATTGCAACATCGTGGCGATCAGGCTGCACTGTCAGTTGAGCACTGGGGACTGAGATGTTTGTGAATGCTGTGGTCAGTCAGGTCTGAGTTCAATGAAAAGTCATTGCCTGAGGGTTGCATAACTTGATTGCTACAGGTAGAGAATGGCCTTTCACCAACACCAAAGATTTATTGGCTTTTGGGTGGGAAAAGTCAGCTTTTATATTTCAAGAGAGTAAATCATCTCTTGTTAATTGTGAAGCCTTTAAAGGCTATTTAGGATGGTGAACTTCTGCTAGAGCTTCATGCAGTAATATGTAAAATATGTAGTTGACCAGAAGTTTACAGTTTTGACTAATAGAAGTATTAGTCAATGGGTAATACTTCAAGTTTGCCAAGTCCCAGCTTATAACTGGACCTTCATAAGCCAGCCTCATGTTCTAACAGTCAGAAGCACTCTAGACTTGCAACTTTAAACCCTAGTTAGAAAAAAAATTAGCAAATACTATATTTTAGCCAGAAAAAAAAAATCTAGGGCTACAACATTTTACCAGGGACTCATGTTAACATTTGGTCTACAACAACTTTGTTTATAGAATACTCATGCAGGTAAGTTTTGTGGTCGTCACAATCTGTCTGAAAGTAAACATTTTTGGAAGTAGAAATTTGAGAAAGCTATGGTGGTGCTATTTAGTAACATAGGCCATGGAGAATTTGGTCAATGAAGATCAACAACTTTGATGAAATAGTTTTTGCCTGAATAATGAATAATTTATTTTGCCTAACAGTCTACATTGCTAAAAAGGTGAAAGCAGTGGTCAATTTAATGAAGAAAAGTGCATTCACTCAAAGTTTTTGGCAGAAAGGAGAAAAAATATCTGGTTGATTGATTTCCTTATTTGCTTTCCAGCTGGTGGTTTTGGTGTGGTCGAGACACTTCATGGGGTTCCTGCCTTTAGTTATGCTAGTTGTAGCAGACCACTACCTTGAATCAAGAAAGCATGTTGGTCTAACTCTAAGATTATAGCCAGAACCCATCAGAGGGCTAGAATTTCTTTCCACTAAAAGTTCCTTTATAAATTCTTGTGTTTTGTTGTGTTTCTAGGTATATGTTTAAATGGTTTCAAAATTGATTGCTTTTAATAGTTCTTTTGTTGTTGCTGACAGTTGTGGAGAGAGTAAGATGGAGATACACAAAGCCTTTTCTTATTAACAGATTTCCTGTTATACATGTATTAAGATTGTCGGCTTCTACTCCGGTATCCTTTCCTTCTAGCTTGCTTCACCAGAGGGAGAAAGACTAGCTCAATTATATTATCCTGTTAGATTGCTTAAATCATGTTTAGATAAAAAAAAATTACTTTCTGCTTTCTTACTATAGTTCATGATTTCCATTTTGTAAGGCATCTTTTCTAAATTTTGTGCTTTATTATTTTTGCGGTGTTGAGCGAGCGAAAACAAACTCTAGTTCATAATTCACTTTAAAGAACATACCCTTTCTTTCTATTTTCTTGTTAAAACCAAATTGTGTGCAATTTGTAGGAAATTGAAACCACATTTTTCACTTAACTTTCCAAAATTAAAATTTATGGGGAAAAAGAAGCAATAAAACAGTTACAATCTGGTCATCTATAATTATCTGTGTGGTGTGAGCAGTTCCACATTTGAAAAATGTGACACGGATAACTTATCAAGATTTTACAACCGTGGGACATTTCACTTCTTATTTGCTGCATTGGAGCCAAGATCTCCACAAAATGCTGAAAGTTACCACTGTCAGTTTGAAAGTTACATGTGTGAAGAGGAGCTTTGAAATGTATAGAAAACAATGGACAGTATCTAAAAACAGTTGTTTTCCTCCCTCACTCAGTAACGAAATGTATTACAGTAAAAATTTGCCATTGTAGACTGTTCTTATTTCCAGTATTGTTCTTGATTTCAGTTACTTTAACATTCTCTTGTCACGCTCTACTGGGTAGGAGAAAACCACAGAACTAGTGAGATGAACCGTCTATTTCTGTTTATTGGTGCTGCCATTGCTGTCTTGGTATCTCCATTTCTAAAGCTTTCTGCATCTTTATAGATTTCCTAAGAAATGGATCCTTGAAGATATTCAAGTCCTAAGCTGTGCTTTTTTTTTTTTTTTTTTGGAATAAATACTTTTTCCCCTTTTAATCTTGCCATCTAATTGTTTCTAAGTTATAATAGTAAAAAGTTTTAGATTCTAAGAAATTTGATACTTCAATCCTAGTTCTTAATAGAGGGAAAGTTCATTTAACAATGGCTCCTTTGTGGAAATATAATCATATTTAGACAACTTGATGCAGCTGTGGTGAAGTCATTCATTTGTGTTTTCATTCAGTAAACTTTTATTGAGTATCTATTTAGTTTCACATCTTCTGTTAGAATCTAAATATAGAGTGGGGAACAAAACACTACAAATAGTACTGCACATAGTAATTATTCCCTTGAACCTTAGCATCATCAACATCATTCTAGATAAAAATGTATGGATGGACAGATCTTTGGCAGTATAAAAAAACCATCTAAAACCACTACAATCCTGAGTCTCGACTTAAGCTCAACTGAAATTGCACCCTTGCCTCAGCAACTTACAAATGCTCAAATGTTTTATAAATATTTTGGCCATGTCCATTTCTTTATTTGTAAGTTGATTCTGATCAATATTATCAGAATTTTAAAGATGTATTCATTTAATGGATAAGTACTTATTGTATAACGTAGTCTTCTAAGTGTTTTACAAATATTTAGCCCATTGAATCCCTGAACATCTCTATAGGGAAGGCACTTGACTGTCCTGATTCAACAGGTAAGGAGACTGAGACATAGATTAAGCATTTGCCAGAGTTACTCAAGTGGAGGAACCTGGCCAGACCGTCTGACTCCAGAATTCATCCTCTTAACTGTTCCACTGTACTCTTTCCTCAGTACTTTGGTATTTCTATAACTACGTATGTCTTTTAAAAGTGTGATGATCCCTGAGTGTATGACGCTTGGACACATCTGGTAGGATTCTGCAGACAGCTTACTCTGCCTGTAAGTGGAGAGGTTCCAAAGAGGCATCAGTAAAGGAGTCCCTGGCATGTGATGGCCCTCAGGTCATTATGAGCCAGGGGCAAACGCAACATGTGTCCTACCTTCCATTCATTCTAAGTTGTTCATTCGCCCGTCTCTCTAATACGTGCTTAGATATAAAAATAATATGTGCTAATTTAGAAAATTTAGAGAAAAACAGGATAGAATTTAAGGAGTTCAAATCATCCAATAGCCATCACCCAGAGTTGACCACTAAAAAGATTTTTGTATATTTCTTTCATATTTTTCTATACATAACAAATATATATGAACATTTTCTTCGTATTTGTGGTTATACTGTATATGTGTTTACACACACACAGTTTTATATCCTGTTTTTTTCACATAGCCTAATAAGCATTTTCCCACGCATTAAAATTTCTTCATAAACATGTTAATAGGCTGCATCATCTCCCACAGTGTGGATTTACTATATTTATTTATCCATTCACTATTGCTAGAAATTTAAGTTGTTTTATTTATACTCGTATAATGATACAATCTTTGCTCTTTTCTCTAACTTTGATGCTTTAAAAACCATAGTAATTTGTGGTAACTAAATGTTCTATCCCTTTATGAAGATTTTTTTTTAAATGCCCTAAATGATTTTTTTTTGCAAGTGGTAGATTTTTAAAAAAAACTTTTGAAATAATTTTTTCATATAATGCTTTTATTATTTGCACTATAAAATGATGCTATAAAATATAGAGTAGAAATAAAATATGCCCAAGTGTCCACATGAACTCACAATTAGTCTAGGAAATTATATCTAGCCGTAAAGTGAGAATATTAAAGCTCTTGTATCTATATTAATACAATCAGCCATACTTTTTAATGATAAGTATTTAATCTATCAGTCTCCTCTCTCTTTTTTATCACCCAGTTGCAAACTAGATTCATTTTGGATAATTACCTTTGGTACTAAATGTATATTATCTGCCCAGTTAGGAAATAGATCAGAGGGAATTCATAAATCAATAGTAATAAAGTAAACAGAGAGAATGGAATCTATTTCCTCTCTTATCATTTGTTTGAACCCATGCTACTAAAGACAGGGACCCTGTCTAATGGATGTCGGACAGAGGACCACAAGTAAACCCCACTGGGAACAGCTCTCCTTTAAGAATTGATCTGATATTTCAGGAAATATCTTATTGTTTGAATATTATAATGGTAGGTGCTTAATGACAACTACGATGCTTTGACTTCTGCTGTTTACAGAATTGATTTCAGTTTCTCTTTCAATGTTTTTGTATCTATTCCTGGATGCACCTCCTTTCTCTCCAACCTCTTTCTAGCCTTCATAAAACAATTTTTGACAGAGCATTAATGTTAGATTTACCAGTGTTATGCTAACCACAATCTCATTGTCCAAAGGGAGATAAAAATCCAGTGTCCCATACTGTTGACTACAAAAGAGGCTCTCTGTAGTTTCAATGTTGATGTCATCATGAGAAAAGATAATTCAATACTCAGAGTGGGACCTGTACCTCTACTTCAGCACAAACATGGGAGAGTTAGTTTACCTTGCCCAGACCTCTAAATATTCTAGCAGGCTAATGAAACTCTGAGAAAAGGTATGTCCAGCCTCCCTTGTTGATATGCTAAATCCAACAGCCAAGAAAATATTCCTGCCGTGTAAAAGAAACTCATCACTGCTATTATTCAGTGTATATTCACCTCCCTCGTGTAATACAAAAGTATTACCTGTTTTCCCCAAATCCTAAACTCTATAGGAACTTATTGACTTATGTCACAACTAATGGCATTGCTAGGAGGTATACTAGAGCCCACTTTCACAGTTTTCTACCAAGTGTTGACTTCACTGTAGCGTGGTTGATCCTAGACTCAAGTGACCTGATTTGGTGGTGCCTTCCACACCAAAGTTTCAAGGCCAGGAATATAGTGAGTTAGGAATCTCTTTCTGTGTTTACAGGATTATGGTCACTGTTGGTTTTAGAATCTTGGCCAAGGGGAAGACTATTAGATTCTGAGTTTATTTCCAAAGCAAAAGCAGGAAATCTAAAGAGATGGCATTGCATATTTTGGGAGGTGGATCTTCTTCATGGTTTCCAGTATTTTAATGACAATTAGAAAATTGTTTTTGATAGGATCCAAGTAGTTCCAAATTCAGAAAGAACTTAAATACGCTTCTGTCTTTCACAAAGTCCAATTGTAAATGATGTCTTTATTAGCAGAGATACATACTCTTGCACCCTTGTCACTTTAAGAGGCCACATACTCGGGAAGAGGTATGTGCTTCCTCAAGGAGCTTGCTTCTCCTGGCATAGAAGGGCAGTCAATCTAGGCCCTCTTCCACAGGGAATTGCCATGCTGTGGGCCACAACTTGACAAGATTGCCTTGGGGACACACCTCAAACTCCTGCTTAGGTTTTTCTGCTCTGGAGAGACAAAGTGGGACTTTCAAACAGGCCAAATATTTCAAGAGAGAAATCTGCAATTAGTTTTCTTCCCCCCTCCTTTGATCATTATACCATCCTTTTACATCTGCCAGGCTCTATTTACAAGCCTCCTCTTCCCTCAGTAGGCACATTTGAAGCCTGCTTAACTGGTATTCAGAGGGCAGAATGGCATTATTTGTGATTCCTTTGCCACTGACTCGGAGCAGTGATGGGAGGACGTCAATTTTGCAAGGGCAGCATTATTTGACGCTCTTACTGCTCAGTCCCAGAACGCTCGTTTGGTTGTGAAGATGAGCACTTAATATGCTCTCTTCTTTTCTCTCCTGTCCCTTCCATATTCCTGCTGAATCTCACATTCCTCTAAGCACAGCCCTGAGAATGCCAGCCTTCAGACAAGCCAGAAAGAAGACACTATGTGAAAATGGGGCATTAATGGTTTGTGAATCCGAAGATAGTTAACTGATATGTGCATTCAATTAAGATTGGTTTTTCAGTTAAAAGACTCCCCAGGAAGAGCAGCTTTATTCTCATTTCT
Organism: Homo sapiens; assembly: GCF_000001405.40. Taxonomy (NCBI): domain Eukaryota; kingdom Metazoa; phylum Chordata; class Mammalia; order Primates; family Hominidae; genus Homo; species Homo sapiens. The sequence continues at coordinate 158,748,422 of NC_000005.10, read as the reverse complement.
GGGTTATGAGCAGTTAATGAAGAAGGCATACCAGAATTCCACCCGTGTTATCCGGAGCTACCTCTGGATTCCATAACCATTTTCAACTTACTTGATGAGGGGAAACTTGCCAGTTGAGATTAAACAAGCTGGACGATGGTCATGGAGAAGCGTGTGTCATTTCCCATGTTTTTTGTGGGTGATGTCACCACCACACACCGCACAGAAACTGGTTTTGTATTTAAGTGTGATCCATTCTGGCAACTTTCCCTTTTAAAACATATGTCTTAACCAAGTCAAGTCTTTATGTAGCATATGTGGATATACATTTATATTTTTCAAGTCTAAGACAGATATTTTTACTGTAGGCATCTTTTACTATTTGTTTTCTCCTGTGTTGTCCTGAAGGGAAAGATAACACCATTACTTCCAATGTATTAGCTAAATGCTTCCACAGGGGCAGTCCATCACAGAGAAGCCAGTGAACAATAGTGACAGCCTGCCCTGGTTCAGCTCTTACTGCTGTGCAACTTAGGCAAGATCCGTCACCCCTCTATCGTCCTAAGGGTCTTTCTCCTGTAAAATGGTGATGATAACAGTACAGACTTCACAGAGACAGCAAAGAGTTGGTGATTTGTAAGATAGTGCTTAGCACAGTCACTGGCACAAGGTCATTGTGCATCAATTACTATGAACTACTATTCTTATCTCATTTCCATTACAAGAATGTAGGTAAAGTCACAGCATGTTGTTTTTAGTCTTGGAGGTTTTTGCAAAACAGCCTTTAAAGGACAGCTTGGCAATGGCTTTAAAACATGCGGATGCTTTGTAGACATGGTCCATGATACTTTCAGGGTCCTGGGAACATTTGTTGTCTTCCTTTTAGTTGGTGTTTGTTTTATAAAGTGGCAGGTCTATTTGGCTTTGAAATGGCCAGCAGTAATAGGAGATAGATCATGTATATGAAGATGTCATCTGAATGACAGATTTGATGTTGTCTTTTTCCATAGGTGCAATTCAATCACATTTCATTTCTTTGCCTACCAATCCTTCACCCAAGACTAGCAGCCACAGTTTTCTCATCTGTGAAATAGGAATATCTACCTTTTGGGGTATCCAAAGGAAAAAATTAAGTTTGCAAAAGTGAAATGCTCAGAACCGCTTCTCAACAAATGATCCTATTTATTTTAAGTCAGGCTTACATGGAGGAATGACACAGAGGACTGGGGTTGGTTCGGCTCCAACATTTGAGTTTTAGTTGTGATTCAGCTGTTGACTAGCTGTTGATCTTACACTGGTCACTTAGGCTTTCCAAGCCTGGTTGTGTTTGCTGAAGGAAGATTTTTGCAGTAATAAAGTTCTGAAGTTGATTGAGTAGATGTGCCTTTGCCCCTCTCTACCTGACCACATCAAGATCACACTGTTAAATCTAGAGTTAGAAGGGAGACTTAGAAGAATGTATTCGTATCTAAAAGTTGTTTTGGTAGCTTTTGAAAAATGCAATCCAGTATATTTGATTTTGTCCTTAAAGGGTCACAATACCTATTGTCCCAATATAATCACAAAAATTTTCCATTTGAGAATAGGTCAGCAGTTTATCAAGCCGATCTCTGCTCCTGTAGATATGTCCCAGCCCTCTGAAAAAGCCAGCAACAATATCTCACATATTGGTCTCAGGCAAAGTGAATTCCGCAGATGGAGCTAAATATGTATTTTTATTTCCTCTAAATTCACCAGGCTTCAATAGGAGCAGGAAGATTATAGAGAGAGTATAGAAGGAAGGTCACTTTTTTTTTCCTTGTTGGTTTTAAGCAGGTCCATTCCACCCATCAATATAGAGAGAAATGCAAGATTCAGTTTGGGGAACTTCAGTCTCTTAATTCCAGTTAGAAGGAAAAAGAGGTCCAGAGGAATCTTAGCAAGAACAAGGGCTTCTGGTAACGCTAGATGGCATTTCTAAAGGCCTTTGCCCACTTGGAAAAATAGTTTATGTGGCCACTGGGCCTACTTTTGGGGATGCCTCTGAACTTAATACAGATCCAGTCTCTAAGCTTAAAATTCTTTCATCCTCCCCACCCAAAATAGCCAGTTTGCCCTCCAGAAAGCTTGTACTGATTTCTAACCAACCTTCTGGGTATAAGAGTTCTCATTATCTCCATTAAAGTTGCTGTTATTAAGAATTTAACCAATTGTCACTTTTATTAGTAAAAGCTAACCTACTTTTGCTTCATCTTGTGCTGTGACAAATGCTATGCTCTAACAGCGTCCTGTCATAAAGTCTTCTAATGATGCGTGTACCTTAGGAGAACCATTTGCAGCTCTCAGACAAGCTAAACAGAAATATTAACCACGAGTCTTCCCCCAAGCTGGAAATAACCCAAAGCAGTAGTAATAAAAACTTAACCATGATGTCCTGAAACATGGACTGTGCTATCCTATCCTTAAAAGTTCAGGGCATAACTTTAGCTAAGCCTCTCTTTCACTCCCTACACTCACCCACATTATTCCATGGGAATTAGGAAAGCCTCTCTAGCACTTGGGATGGCACGTGAAAGAAAGAATCAGAGCCTGAAGGTGGAGGCTGATTGGTTTCTTCCACTTAGGTTAGTGGATTACCAGGGTGTTTGCTTATAGATCAACAGCAACAGCCAACATTATTTTCACTTTCTCCTGGACAGTGTGGTCCATATTCCAATTAGAACCCCCACCCTCCCTCTTTATCCTCTACATTTAGACAACAAATTATATCCACATGGCAATTTCTTTCTAATGCAGTTACCAGACCCCTTTCTTTGGGGCCTAAATTCAAATGAGATTATGAAAGCCTTTGGGTCAGTAATGTAGCAACTGGTCTAGTCTCTTCAGCTCTTGAGAACTGATGTAGGCACTAATGAGATAAATTCACTAAAATGCTTTTACATGGAGACTTGGTAAAGATACACGACACAAAGAGTCTTCTGTGTACCTGGCTTAGGTGGGTGGGTTCAAACCTTTTCCTTGCTGAAGGTCAGAACCAGTGTCAAATTTACAGCAAACCCACTTTTGATGCTTGGTGTTCCCTTTGGTTTTTATCGTCACAGTAGGTATTACCTGACCAAGAAGTAATTACACCATTATTTTTTATGTGGTGCTTTATTACTTGCTTTTCAAAATTGGTTTCCACCATCTCACGAGCTAATAGCAACAAATATGTGATTGTAATGTTCACTCTGTCAGGAGACCCGGGGTTATTGCGGAAGTGGCCACATACCCATTGCCCACACAATAACTGTTACTCCAAAACAAGTGAACTGCTTAACTAAACATCTATTGATTGTAAGACGCTGGGGACCAATATTAAGACCACCAACATCCAAAGGGGAAGATTAAATTCTAGTTATTATACACTATATTTTGTCAATATTTTGTGGCGAGGAGACGGAGCACAAGTCCAAATCTAGGGTAGATTAGAAGAAGTAGAACTTCACTGGGTACCTTAAGTCATTAACTTAGTTCAATCCACTTCTTAAAAGACAGGCATTAAGAGTGTCAGCAGAAAACATCAAGAACCATGGAAATCCCCTCATCTTCACTGCTCCAAATATACTAACAGGAATTAACCAAATCTAAAAGTCAGCTCAAGGTTTATCATCATAGTTGTTTCCGGTGAATGTGACAGCTTTTGCCTTGAGGCATCTGAAGTTCTACAGTTTTCTTTAGGACTGGGGACTGATCTGGGACTGAGTGTCCTCCACGCTTTCTTGTATGGCTCTTATGATAAGCTAAGCTACAATTGGGCAAACAAGTTTGCCAACCTCACTTACTCATTTAGGTTCATATCTTTTTACTGGGAGTTATAGAGTGAGACTGAAGAAAACCAGAACTTTAGGATTAAAGCATCCACAAGTTGTCTGAAACTGTGTGTGCCATTTATGCTAATGATCTTAGTATAACATTTACAACTTCCTAATATACTAATTTACAAATTTGCTTACATTTACAACTTCTCCTCAGACCTCTCCTGGTTGGTTGCTTGACTGCACTAGATGGTGTTGATAACACCTTATATTTTGAGTTCCTCGTTTCGGTGATACTATTCTCTCCTGGTATTCTTTCTATACCTTTTTGACGTGTATTTGTCCTGTTTTGTCTCTCAATCTCTCTCTAACCATTCCTTACCTGCTTGTGTTCCCCGTAGTGTCTGCCCTGGGTTCTCTTTTCACATGTGGTTTTTGCTATTACCTATATATTGGTGTTCCTGATAGAATTAACTCCATCACTGATCTTTTTCCTAAGCTTCTGGTTTTTTTTTTGACAGTGTCTCACTTTGTTGCCCAGGCTGCAGTGCTCACTGCAACCTCCACCTCCCAGATTCAAGCGATTCTCCTGCCTCAGCCTCCCAAGTAGCTGGGACTACAAGTATGCACTACCACACCTGGCTGATTTTTGTATTTTTAGTAGAGACGGAGTTTCACCATGTTAGCCAGGCTGGTCTTGAACTCCTGGCCTCAAGTGATCCACCCACCTTAGCCTCCCAAAGGGCTGGGATTGCAGGCATGAGCCACCGTGCCCAGTCTGAGCTTCTGTTCTTTATTCTCGACTGTCTACTAAATATTTTTACCTAGATCTTCTGGCACCTAAATTCCAGCATGTCTGAAATTGAACTCATGATTTTTTTTCCTCCTGTATATAGTTTTCTTTCTGCTAAATGGCCACTGTTTCCACTCAGTCAGATAAATTAGAAATGTCAGCCATCCCCCATTCTTCGTATTGCCTTACATCTGGCATGTTGCTGAATTCATGTAGATTTTATTCTAAAATATCTCTCTGAAATCTACTTTTTCCTCCATGACCACCCCATCATTAGTTGGTCTTTTATTTTCCATTTGGATTATTACAATAATGCTGCCTTTAAGAGCCAACCTTCATTTTACTTCTATGGCTCTTTAAAATGTTGATCACATCGTGTTGCTCCTACGATCTGGAAAATCTTAAATGACTCCTTGCTCTCTACCTGCTCTTAGCAAGGCACCAAGGCCAATACTGTTACTTATGGTTAACCTTTAACACCTCACTCTCAACATGTTAAGCTGTACTCTGCCCAAACTGGAACATCCAACCCTACTTGAACACATCTTTTGTATAACTCCCTTTGCTCTTTCTGTTCCTATTGCCTGGAATGCTTTTCCTGTCCTTTTCCGTAGAAAAATCCTATTTATCTTTCCATACCCAACTCAGATATTTGAGCTAAGTATTTCCCTGACTCTACTACAGAGAATTAATTTTTTCCTCCTTTTGTGCAGTGTACATTAATAATGCTACAGTTTTGTATATTTTTGGGTAGCCAATTACAGGTCTGTCTCCCCACTGGACCATGTTCTTCTCAAGGGTATGGCACAGTGCCTAGAAGAGTTTTTCAAATGGAATCAATCATTTCCAGCTGGGGACTCACAGGGCACTGGACTTGCATGTTGTACATCTTTTTCTTTTCATCTTCTTAAGCATGGGGCCTTGTATACAGCAAGCCTGCAATTTTATTTAATTAATTAAACAGTATAAAACACCCCAAGTCTGGAAATGAATCCTGTCTTAATTAGGTGTCTCCTATTTTTTTCTCCTTTGTTCACAGAACTTACATTGTTTTAAAATGGTTGTGTCCTACTCCAGATGGAGCTCATTTTCAGGGTAATATTTGAGAACCAGAGGTGGTAGAATTTTTTAAACTGTAATTCCAAGTTAGCATAAAGGAGATGGGGAAGGTTGAGTCCCAAGGACAAGTGTAACACACCCGCTGTTCTAGAACCCCACATCTTCCTGCTGTTGTATTTGCCACACTGTTTTAGAATTCTGTTTGTGTCTTTCTGCCCCTCTAGACTCTGGAGTTCCTTGAGAGTGGGGAATATGTAAATATGTCTAATTAGTCCTGTATTCATTGCACCTGCCCCTGTTTCTAGCACATGGCCTATATTCTATTAATAGTAATAACAACTGCCTATTGAGTATTTATGTGCTAATCACTGTACAAATAATAGCACATTAAATCTTCACTTTACAGTTGAGGAATACTTAAAGAATGTAAGTGACTTTTCCAAAAGGAACATATATCCTGTCAATTATGTAGCCTGGCTGCAGTCTAGCTGAGTCTTACTCCAGGACGGTTGGGACAAAGGGAAGAAGAATGTGTTATTAGGAAAATGGAAGTCAAATGGGTTCTGGAGTGTTTTCATGGAATATAAATTGAGACAAAGGAAAGGACTAAAACAGATTGTAGATAGAAGGATACATGAATAGCAAAAACAGTATCACAAAAGTCCTGGAAGCCAAAATTATTAGAGATCTGCTCTGAGGAGCCCTTGGTTGGCCTAACTTGCTGCTCTAATGAACAGGTTCAGAGTAGGGCTCTCGAGGCAGACTGCCTGGGTTTGAATCCCAGCCCCTACTTTCATTAGCTCGGTGGATTTAGGCAAAGTCTGAACTCTCCAAGCCTCCATTTTCTTCTGTGTCTAATGGGAATAATGATAGTACCTCCTTATAGAGTTGTTGTGAAGGATAGGTTAATCCATATAAAGTGCCTGGCACACAGTAAGTCCTTAGGAAGTGTGAGCTGCTGTTGCTGCTGTTGTAATTATTAAAAGAAGACAAGATACACATGAATGAATGTAATTCATTGTGGCACTTAGCATTTAATTAATATTATGCTTCTCAGTGAATCCATGTTTTCTAAACTTATCAACCAAGGTGTCCCTACAAACTTAATGGGATGCTATGAGATATTTCAAACTTGAGGGAAACAGTGATACTTCAAGTACATCAGATACTGTATAAACTACCAGTTTAAGGTAGTTCAAAACTCAATATTACATTATACTGCTTTTTTTTTTTTTTTTTTAAAGACAGGGTCTTGCTCTGTCACCCAGGCTGGAGGGCAGTAGTGAAATCATGGCTCACTGTGGCTTGGAACTCCCCAGCTCAAGCTGTTCTCCCACTTCAGCCTCCCGAGTAGCTGGAACCACAGTCATATACCACCATGCTTGGCTAATTTTTTAATCTTTTGTAGAGACGAGGTCTCACTATATTGACCAGGCTGGTTTCAAACTCTTGGGCTGCAGCTATCCTTCTGCCTCAGCCTCCCAATGTGCTAGGATTACAGGTGTGAGCCACTGTGCCCAGCCTTACAGTGCATCCTTTTGATGGTGTCATATCTTTGCAAAGCTGGTTTTCAGCATTTACTGTGGTTACAAAAAAAAGTGCCACGTGAAAACCAATATGGAATCAAAAATGAAGGTGGCTGTGTTTAGTCTGATTCTGAGGTGTGCAAAGTTGTGTGGTGCCCACCAGGAACACATGTTTCACTAGTAAATTGTGATTATTTTAAAATGAAATAAAATGTTATATATTTTTTGTCCATTTCTTTATATAGTTTTTGTCAAATATGTATGTCCTACTAAGTTGCTGGAACATAAAGTTTAAGCTGTTCGCATCTAAGTAGTTAATAAACAGAATTGTTGGGCATTGCTTTTGGCTTAGGGATGCTTTGAAGGGATTGCTGAGATACTCAGGGTACTGTGAACAGAGAAAGTTTGAGGAGCTCTGAAGTAGTAGACAATAAATGTATAAGCAAAATGTGTGTTAAAAGTGTTCTAGAGTATAATAGTCAGGGGGAGGAGACTTCTTAGGATCAAGATGCTCAGCAAAAATAATCATTTAGGTTAGGTCAATACTGAAGAAGCCTGACTTCATTTATTTTTAAATCAAGATGCTATTTAAGTTGAAGCTTTGGCTGATAAAAACTTCCAGGCTTATCTGCAAGGCCATTGTAGCTCGCTGCATGGCATACTTGTTGTAAGTTCTCTGTAATTCCATTAAAATGTTACCAAATAATCACTTAATCTTCTAATATCTTCCAGTTACAAGTACTTTCCTGTCTTATTAGTGGAATTAGTGGATGATTTGGAGTCACTTTTTTATCACCATTCTTGGGATTTGTTTTTTCCTTTCCAGTCTGACCGTCTGCAGAGCTCTGTTATAATTTCATTACAACTCTTCTGAAACCTGTCCACTGGTTTGGAGGAAACAACTCTGTGAACAGTGGGAGTCATTTTCTGAGTTGTCTCATAAAACCATGATATTAACAATCACAAGTAGGACTTCAGCCCAGAACTCCGCGTTTGGTTAGCACAAGGCTCAGGGAAGGATTTCTTCGCCTTGGAGCCTGACTCGGTGCTGTCCCCTGCTGAGAGCCATAAGTCACTGGTAGGCTTGTTCTAGGAGAGTAATAAGTATTGTTGTTTAGCAATTGTGTTGTTGAAATTCAGCTCCACTATGTCTGACAGTATTTATCTAAAATACTTTCCCTGGTGCGTGTTCAAGTTCCAGTAAACCGTGTCTTATTGTGCGACCTTTTCATTTTCCAGTGAAAAGGGATCAGCTCGTCAGATAAAAGCTACAAGCCAGAGTACAGGAAAAATGCGTGCTCAGAAAATCCAAGCATGATTGAAAACAAGATGTGTTAAATCAATGCGGTTTATCGCCTGCCTATTCCCGGCAATTGCTGTTCTAAGCTCATTCTGAACACACACGGGGTGATAAAAGTATAGTGTCACAGCACTTGCTGGGGTGGGGATATAAGAAAACATGTTTATCAGACAGGCTGGGTGATTTTACCCCCTTGATAACAGCTAATGTCAAAACTCTTTGGGAAGAAATCTGAAGAACAATTATAGAAGTAATATTACTCTTGTTATATCAGAAACTATGCCAGTAGGGAAGAGAATTATGGACGTATCCTTAAATGTTAAGAAAGACAGAATATGTTGGTCTCCAATATTTAAACGCCATCATCCATTACAAAGTGGAAATTATTCTTCTCTTCTCATTTAAAGGAGCAAATTTGGCTTTGAAACCTAATCGTGAATGATCCAAATTAAAAAAACACCCAAATGAAAAAGATTGAAAGGTCAAAAAAAAAATTGTGTACATTCAACTTCTGTTTGCTCAAGGGATTTTATTTTAGTTTTAAAGTTGGATCAAATTTGGGAATCTAAATTAAGGCTCCTGGACGGCCATGCTGTTCAGAGCACTTTAAACACAGTAACAGGGGCAGCTTTTCTCATCAACTGTAGTACACTTAGAGAGCAATACAGTTTCTCCTAATTATTGGAGGTTCACCTACTTCCCATTTTAGACACAGTATAGCCCTCCAGGGCAAGAAAGGGGTCTGTTCATGAAGAGATGCTCCACTTCTGCCAGTAACTTCTCACCACACATCTAGAAAATGCCAACCGGTTGTAGTATAAATTGGTTTAATGTATCTCAGAGACAGCATTTGTGTCTCTTTCTCTCTAAAGTCAAATCAGCATTTGAGAGCTCCTTGTAGGCTTAGACCAATAAGAAGAACCTGATGGACAGAAAACAGTTTCTTGAGCATTTGGGGGCAAATTTAAAATACTAGGGTGGCCTCCCCAAAAGGTTTGTGTTAGTTGACATGGTGAGCCTTACATAATAAAAATCAGGCCACCAAACGGCTTGTTCATGTGTAAAATGTCAGGAGCCTAGGCACAGAGATTCCTGTTAGTGCTGGGATTTTGTTTCACGGATATTTAGTAAAAACAAAAACAAAAAACAGCAGTTTAATTGATTTGGTATCAGGACTTGTTAATGTGTGGCAAATTGAGGTTCATCAATATTAACATAAAATAGTCATCTTGGAATAATAAAGGACTACAAAAATATAAACAATGAGGCTTCTGTGCTAATTTATGCAACCAACTCTTTCTGTGCCTCAGTTTCCCACCTTTGAATTAGGAGTAATTTTTAACATTTACGTCAAGGGCATATTGTAGGAACCAAGGAGATAATTTCTAGAAAGCACTTTGTTATTACTGGAAAAAGAGTCTTATATGACCTCAGGGTATGTTTAAAATGGCACCTCTACAAGGAATCATTGTGACTGTTAACACCTACAATCTTCAGAGGTCCTTATAACTTAGAGAATAATTGAGTTCAAGATGCAAAATCTTAAAAATTAGTTTTCTTTTGCAGATGCCTTTGAAAGTAACCTGTCAAAATGTAAATTGGCATAAATTTTATGAAGGATAGTTAGGAAATATGTATACTGAAAGACTTGAAATGTGCATATTCTTTTATCCTGAGAAGTGCTTATTATAAATGCTTCTTAAGTCAGTGAAAATTTTGGGAAGAAAACCTTACATTCCAGTTAGTAGAGGATTTGTTACATAAATTATGTCTATCTGTATAATACGGTAAGCTACAAACATCAAAAAGAAAGAGATAGGTATAAGCCTGTATATAATCTATATTTTTATAAAACAGTATTGTGAAAATGTTTGGAAGCATACATACTAAAATATCAATCATGCTTCTACATGAATGGGGATATTATGGGGGTTTTCCTCCTTTAAACTATTTTTTATATAATAATTATGTTAACATTACTTTTAGATTTAGAAAAACAGTAAGGTGATTTCATTTTGAAAAACAAAAGCAAGTCTCTTAATTCTTTGTTCCTCTTCTTGATGGCTTTTACTTCTCCAAGAATTGTTAATTTCCAAACATATGCAAGTTCTTTGCATTCCAAGCTACAGTCCTGAGGATCTTCCCTCATCAGTCTTCCTCCGAGTGCCCCTGCTTTGTTTCATCCTCCTAGGCTCTTTGCTTTTCAGTTGACCTTCTGTCTTCAGCCTTTTCTTTGCATGTTACCCTGGCTGCACTCTTTGTAAAAAGGACGTAACCACTCAAGGCACCTAATACCTCTGATTGTGCCTGTGGTAGAGAGGCCTTGCTTCCTTTGCTTGATTTTTGAATCTCAAAGTTGTTGTCACACATCAAGAGACCTGAAGACTACAAATAAGACATCAGGGTGATCGGACGCGGTGGCTCACGGTTGTAATCCCAGCACTTTGGGAGGCCGAAGCGGGCGGATCACGAGGTCAGGAGATCGAGACCATCCTGTCTAACACGGTGAAACCCCGTCTCTATTAAAAATACAAAAAAATTAGCTGGGCGTGGTGGTGGGCGCCTGTAGTCCCAGCTACTCGGAAGGCTGAGGCAGGAGAATGGCATGAACCCGGGAGGCGGAGTTTGCAGCGAGCCGAGATCGCGCCACTGCACTCCACCCTGGGCGACGGAGCGAGACTCCGTCTCAAAAAAAAAAAAAAAAAAAAAAAAAAAAAAAAAAATCAGGGCATGTTCAAAGGCAGTTTGGAAATTTTCCTCTGGCTTCTCTATTGGTTAATTCTGCCTATGTTGGCTTCGTCTTGACACCCTTCTTGTTGCAGAAAGTTACAGCTTTCTGTGGTTCCAGGAGTCCTTCCCTGAAGCCCTCCTGAGCCTCGCTCTCTCCGAGGCAGGGGCACCAGGCTGTAAAAGCATTTCACGGGAAAGCAGGAGCTCACTTGCAAGGAATTTGGTGTTGGGTTTCTTAGGAAGTGTATCACTCCCACGGAAGAGGTGACCTGGTGTGCCGTTTGTGCATCAAGTATCTAGGCAGGTAATGAAATATCCAAATGGCTGGAAATGCAACAAATTTCCTCGTGAACAATATTTCTGGCCTTGTTCAGGTTTCTGGCTGATTTTTCGGTTTATATATTTTAAACTCAGTCTTAAAGATAGATTTGTGAAGATAACTTGCTGTTTTATTGTTTACCTCTGGTTGTTAATTTAGTGACTGAGGGAAAAATGGGGCCATTATGGAACAAAAAGGCTCTGCCTAACACATATGTAATAACTCTCATGCCCAGAATGGATCTGCCTTGGAGGGAAATGCTCTGCTGTTACTCCTTTAGTTCAAATATGGAGTAGTCACCAGGGAAGCTTGGAGACCCAGGTGCTAGTTTTATCATTGCCTCTGCTATGAGGTTTTATTTATTACTTGGCATAGAGTCTAGATATTTGTTTGGACATTAAATGGCAATAGAATATTAATATTGCCTTCCTAATATCTGCATTTCTTTTTATTTCCAGTCAAAATGACATCATGTCACACAACCATTAAAAAAAGGAAATTAAAACCCCAGAAATATGTGAAAGCACGGCAGTGAGTCGCTGAGCTATAAAAGCAGGGAATTCTGTAAGCCAATGTTGGAATGGCACCCAAAGCACTTTTCCCCTGGTGTTTCTGAACAGAACTCTGCAGCCTCTCATTTCCATCGTTTCCAGGAATAAGTATTCAAGAAGTTAACGGGGACGGAGGAGTGGCTTCTTTAAAAGGAAACTCCAAAAAGAGAAAAATCATTTTTCATAACTGAGAATGCATCTGGCTTGACTATATGATTTTAATTTGCAAATATACCCCCTTACAGAGAATTTCCTTTATTTGATGTGTTTGTGAAGTGGATTTCTTTAAGAAAGAAAAAGAGACTATAGGCATGAAAAGGCCACATATATATTTGGTTAGAATTCACTCATTATTATGAGTTTTCAATTGAATTTTAGAAGCTTGTGATTAGTATGAGTGCATAAAAACTAGTTGTGTTATCTCGATTTTCTTTGCATATAGCATTTCATGCTGCATGCACATTTGGACATTAGAGATTATAGCTTTGTAGAACCAGAGCTGTTCTGTCTTGACCACCACCTGGGTTGAAGCCCATAAAGAGAAAGGCTGAGAGATCGGTTGGAATAGAAAGTTGCTGGTTTCCTTTAGGGGACTCTGAGATGATGAGATCCGGAAGGAACCTAAAGCCCTCTATAAGCAGTCCCAACATAAAGCCAGAATAAAACAGTTTGATTTTTTTAACCATTTCATTAACTTTTTTTTCAAAAGTAGTAATGTTGATACAGTTCAAATGGCATCCTGGTGCATACAACAGATACATCCCACCAATATCCATTCCCCAGTATCACATCATAGCTGTGGGTGAGGGGATCCTTCTCAAATCTCAGCTGAGACATTTGCCCTGCAAGCTTACTCTCCTGTTTGGGAGCATTTGATTTTGCTTTTCATGCATTTACAGGAACGTTTCAGATGTACCCCTCCATAAGCTGTACACAACTCCACGAAGTCCTACTATGTGGGTTCAGTAAATATCTTTCTACCAGTAAATGAGTTTGAAGGGGTCAGTGGAAGACAGCTTGAATTCAATTGCTGTGGCCCCTCAACAGCCTGATTGTTCTTTAAATTAATGTATCCCCATTAAGTGTATTGTGACCCTAGACTTTGTCAGAAAGAGGAGCAGAGGAGGTGACTATAAGGAGGACCTGGCTGTGAGATGCTGAGATGCTGAGCTGCATCCCAGCTCTGCAAGTAGAGGATTTCATCTGTCTTTGGGGGTTGGATTATGTGTACCTTTCGGAAAGTTTGTTTTAAAGGGCTTATGATGTTGTGACACTAAACAGTTCATTCCTACGAATGCCACCCCCTCTTCTTGAGCATATGGTAAGCACTAAAAATGATTACTGAATAAATGGATAATTTAATGTCTTTTGGAATTTTTAAAATGCATACATTGGCCCCATTTTATTCTCATGGTATAAACATTGAGGCTTTTCTATTTGGGATAATGGATTCTTCTAAACCTAACTGGTTTAGGGTGACACCCTCTCAGACCCTTTTCAGAGTGTGTGGACTGGGTATTTGGAAGCAGGGCCACACAAGCTGTTCTCATCATTCCATTCCTCTTGCAGTTTACAGCTTCATCTGTTTTTCTTTTTTCAATCTAAGATGCTCATGCTTCTTTATTTGTAGTTAATTGTGTCCAATTAAGTTTTTTTTTCTTGCTCTACCAGATTCTCGGAATTGTCCCAAGTTTGAGGGGGAAAAAAATTGGTTAGTCCCATTTCTTCTGGTGCCTCCTGAGCCCTGCGCTTGGGTACAATGAGGTCACTTTGTTGAAGGATTAACTTTATATTACATTCTTGCAGAGTAGATGTATGTCCCTAAGGTATGACTACCCCCACTGATGAAATAAATATACCATTCTTTATGATTCCTCCCTGTTACCCTCTCTGTTGATTTTCAGAGAGTTTATGAATAGTCACATATTTATACAACTGGCCAAAAGTATACTACTTATTTTTCTTATGGTCTGTAATAACCTATGCAAGGTTATTAAAGGGTATACAGACCCCTCTTAAAGCATAGTTTCTTATGTCATTACTTTATACAAGCAGGTCAAATTCCATCTCAGCAACAATCTCTTGCTCTTAACCTTTTTCTCTGATTATATAAGTAATATATGTTCATTGTGGAAAATTTAGAAAATTCACAGCAAAAAGAACAGGAAGAAAAGCACTTTAAGACCCGCTACTTAGAAATAACTACTATTTGGCAGTTTATACACAGACATATTTTCTTTATTCTATATATGTTTGTTTAAAAAAAGTAACTATATTGTACACATGCTCCTGTAATCTACTTTTTAACCAAGCAATATATCAGTAAATATTTTTTCCTATGGCATTGCTTTTGAGGATGGCATCATATTCTATTCCATGCGGGTGCCTTAAATTAACCATCCCCCACTTCCCAGATGTTTAATATATTTTTTGTGGGGGCAGTTAAAATAACAGTCTTTGTCAGATGGCTCCCCCACAGTCAGTAATTGGTTTACTTTTTTTCTCTAGTCAATGCAATCAGATAAATCATCAGGTTCCTTTGGATTTAGGACAGTGAGCTTTGTCTAGCATCTTTAATGTTAGCTTTGTCTGCAGCACTGGACGATTCCATTGTAATATTCAATACCTGTATTGAGGGCAGGTTAACTTGTTTAAAGCTATGAACAGACAGCAAATCATAAAGGCATGGGACATAAGTTAAAAGCCCTTGCCTTACTATTTAAATATTTCCTCTCTCATAGTACACGTCCATGGAGTAAATCCTTATTTTTCTTTGAATAATGAGTTTAATATGTCTAATTCAATTACTCTGTGGCAGCCGAATGACTTCTCTTCAGCTCTTTAGCTATTAGTTCCATATGATATTTGAATTGGTTCTTTTAATTGCTGATATTGTCGGTCATTCCTCTGTGAGCTGGCCATATAGCCGGAGAAACATCTCTCTCCCCGCCATACATCAGACAGTCATTCAATTAACAACCATGAATTTCTAGACACAATAGGAATTCATTATGCTAATGATTGAAGTGGTGGGGCAACAATTCAAATTTTACTGGTATCTTAGACTGAAAAGTAAAACCAAGAATTAGAATTTTCAGGATGCTGAATTATGTTTTCAGATATTAAAATGATGCATTTAATTGTCTAAAGCTACTATTTATGGTTAAACATTTTTGTTGGCAATTAGCATTATGGGTGGGGGTGGATATTATAAATAACTTAAACCTTGGTGCTCATTCCTGTCTCTCTCATGCATCTCTTGATTAAATACAGTGGATTTTACAAGTTGCAGCTTCCCTGCCTAAAGAATTCTATGGCATTTTCTCTACAAGTCTAATTTGAAAAAAGAATTCTTCTCAAGGGTTTAGAAAGTAATTCATAAAATGGAAGGAATAATAAATATTGTGCCTTAACTCATATACTAGTATAGATAGAAAGATTTGATACACCTGGGTGTAATTTTAGTTAATTTCCACAAGAGACAGGTTGAAAGTTTACTGTTTGGAAATGGGGGGAGGGTTAACTAAATCTCATATTTGCAAAAATGATTACATTATCTTAAATGAAAATGCCACTCTATTAATGACTTCAATAAGCATTGCATTTGGGGGAAAAAAATCTTTCTAATAAAAAGTTACCTAAAGTTCACTCTAACTTAAAATATACAAGTGAAGAAAAAGTACTTACTCTGATTTATGTGTCTTTTGGAGGTGTAATTATTGGCTTTTTACTCACCTGTGTAAAACAATGTACTTTTGTAAATGGATTTCTGGCCACTTTATGCAGCTTTTTTTTTTCCTTACATAAAAAGTAAGCACTGTCAATCAAGGAATTTTAAGGTTTATTTCCTCTTTAGAAATGATTGATAGCCTTTTAGATTTACAAGTTGACAAGTTAAAGAGTTCTATTGGTATAATTATGTACTAAATTCACAGTCTTTCAATTTAAATGTCCTTTTAAAACCACAAGATTATCATACCTGTATTTTGAAAAGTGGGCCAGTCAGTTTGGGTTGGTATACAAATTGCTTCCATTAGCCTTGGGACCTATTTGAATTTAATACAGTTTTTTAAAGTTAGTACTAGTATGAATCTTACTTTTAAAATTTAGGTTAATGGAAATGCATTTTAAGCAAAACGTGTGGCAACTTGTTTTTTAATGTATAGCTAAATGTCAGAACTACACAGACTGTCTTTTTTATTCAGCATGTGAGAAAATACATGGTTGAGCACTTTGATTACACTAAAAAAGACAAGAAATTTTAAAAAAACACCCACCTACCCCTTACTTAGAGAATATAGGGATGTGGAGGCTATGGATAGGAGCTGGAGCTGCCGTGTTTTCCATCTCCGCTGTTTCACGTGAGACAGCCTGAAGATATTTCACATACCAGGGAGAAATTTTGAAAATGATAGACCAGAGTCCACTTAATATTGTGTTTAATTTAAGGATGCTTTAAAGAGTGTGTAGTCAATGTGCACACAGCAAGGTCCATTGTCTCCAAATGTTATTCCAGGTTTGCTCTTCTTTTGGTGTTTTCAAGGATTATTCTTGGAGACTCGGCTGCTCTAAGCTAGTACTTCACAGATGCTGGTCCCAAATAATATCAATGTTGGTGAAAGGATCTATCATTTCAGATGTGAGAGTTTTGAATCAGGGCATTTTCAATACCCATCCCTTTGCAGACTCTCTCAAGGGTGGCACTGGCTTTCCATACCTCAAAGATTCACTTCTACTCACTCTCCTCTACTCTCACCAGCCTCTTGCATGCTTATTTGTGCTGAGATATTGTATCAGCTGAGGTCCGCTAAGGATTTTGCAGTTAAGCAGATACTTTTAATTCTCCTGCTGTTTACAATGTATAGATACCACCAGGCAAGCCCTTGAGTGCTTTTACCTGAGCAACTGAATTAAAGTGGATACTAAAAACCTCACATCAAATACCATTTTACTTTCTATTTATGATCATGTAAGGAGTGTAGAATTTGGCCAAAGGAACACTGTTCAAGACCTACTCCTAATGTTCTTTTGGGCGGGTCACTCCCCACCGTGGTATAAAGCAGATGGTGGAAAGTTTAGCCAAGAGATCATTCACACAACCATCTTGTGATCCAATTCAAAAGTATCAGTTAAACTTTGGACTTCCTGGTTATTTCCACACCATTAGTGTTGCAAGCCATGTTCAGCTTTATTTCTTGAAAATGTACTAATTGTGTGACTTCTTTATTGCAGCGCTCAACGAACCCACCATCGATTATGGTTTCCAGAGGTTACAGAAGGTCATTCCTCGGCACCCTGGTGACCCTGAGCGTTTGCCAAAGGTGAGGATACTGCCTTTTTGTAATTCCTGAAAATTTGGACTTGAGCGATTTGCAGAAAACTCTGCTGCTGATAAAAATTAGTTCACAGGTAAACAACTCATATTTTTGTGTTTTGTGTGTTTGGTGCTGTAAGGTAAGCAATAATAAAAGTAGCAAGCACTTATGTGCCAGGCAACACTGTGCTTACTTTTATATCTGTTATGCCATTTTATCCTCTCAACAATGCTCTGATGTTGGTATTATTACCATTCCTATTTTAGAAGAGAAAATAAGCAAGGAGAGATTAAATAATAATTTGCTCAAGGTCACATAGCATGTAAATCGCTAAACCAAGATTTGAACCTATGCAGCATGGCCCTAGAGTCTGGGCTACTTAATCGCTACATCTTACCAATTCTCAAAAGAAAAAGCAGCACCAAATTTCTGTCTACGAGGATCCGTACTTAGTCCTGGCAAGAGGAGAATAGTTAGAGCTCAAAATGTTTTGGTAGATCTTGAGATTGGGCAAAGACAACCTCTCTTCTCCTAAGGCATTCTACCTGGTTGGGAAAATAGGCACAAATATGAGAGAAATTAAACAAAAATTCAAGACAGAGTCATATATGTCACCAATACATCATTAATTGCCAGTGCAGAAAGAAGGAAACTGACCTTTATTGACTATTGCATACCTGTTGTGAATGTTTGGGATATCCCCATCCCTGTACCTGAGGAACTTGGGCTTTATGTGGGAGAGAATCCCAAACACAACTAATCATAAAAATAATAGCACATTAAAGAAAAGTGCAACCAACGTTCTGTGAGGACTCAGAGGAGAGGGCAGTTAAATGCGAAGGAAGTTCAAAGTACAGAATTCGTTGAGCTTGCATTCACTGTTTACTGACGGCAAAAAGCTTCATTTATTACACAAGTGAAAACTATTAACATTAAATTGAATTAGTAGTTTCAAGGACTCTTTCTTGCCACAGTAAGTCTAGAGATATGCCATTTCTAGGTTTATGTATCCGTGTAAAACACTTGCAAAAATGAAGTTGCCATCCTTCTTAGCTTGGTGAACCTCCTTGGAGTATCAGTTCGTCATCAAATCCTACCCGTGTGCTGGCTGCCCTTGTAGGCAGGGCCACCTGTCAGAACTGGCCCTGTCTGGGAGAAATCCACCCCTCAGGCCACTACACAGAGGTGAGGCGCATGGAGAGGAGGAGCGCTAACTGCTCCGGAGAGGAAGGACTGTGATGAGCAAGGGCCTGTGTCCTGCATCTTGACTTTGAGGGAAAAACACCTTCAGTTTTCAGAGATGATGCCTTCAGTTTCAAGCTTCAATTTCCAAGAACAACCTCACTTCCACTGAAGTGCTGTCCTTCCCTTTCCTTTTCCACCCCAATTTATTCTTGGTAAGCAATTAAATCATCTACAGGTTATTTAATATTATTTAGTAGATTAAATAATCTAACTATAATAATAAACAGCAGTCTCCACCCATGGTATAGATGGTCTGTGGAGAGATTTACCATTAGGTTCCTCTGTCTAGCAAGAACATGGTCCCGTGCATTTCCTATGGGACAACTGGTAATTTTATAGCACGATGATATAAATGATGTGGGTCTGACTAATGGTAGGTGCCTTAGCTGTCTTCGTGCTAGAACAAAGGCAGGGGTACAATGCCAGATTCTTCCCATTGTTCCCAGTGAGGAACATTTGGGCACTGTATTCACTTTATATTTAGCACTTGCTTTACCATTTGATCTCTAGAGTCCACTGGAGGTATTGAGGAGAGTCAGGTTGGACAAAGTGGAATTCAGACATTGGCCACTTGCTAGCTATGCAACCTAGGTCAAAATTGTTTACCTCTCTGTGCCTCAATGTCCTCATCCACTAAATGTGGATGGTGCTATGTTGTACCTTTTCGAGTTTTATTACAATGACTTATTTAGCAGCCAACAAAAGGTAGCTATGATGATTTGCCAGTTGAGTGAGAATGGGACCCTTGCTTCTGAGAGCTCTTCCACCCAATCTCTGCAGAGCAGGAAATCCTAATCCTGGTGAGCAGTTGAACATGTGATTTCTCCTCTGTGCCTCAGTTTCTTCATTGATAAAATGGGGATAATTAATCATGCTAACTCATAGGGGATCATGTAAGGATAAAGAGGTCATCTCATGGGTGCCCTTGGCATAGCATCTGGCCCATAGTTGCCACTTTAAAAATACTTATCGAGCAGTGGCTCATGCTGGTAATCCCAGCAATTTGGGAAGCAGAGGTGGGAGAATTGCTTAAGGCCAGGAATTGGATACTAGCCTGGGTACCATCACAAAACCCTATCTCTACAAACTAAAAAAAACGTTAGCTAGGCATGGTGGTGTGTGCACGTAGTCCAAGCTACTTGGGAGGCTGAGGTGGAAGGGCTGCTTAAGCCTAGGTGGTCAAGGCTGCAGTGAGACATACCTACCATTGCACTCCAGCCTGGGTGACAGAGCCAGAAGACCCTGTCTCAAAGAAAAATAGAAGACAAATCTGGTTTAATGGTTGAGGTCTACGGAAACCAGACAGTTCTTTTTCTTATAAGAAAGGAAAGGAGAGAAATGGGAATCTAGGGTTGAGTTTTGTGTACTTACTTTTGAAAACACTTTTATGGTTGCATGTTATGTTCAGAAATGTTGAACAAATAGCATAGGCACGTGTCACTTTGTCCCTGATGGTAAAATTCCCAACCCTTTTTTCCTGGGTTTGGAAAGAGTAATCAAGGACACAATGGATTTGTGTGTTAAGGAAACACTCCACGGCTTGCATCTAGCCACTTGATCGTGCAAGGGCTGGCCGGAGCCCACCCCAGGAAGCTCTCAGTGTGACTCAGAGCCGAGTGGCTGTCCTCTTGGCTTTGAATGTTAAAGTGGAGCGAGAGTTCAAGGGCAGGGTCAGGAAGTGGCGGATGGAGCCAGCACAAGGTATTCCTGTGGACTTGGGAGATTTATACTCCTGCTGTCCATTGTTAGGGAGATAAAAATGGGCTGCGCCTTTCTTAGGATCATGGTCAGTGTTTGTCAAACAGGAGTGTTTCAGTGAGCTATGGACCACACACCTTAAAAAACAAACTCCTCTTTATTAAACCCATGTGTTTGTGAATAGACAAAGCTAGATTCATACAACCACCCACACATTCTGTCAAATGAAACTGCTCCAAAGACCAAGCAGACAGCTTTCCATAATAATATGCCTTTGTATACAGGCATGTGCTTTTTCAAAAAAACTTGGACGTGCTTTGTTTTATTGGAGTCCCTCCTGCGAGAGAGGCTGGGCAGCAGACATCTTTACCATTTACCAAATAGGAAAACGGGAGCAAGCGGAATCCTGCTCTGTAAATTATTTTGTCCCTGAAAGTCACCATCAGTGATAGTTGCTGTACACACAAATTTAAAATACTGTGATTATGCTAACCCCAGATGTTTTTTGGTTTCCTTTTTCATATACACAGGGAGAAAAGGGCAGGCTAAGGTTTTTAAATCACAGCATTCTGTTCTGTTTCATACAGTTTCGCCTTTCTCTCTGGATCCTGGCAGGAAGGGGAGGAACATGTGACCAACTTTGAGGTCAAGGTTGACTTTTCTTATAATTTAGAGGTGGAGGGGATGGGGAACATGGTCGATCAGAAATTCTGAGATGCTGATGGCCGCAGTGATGCAATCCAGACACATTGGGCAAGGAGCGCTCTCTGTGTTCAAGGTCAGAAATGTCTCCGCCCCCTTGCAGTTTGTTAGTTGCCTTCGTGAGTGGTCAGTGAGCCTTAGCCCTAAGGCAGTGAGTGAGAGTGAGCCCTGAGCTTAGCTGGCGTCAGGCGTGTCAGCTGTGAATCCTAGGAAGCAAGGAATGTTTACTTCATGCCTACTGTGAGCCCAGCACTGCATTATTAAGGTTTTCGAAGATCATAGAGGCCAAGAGAGTGGGCTCTCAAGTCAGAAGGATGTGCGTTTTGGAAACATGATCCCCTACTTGGTACACATGACTCAACCTCCCATGCTTCAGGTTTCTCCTCTGTAAAGCAGCTGCCTCACGGCATTGTTGTCAGGTGTTAATGAGATAATTTATGCCAAGAGGCATCCCTGGCATCTAGCAAGACTCCAGTAAATGGGGGCCACTAATCCCTGCACTGTGGGTGTTCCCCATTTTACAGATGAGAAGTTAGAGTCCCCAGAGATCTGAGTGACTTGCTACGACATCACAGCTAGCACGCGGGAAAACTACCATTCATTCAAACTCAGGCCCTCAGGGTCGGTAGCCTCACTGCCGTCACTATGTTGAGTTCCCACTTCTCCTGCCTTGAGGTGTCTCCTCTGCAGACACCTGACACCTGGCCCCCATCCTTATGTAGATTCTCACCAGCTTTCTCTCATTTCCCTACTGAGAAGGCTTGGCCTGGGGACCTTCTCAGGGCCAATGTCTTTTCTCCAAGAGCCAGCCCCTCTTTTAGAGAAAATAAAGCAGTTTGGGAAAAGTAACAAAGGCTGCATTTGTGTATTTTGCTTTATGGAGCTGAAAATATCTGGTAAATTGATCCAGTGGGAGTAATAAATACACATTACTTTATCTTGTTCTTCATGTCCTATACCCCTGAGCCTTGATAGAACACCACCACTTAATAGACTTAAAAAAGAGTAATTACACTCATTGGTTGTGTGATTTTTCAGCCCTCCCAGCCCTGCCTGACCTTCTAATTTAGCTCACCGTGTCTAACTAATGCATTTATATTCATCTTTTATGAAGCATGTATAGTACAGAATTGACTTCAGAGCCTTTTTCAAGCTGTCCTCCTAGGTCCCCAATCTGGTTAGTAGTAAGGAGAATGGGAGCTATCCATCTCTATGTTGGTAGGTATAGATAACACGTAGACATGGCTCAAAGCATTTTTTATCCTTTATGAAACATAAAAAAAGTATTTATTACATTTTTACTTTAAAGCTTTTATACATTCGAGCATTATTTACAGCTAAACATGCAGGCAAAAGATGCGAGTGTTTTTAAAATGATTACTGTTAATGTTTCTGCTTGTCAGAAGTGCTTAAATTTTCCTGCACTTTGTCTAAAAACTTAGTACTGTTGCCTTTTAAGAACAACACATTTAAAAGATCTTGCAAGTCAGATTTGCAAACACTGCTGACAGTTTGTGATGAATGATATTGCAAAATTTGCAAGATGTTTGTCATTTCACACAGCCGACATATTAAGGAACGGATTAAGAAACGTGAAACCCCTATGGAAAACAACCATCCCAAACAAACCTCCGCCAAACCTTGAACCCAGAGAGCACACCGGAATCTCTCACCCGGGTTTTCTCTCCCAACTTCCCACTCAGCCAGTGGAACCCAATTGTTCTCAGTGCATTTTCTCTCACCATATGGTCTCCTCATTACCATACACTAAGAGTCCATATGGGAAACTTGTGAAATGAACTGCATTCATTTTAACTGCCAGATGAGCAGCCTTTTGCTTTGCAAGCTTAGCTTAAGTCATCTGCTGTCTTCATGTTGTTATGGCAACACAGCACCAATAAAAAATTCTAATCTACTGTAAGTGATCACAGTATTTTAAGTGCTTGCCTATAACTGCCCTCAAAGGGGAAGAGAGAGGAGGGTTCTATTTGTCCAAGGAGCAAAAAGTTGTTGTTCATTCCAGCAGGTGTCAGTAAAGAAGTCAGTGACATGGGGATTGAAGTACCAGTGTGGCTGGCTGTGCAGTAGGTTGGAATTATAAGGGAGGTGAACACCAGTGGGGTGGATGGTGGGAAGGAGGGGTTGTGGACCCTTTTGGTGGGTCTCCAAAAGCACATTGAATGTCAAGCACCATAGTATCTCTGGCAGACATGCTACTCTGGTGGTGCTGTGTGGCCAGCCTGCCGT
Source organism: Homo sapiens (assembly GCF_000001405.40). Classification (NCBI taxonomy): domain Eukaryota; kingdom Metazoa; phylum Chordata; class Mammalia; order Primates; family Hominidae; genus Homo; species Homo sapiens. The sequence continues at coordinate 158,725,182 of NC_000005.10, read as the reverse complement.
GAAGGAACTCAAGGCTTCCTTGGAAATACAGAGGTAGCAAATCCTCACGGTAGCTTCTCCTTCACTGGCATTCGAAAATCTCAGTCTCTATGAAGTGGCTCTCCCTGTACATGTGAATTAGTCATTTCAAACACCAGGCTAATTAAGAGTACCTTAAAGTAATGGAAGTAGGCAGCAACATCCTTAAATATAAATCATTTTCACCTCTGCTGGCCACATGATATGTTGCATCTCTGTCGCTCTATCTATATTGAAAGTGAATGTTTATAGTCTCAGTTCATCAGTTCACATTAGCCTCATGCTGAATATTTAAACACAGAACAATTTGAACACACCATGAAGGAAGACAGTGACTGCACTTTCATTTGGAACAGCAAGGGCTCATCTAATAATAATTTAGTAAATCAGCCATTTAGTGGCTCAGTTGTGCACTGCATTGTGCCAAATATTATTCACTTCAACTGTACACTTGCAAAATTGAAATTCAGACTCCAGTCACAGGCACTGTTTTTGCTCAGTGGAGAGACGAGACCTAAAATCACCCTCCCTAAAGAGCATTCATGTTTAGTGATTTATCATAAATACAGAGCTGGGGCAAAATAAAACTGGAGTTGGCTGTATACAATGTATTCTAATTATGCTTTTATTGTTTTAGTCTTTATGCAAAGACTATCAGTAATTCAAAACCTGCAGTTGCATCAGTGAAAATACAAATAAGATATCTTTGCATAACCACGTTGCCTCCTAGCAGAAAGGGAGATGACTAAGGGTTTCAGCAAAGGATGAAGAACGACTTAACATCTTCATCTTCCACACTGACACTAGCCTCTCTCTCACTCTCACTATCTCTCTTTCTCTTTCTCGTGTATTTACTTTTTTAATTTGAGGAAACTCGATTAACATTATATCCTGAAATGAAAGTGACCCTCCTCAGACGAAAACACAGAAACAAATGGCAAATCTTATGGTATATTCAGCTCTTAGAAAAAACATGCCTGAGTTTGATTCCAGGAAACATCTCTGCATTCTCTTGTCAAAAACACAAGCTATGGAATGCTGTCCATTTCCCCCACTCTCTCCTGTATCTACCAGAAAACTTACAGGCAGATTCCATTTCCCCATTTGATAATATGCTCAGTCTAGGGGCTTGGTATCCACTACTACTTATATTTCTTTTTATCCAGGGAGTTTAGCCTGGATCTGTGTACCCCTGAAATTGCATTTAGAATTCCTGTGTGTGTGTGCGTGCATGTGTGCGTTATGAACATGCACACACAAATGCCTGCACATGTAATTTATCTGGGGAAAGAAGTTGTAGCCTCAGTAAAAAGGCCGATGACCCCCATGAAAGTTGTAATTCTCACCTCTTTAAGTTATTTATCTTTAGCTGACTTATTTTGCGGCAAATGCTTCTGCTTGTCATTATTGTTTCCTTCCCAATTTAGAGATGAGGAAACTGAGATTTATACAGGACAAGTAACCTTCTCAAGCTTATGCAGCTAGTAAGTGGAGGTTTCCTAACTTCCCATACTTCCTAACCAGTAATCCATTTAGAGTCTTTTATAGAGTTTTGAAAATAGGATTATATCTCAAACATAGCACTCAAGGCACGCAATACACATTGACTGTAAGAATGCATATATTTTGCCAGAGTTCCTTGGAAAATAAATGGGGATTATTAATAATATTGCTGGTTATTGCCTGATAAGCACTAACTAAATATAATCTACTAAACCAGGTGTTGGTATTAACTCTGTTTTACAGATGAGGACACAGAGGCATGTGTTTACGCTGCTAATACATCGCAGAACATGGATTTGAGCCAAGTCTATTGGACTCCAGATCCAGAGCCTATATCCCCTAAGCAGTGCCTCCCAGAATTAAGAGATTTTAAGAAAAAAAGCCAATTTACAAAATCAGTCTTAAAACCCTTCCAGCCTGGTTAGGGAAGGAGGCAAGTGGTGGCCTAGACCTGAGGTTAGCTCACAAAGGGCTGAGCTAGGTGGAAGCGGCAGGAAGAATTCACATGTAAATGCAGACAAACCCTGGGTACCATGCTTTCCCTCTTTAGCTGCAGAGTCATTGTGGGAGGGACTTGCAGTAACCGTTATCCAATAGCTCAGTGCTGGAACTCTTTCGAGTTCCTTTTTAGCACTGAGTTCTTGATGGGGAGGACTAAGGGTAACTTACTTCATATCATACCCTGCATACAGGGGCATTGAACATAATTACTCATTAGTTCAAGGGTAGGTGACAGGAGAACCAAGAGGCAAACTCATTTCTACCTCCAGCCACCCAACATCCTCCCCTTAAAGACTGAAGCCCTTAGGAATGGAGATGCTTGGAGGTCTTAAGCCTTGCTCACTATTTTCAGCCCTGAGTAACACTTCAGTGGAGCATTAGAGTAATAAGTACCAAGCCCCAACAGTCTTGAAGCAGTGGATTTTAATTGCAGTTATACTCAGGACCATCTGTAAAGGCTTGAGAATTATCATTTACAGATATCGTTTGTCTGGAGATACATATGATAACCGATGATGTTCATGCTCAACAGTTGAAGAAGCAAAAGCAAATTATATTTTTGCCTCCCTTATGTATCTATATAGTATGGGAACGTGTCACTCAAGTTTCCCTATAGTATACGTCCAAAAATATAAATATGCACGTGCATTTGTATACACACACACCAAACATACAAACACATCCACGTATGTGTACATGACAAATACATCTCTTTGTTTACTGAGCAGTCCCTCTACTTTTAAGCTCGGTATTTATTCAGCCTTGGCTGAGGGAAAGAAGCCACAGCCAAAAGACAAAGAGAAACAGAAGTAGTTAATTTTTGGCTTTTTGTGTTTTCTAAAAGCCCAGGCCTTGGCGACTTAAAGGTGACTTAAAAGATTTTCAAGGGTAATTTTGACTCTAGGCCGTTTTTGTTTCATGTGCTGACTTTACAACCTACCCCTGAAAAAGGCATCTCTGTCCAGAGCTTTCTCTTTAAGCAGAGACTTTTATCCTGATCAGAAAGTCGATTTCCAAGGCACTCAGCAGGACCTAACCCACAGCGTTGGTCTTAAACCAGTACAATGAATTGGAATAAGAAGATCCCGCCAGAGGTTACCAAGTTCAGCTCTGTACCTCCAAGCAGGTCATAGTCAACAAGGGTGCAGACACCATTTTTCACTGTATCTGTGGCGGGAAGCACCCCAGGCTCCCATTCACCAATTACCATGACACCATTTAGAAGAAAATGCCAGGAGACCAAATAAAAAAAAAAAAGGGAGGGGAAAGCCATTGTCATAACTCTTCTCAGAAATACCTGGTTTCACAATTTATACTTAACTGCTGACACTTGAAAAGTCGAACATTTTGGTAAAATGAATCAAGCTGTAATGTTTCTTTTATGAGATCCCCTTGCAGGAAAGGGAAGCTTGGCACCTCATGGAGCCCAAGCTTAGTTATCCATCATAGTAAAGTCAGCTGTCCTAGCCAGCTTCTCAGAGGTCACACGATCGAACCAACAGCTCTTACAACTATATTATTGCTTACGGGACAGTAATTGAGGCACCAGATAAAAATTACCTGGTCTAATAGGCAGCGAACAATTTTCACTCAATAAAATTATGAGCCAAATCATTTATTTCATAACACTCTGGCTAATTTATTTGTTGACCTTTTAATATCCATAGCTCCTCAGTGGTATTAACTGCAACTCAGACAAAATCTCTTGTTCATTTCACTTTCATTGATTTTTTTTTTCCATTGTGGCAATAACAGTTGCTTGAAAACAGCCTTTCTTTCCATTGTAAAAGTCAATCACGTAAGTTAGTATGTCTTACGTTGATATAGCCGCGTTAGCTTACAACCTAGTTTAATTTCATATGATTCAGAGTCTCCTATACCATGTTTTTAACAAAGGCAAGGCTTTCTGGTTTACCTCCAACCATGCCGCATGCTGGTTCATAATAATATGTTTGAGAAGTAAGAGGGCTGTCATCTAATCTGAACATAAAATCAACTTTAAAATCAGAGGAGGTTCAGAAGAGGTCCTCCTGCTGCATTTTCTCTAGACTAGAATGTTTTTGGTGCCTTGGCCTTTGGTATTAATAGCAGTAGACTCTTTCAAAATATTTAATTCCTTTGTTCTGGAAATGTCTAGAGATTTTTACTGTGGTTTGAATTTCAGTTTTTAAAAAGACTCTGGGCAAAAAGTATGCGCTAGCTAGAATGTTCTGTAGGGCAATCTAAGCTTCAGCTGAATCTTCTTATATACTAAAATACTATGAAGTCTTTAGAATGTGGGGTTGTAAAATATAATTGTTATACATTTGGCATTTTATGCCTCCCTGCAAATAACTACTTGCTACCTATACCTCATTTATGTTCCTCCTTTCCATTTCAATTTACTCTAAAGTGGTCCTTAGCTATAATGAGAATGCCCCTTTCAACAGAAACATGTTTAATTATATCCATGCTAAATGTAAGTGACTCTTCTCAGTCATAGGGCTTCTAAGGAAAGAGTGTTTAAAGTGTGACACTAAAGGCTTCTAATGATCTGCACTAAGCTCTATTTCAAGAAGTTTATATTACAAGAAAAATGAAAAATTTGAGGAATGTCTCAGAGGATGGGAAACTAAACGGTGCCCAAGTGTTATTTTGGTTTGTTTTACTCTTTCCCTCACTGCCCTCATTATACTGATTTTTTAGAATGCAAAGTCTACCATTGTGGAATTTTCCATTTGGCTGAATAAACACAAAGGAAGCTGGGATATAAAACTACCCTCCAAAGAAATACATCTCAGGACAACTAGTATTTATTGCATTGTACATCCAGCTCTGCAGGAAATGGGCTGCAAGAAACTTCCAATCAATTTCTCAGCATTCGGCCTTTCCAATCAGTAATGTCACCCAGGCTTTCAGAAGTCAGTGGGGAAAGATCCAGGACTTAAAGTCTAGGAGCTGAATGCACACATCAAAATCTGGGTCCTGCAGTAAACCCTATACGAAGGAAGGCAGTGAAATCAATGCTGATTTCATTGATAGGTGCTTATCATCTCTACATCAAGAGTGATTTTCTCATTTCACTTCATTGTGTGTTGCTGATATTTGGCCACTATATTTTGAATCCCCTGATAAAGCAAAGTAGATTGGTGATAAATGGGTATCAGGGAAATGTGCAGTGACAGGGAAGTATTGTGCTTCTTTCTCAGAAATCACCCAACTCAACTTGACTTTGATTATGGATGCTTGTAGTTTTTTTTTTCTGTTTCAATCTACATTCCTGAAAACATTTCCTATTTGGGTAAGCATAAAGCCAAGCACAGATTATCCTCTGAAATTACTGAAGCATCCCTGGGCTTTAATTTTATGGGCGGAGTTCCCAGAGTCTCAAAATCTAATGCTGAAACATGAAAATTAATGTTGTGTTCGTGTATGGGTATCTATCAGCTTTATGATCATCAGCCTATATGTGCTATGAACAAAAGAAAGTTCAGACTATCTTCCCTGCTCATCTGGGGTTGAGTTGCCCAAAACATTGAACTGGGTTTATAAATGGGCCCAGTATTGGCCAGTTAGACAACCTTTCCCTTCACTCTAGGAGGCTAGATGTGGCCAGTGAACTTGAGCTTATTAGCTATAGATTTCAGGTCAAAGGCTAAAGAGAAGGACTCCCACAGATGGTGAATAATCCTAAGATTTTTAACTCATAAAATAGAAGATGAGTTAACTATGTCTGCATATTTGTCATGATATGCCTGGTTCCCAATGTGTCTTTCTATGAATGTGCAAATACCTAACTATTTCCAAGGGCCTAAGAGTACAGCTAATAAAAGGCTGAGGACCATAAGGACCAACCTCATGTTGCTAGCAGCCTATAACTTGAGATAATGTCTGTACTAGACATGATTCATTGTATTAATCACAAAATTAAAATGTAAGTCCAAGCCAGCAGGAATGAAAGAGCAAATTCATAAAAAAGTGACATAAAAAAACTCACAGTGATCAAAACTTGACCTTTGGGAATTTATATATTGGATTTAAGAGTCTGTAGCTAAATGGAACACCAAATTTAAGTCTTCTACTTTTATAAACCATGCCAAATATGACTTTGTCATTTCATCATACAAATTAAGTGTGTACTTTTAAAAATCAGTAACTGTATCTTAGAATAACACATCAACATGAATTTCTCAAGACTTGTGGTTTGCTAAACATTATGGTAGGAGCTTAGATAAGGAGATTAAGAACCTATCACTGGCCTCAAAAAGTCTGCAGTCTAGCTATGGAGAATGATGACTAACACACTTCAGATCAGAGCAGAATGACCTCTCAGTATATACTTCTGTGCTGTGCTGGGTGACACAGATGGTCAGCACTCTTTTTCAGAGGAAATAGAGATATTAGGAGCTGGGGTATCAGTGAAGGTGGAATTATTTCTGATAGAACAGTGTGATTTTCAAGAGCCAGGCTCTGATGTCTAACAGGCCTGGGGTTGAATCCATGCTCAGCCACTAGTCAGCGGTGGAAACTTTGGGAAAGTTAGCTGACCTCTCTGAGTGTCAGTTTCCTCATCTGCCAGATAGTAATAGAAAGAATACCTTAAGAGGCTTTCTATGAAGGTTGAATGAGTTCTTGCTCCACTTTCAATAAATGAGAGTGATCTCCTTCATTACCATACCATCACGATCCCCTTCAGTACGAGGCTTCAGAGGATGGAGAGAGGCATTGTCCATGGGCACAGATTGAAGCCAGCATTCCCTCCAAAAAAAGGGGAAGGCAAAAGGAGTGAAGGTATGGAGATAGAAAGGAGCCAAATGTTTTACTTCTAGGCTGGGGAGGACAAGCATAGAGAGCAGTTCTTCAAATACATAGGGAGAGATGACTGGACAAAGATGGTAGGACCAAGTGATGGCGACAATCTTTTGTGACTCTCATCAAACTTTGTAGGTCGATGCTGGGAAGATAATGTGCCCTGAAAGTTGCTGGAGAATAAGATCCACATATGATGACAGACAAGGGCAACAAGAAGCTCAAACAATATTTGCTAATTGGGTTGCAAAGTAGAAAGTAAAGCTGAATCTTCCCTTTATATTTGTAGCCCATTCAGCATTTTTATTATAAAGCTTCCAAAATATAAGTAAAACCCATGCCAGCTACATTTGAACTGTTTCTTGGAACCCCATTCCTCCTTCGGTCTCCCTAACATTTCTGTAGACTCTAAATAGAGTAAGAATAATGCATCCACATTTTTCTCCATAGAACCCCACTCACATAACCATCAACCTATGGTCATAGCAAGACAGGTGAAGCCACGTTTTGATAGTGAGATGAAATCAATCAGTGAAAAGTAGTTGTTGTTTTTAAGGAGTAAAGCTTTTTTGTATCTTTAAGAGAGAAGAAATCCAAGGCCATGAGCAGAAAAATTGTCTGACTCAGAATGTAGATTGGAGAACAAACATTACCTCTACAAGGAGACTCTGGGGCTTTTCAATATTTAGGATACTAGTATTTGTCTTTAATTCCCAAAAGGGATTTTTAAAAAAAAAAAATCCAAGGATAGGATTAATTATCTTGGAATTGTCTAATATCCACTCTTATGTTTGAAATTGCAAGCAGGGAGACGTTTTAAACATTATGAAAAGAAGAGAAAATCTCCCCTGACAAATAAATGCCTTGAAACATTAGATATTAGTACTAGTCAAGTGCTCTTTCTTTTCAGAAATATTAAAATTGCATATTAAAATGAAAGATCCTTAGACTGTGCTCCTGCCTAATGCCACAAAAAATAAGAATTTAAGAACAATTTTAGAGACAAAAGATTATATGAAACATCCAGCTCTTCCCCTTATGGGAAATTTCTTTTTTTAACATCCAAGGCTCAATCATTTCCTAATGTGAAATTACAGATTTTTCAAATTACCATATAAAACTGCAAAAAAATTACACTTGTGACCACAGAAGAGATGGCATACACTATCAATTTGATTTTAAAAGGCATACATCTTTTATACTACCTGTCATTTTTATAATGCCTTTTACAAATTTAATCAATACATTTTAACATTCTATATACTTTAAGTGCAATATACAATAAATATTCAAGTTTCATCTTAAACATGCTTTAGCCTTTAAATTGTTAAAACTGCAGTGCCCTTTCAATCTACTTACATAATGTCATAAAATATACATTTCAAGGTAAATGAAGTCAGCTACTTCAATTTAGTCCCTCAAACTGGTAGTAAATGAGAGGTTAACACTATGGTGCCAAACCCATTATTGAGTAAATTTAGCACCTTGGACAGCTCTGTAAAATCTTTATTGCTTTCCTGACCTGCTCGTCATGTTCTGTCTGTGTGTTCAGTGGCTCTCAGCTCTGATTGAAAGGCAATATATTAGATCCCCAACACAAACACGCCTGGGGGCTAGTTCACTGGGAGCGTAATGACATGGAGGTGAGAGCAATTTTCTGGTCACCGAAATCCAAGCAGTTTGCAGGTCCATTGCACTAACTCATGGAGGACCCAGAAATTTCCTTTCTCCTTCCCATTTGCAGAAATACCTAATAGAAGCCAAATCACATGGGCAAAGCTCAACCAAGTCTTTCTTAAGTCCTTACAAGTTGATACTACAGTGAAGGATATTTTTTAATGGGTAAGATATTATTTAAGGGTGTCCCTTTCAAGACAAGAAATCCAGGTTCACACTCCTCAAATCCAAGACTGCTGGCCTGAAGTGATGCTGTACTGATGACCTACCTATGGCAATGTACTCAATGGGAAAACATGCCCCAGCATGGTGGATCAAAGAAGGCAGCATCATGGATCAAAGAAGGATGCTCCTTTAGGAAACAAGATCCACGTGTTTTATTCTCAAAGGATTAAATGGGGATGAGAGCTCTGGATATCGACATAAGGAGAAAAAAAAAAGTAGATTTTGTCATTGAAAAACTCTATCACCAAGGATATATAATATATACTGATAGATGGTATGTTTTCAGGCTTATGAAAACTTCAAAGATCTTGGAGTTTAATTTTGAACTTCCCTCCTCCCTGCTTCTGTGAAATTAATTAAAATAAGGTACACTGCTCTAAGTCCTCAATTATAGTGTTACAAGAGTGAAGTTCACAAGTGCAGTTTCTTTCTGTGCCTCATCACGCTTTTGACAAACGGGAGACTTGCCTTTTTCCCCCCTAAAATGGAAAGAAAGGAAAATACGTTCCCTGCCAAGCCCCAACACTGGCATAAATATTTATTTGGAGAAATAAATGAACATAGGCCTAGAGAAGTCTAATCTTAGTAAATAAACTCACTTGATCCTGTTTTTTGTTTTCATCTTTCCTAAGAGCCAGATAAAGCCAAGAGGTTTTAGTGAAGGCAACACAGGCTGAATTTGATCTGGGGATAGGGTTTAGTGTGCCCGTACAATAGTAAATTATTAACTGCTGTGGTCAGACACTACTACAGCAAACAAAAAGTGGTAAATTAGCTTGTAGCTTACATTAAAAAATAAAGAAATGATTTCAGATGTATTGGTTCAAATCCCTTTGATTATATAATGTTCTTTACTCCCTACATGAAAAATAACTAAACTGTTTTATAAAGGGGGTCTATCAGCTTAAGGCAAGCATAAATGTTTATTGAGAACTGAAAACCCCACTATCTTATTTTTGAATTTAGGACATTAGATATGTCATAAGTAGTTACTGTAGTATGACAACTACTTTATCTTATATTATAGAGAATTTAAAATTGAAAAATGCTAATATGTATCTAAAAGCTTGTCATTTCAAGAGTTGTTCAAGGATTTTTGAAGAGGCTATGATGACAGCAAAATGAATGCGATTATCTCCCTATTTTCTGATCAGCGACTGCAGTCTGTGAAAATTGAACAGCACTGCTTCTCCATGTAGAAATCTATTGTGTAAAATATTTAAAGTTACACTTCTGTTTGAAACTTTACCCACAGTCAAAAATGGTAAACATATCTTCATGCAAATCACCTCTGATGATCCTACCACACCCTTACGTTTGGTTCTCTGACAAGCCCCTACCTTTTACATGCATCAAGCTTAACTTTGCTTTTCTTTTCACATTCTAGTGGAAATGAATCTGAAGAAAATTAGGGAAAAATGAAGAGAGAGATTTCTTTTAGTTAGAACCAAAAATATTAGCACCACACTCACTTTGTAGAGTACTCCCTATTATTAGAACCAAGCATGCAGGCTAAATATGGAGGTCCACCTAAGTAAAAAGAGGGAGATATTTTTCCTTCAACTGGAATGAGTAGCCAAGCATCTATCTAGGATGAGAATGAATGAGCAAATGGGGGAAATCACACAATACTGAAATAGCAAATAATTGCTATTAAAGAAATAGATACTGCCAGTAATGAAAATTGGTGCAGAGGGGGCCTCTGAGGACAGTAGAGTCCTTTCATAAGAGTTTTTGACAAACAGTGCATTGCCTCAGTATGTGGGTTTCCTACATCACCCTCTTATATTATGTCTCTACCATCCAAGAGAGATAAACAAAAGAAGTTTAATACTACATGCTTCTAGTAGCTGAAGATTGATTGGAAATCCCTCGAAAATGACCTGTCTGATAAGGTCATGGTTACTGGAATAAGCAATTAAGTGCAAAATAAACACATCTTAGGGATTCATACCACGACTGAATGACATCAATTGTAGTAATCTAGTAAATGACCTAGGAATTGTATTCAGCAATAAACATATGAGTGCTTTATCATGCCTATGGCAGACTATTGAGTGATGTATTTTATCTCGCAGTACCAATGATGCTCACCTTTTGACTCAATTAAGTGTGTATGTGAACAGGGATAAATTGGTGATTTAACACCCTTCTGGGGTTCCCCAAGCTACGGCCTTTATAGCAGTGCCTTGGCAAAGTATGGCCAGAGGGACTGGAATGTGATCATGTCAAAAGATAACGACAACCTGCCTTCACTCAAAGGATTGTATCTGCTTTTCTCTTGACAGGAAGTAATACTCAAAAGGGCTGCGGATCTGGTAGAAGCACTGTATGGGATGCCACACAACAACCAGGTGAGCGCTGTGGGTGTCTAGCCTGTGTGGACTGCCACATGCAATTAAAGATCTCAGATTCCTCATCGTAATGAGAAAGCACAAACAATATAAAAGCCATGTGCATGAGTTAAGAGTATAAGTAATTCAGATATAACATGTTGCAAGATGATTCAATCCTCTTTTGTAAACCTTTTATTGCCCTTTCCACTGAATCATTTTCTGTATGAGAAAAGGTACTCCATTTAAAACTAATCTTTAGTGGGAACATACTTCCTAATTGAAGAGGAGAGTTACTGGTGCTTTATTTTATTTCTCTCAGGTTTTCAAGCAAATTTAGGAAGAGAAAGAGGGTTTAATTTTTTCTCCAAAAAGTATAGCAAGGCCTGAATAGTATTGTCTGCTTCTGTTTCATAGAACTCCATGTATAAGATTCACATAGCTTAGGAAACTGAGTCTGACAAACCATTCACTCCTTTTTCATGTAGCCTGAGTCAATGTCTGGGGGACACAGTCCCATTAATACTCAGTAATGCAGGTAGTCATCTACAGCCTTCCCTTAACATCAATAGGGGAGGTGAATTGCAGCCTCTCTTCCTCTCCCCCTGGGTAACCTCAGACTTCCTACATGTTATTGGGAAGGATGGAAAACCCCATGGTGCTGTCCTGTATGGACTGTAGGGTAGTATGAAGGTATAGTTAAGATAATGGACTTTCAAAGTCAGACAAATGGGCTTATGAATCTCAGCTCTGTTCTTAAATAGGTGAGTGTACTTCGGTGAGGTTTTTGACTTTCTGAGCCTCAGTTTCCCCATTTCGGATACAGGCATGATGATGGTGAGACTAATATAACAGGTTTGTCATGAGGGTCACAGAAGTTAATGCAGCTGACCATTGAAAACCCTGAGCACGGTACCTGGCACCGAAAAAATGGTATTATTGGGAATATGACTGGGGGCAGCTGAAGGGGATATTCCTTTGACTTTTCAGGAAATCATTCTGAAGAGAGCGGCCGACATTGCCGAGGCCCTGTACAGTGTTCCCCGCAACCACAACCAACTCCCGGCCCTTGCTAACACCTCGGTCCACGCAGGGATGATGGGCGTGAATTCGTTCAGTGGACAACTGGCCGTGAATGTCTCCGAGGCATCACAAGCCACCAATCAGGGTCAGAAGCTTGCTTTTCTCTTCCCTCCCCAACCTTAAGCACCCCATCTCCTCATTTATTGGTCATGAACAATTTTTACATTAAAAAATTATTTTCATCCCAAAAGGGAGATTCTTAGTTTATGTGTATAAGATATTATTGTACAATATTGGTCCTAGCTATCATTCGGGTAATCTAATATAGAGGGCTAGAAAGGATGCATGCATTTAGCCATCTCTCTACATTTGACTTTTCACCATAAACCATGAATGACAGATCACAGAGAGGGATGGAATTAAAGTTTTGAGGGCCCAAAGCACATCATTCTTGCCCAGGGAATAGGAACCTGTTAACTCCAGGGTACATCTCTTAGATCGGGATTTATTTCTGCTCTAAAATGATAATTTATAGGCCCAGCATTGCCATTTCTCACGGCCCTGCTAAGTATTTATGATCTCCTAAGAAATGTGTCTTTTGCTCGCTTCCCATTTTAATCACAGAGCTAGCACCACCAACCCACGCACATGAATCACCCAATCCCTTCCCTCTGGGTTGCGGCGACGGGGCCAGAAACAGAGACCTTCCTTTCCCCGAGTCTTCCAGGATTGCCACCATCTGAATGCCACCCTCACCTCCGGTTTTGCCCCCGCCCCTCAGGTTTCACCCGCAACTCAAGCAGCGTATCACCACACGGGTACGTGCCGAGCACCACTCCCCAGCAGACCAACTATAACTCCGTCACCACGAGCATGAACGGATACGGCTCTGCCGCAATGTCCAATTTGGGCGGCTCCCCCACCTTCCTCAACGGCTCAGCTGCCAACTCCCCCTATGCCAGTAAGTAGAGATGCATATCCTGCGTTCCTGCACGTTTCGCTAGAAGAACTTGGCATCATGCCATGTGGCCCAGTGGGCAGGGCTTCTCGGTCTGAGGCCCCCCATCTTTCCCTCCTGTAAGGCACTCCCCTGGGTGATGGTGCTAAAGGCACCATCGTCTCCAGCAGGAATCTCCGCTCTCCAGTGCTCACCTTCCTTCCTACAAAGTCTCCCTAACAGTCAGAATGTTGCTACCATCCAAAGCAGCTGTATGAAGTCGCTTCAGGAACCCATGCTCTGAGTTAGATGAAGACGGGTTGACTCCTGCTTCTCCCAGTTACTAACTCCCACTTCTACCAGTTACCACCAGCTACTCAGGAAACTGAGGCAGGAGGTTTGCTTGAGCCCAGGAGTTCAAGGTTACAGTGAGCCATGATTGTGCCACTGCACTCCAGTGCCTGGGTGACAGAGCAAGACTCCGTCTCAAAGAAAAAAAAAAAGCAAACAAAAAAACCCCCATAAACAATGAGGACACCATATTTGTCATCTACTTAATCCCAAAACATCTATTAGTTTCGTCTTGTTTCACCTGATTATTTTAGCTACATAAAAGGAATCAAGTTCATTTCCTCTCCAAGCCTCAATTTTCTCATCTGTAAAATTGGGAAGGAACTAGCACCCACCCCATCCAGTGTTGTGAGACATAGAGAAGATAGCGCATACAGTGAGCTTGTCCTGATGCCGGACACATGGATAGAGGCACATTTAGTAAATCTAATAATCATAGTGATGCAAAGATAATAACGTGGTGGTGGTGGTATAACATAGTAACAATAGTCTAAAACCTAACTTCTCTCCCTTCATAATTATTCATAAAGCACTCATGTTGAAAAATTCCAATGGAATAAAAAAAAATAAGACATTCCTCTGGTGAACACACATATGACTCCTTTATTTTTTAATGCTTGGATTTTTCCCCTTTGTTTGTGTTTGGTGTATATTTAAAACAACAACAAATCAAAACACTTTTCCAGAAATCTGGCAAGATTAAAAAAAAGGAAAAGAAAACCATATACACATAAAAAAACGTTCTTTGGTGCCTTGTCTCTGCCTTAAAGAAGTTTGCCTACAAAAACATTTTGGTACATTTATATTGCTTCTAAAGAACCTCAGAGAACTGGCCTCCTTATCTATAAAATGTCATAACCCGTGTTCTCACAATCTCTTGATCTCGCTCTGACTTTGAAGTTCATCTTGGACATTGCGAGTGACTCTTCTGATGTGTAAAATGTGGCCAAACTCTTAGATATTTGTGGAAGGATAGATAGGTGTACCATTAAATTAAAGAATATTCATGATTTCTTAAGGAGTCTTGGCTAAAAATACAGCAAATGATGCCCTGTCTCATAGTGAAAGTATGGATTGTTCTAGTTCTTTGAAAGAGGAAAGATCATTCTTGCCCTGTAAGAGAAGTTATTTCTGAAAATGTACTTACAGACTTTTACTTTCTGGGTGAATTTTTCTGCTCAAGGTCCACAAAATTACACATTTCATCTTAGTTTGGAATCAGCAGTTTGTTGAACATTTACAACTCCCCAAATAATCTGCATATATTATGTCTGTCTACTCACAAGTCAATGTTTAGGATCAGTTTCACATTAGATTTTGATTTATCAAAAGATTGTTTCTCATAGAGATCTATAATTTCAGTGTTCTCCCATTTATTCAGTCAGAAAATGTTTCGATCATGACCTGAAAATTAAAAGATGGCATTCTTAATTAAATCAATAAACTAATTGCTATATGGTAGCAATTCAATTTAGGGGCTTGGAATGCTCTCCTCCCCAAGCCTGTGCAGACACTCAGCCGCTTCAGCCTGAGATTGCATCTGTCAGACTGTGAAACTTTGAACATTTAATTTCCATTAATTGATTTTCTCAGTGCTCACAAACATAGTATTAAATTCTCAAATATGCTCTCAGATGGGACGGCTTTATCTGCACAAATGCAAATAAAACAATAAACACAAAGCCCAGTTGATTTGAATTTTTGCCTCCATAATATTTAATTATTCATAAAGCACTCATGTTGAAAAATTCCAATGGAATAAAAAAATAAGACATTCCACTGGTGAACACACTTTCTGGTGTGGTGGCTGATAACTAATAATGTTATAACAAATGGAGCTGCTTGACTATATTTTACCTCTACCTCTGTTAACTGGCCCCCCACCCCAAAACTCCCCACCTCTAAATACACATAATGATCACATTTGCCAATGAGATTAATTGCCTTCCTCAGTGAACCAGCAGGATTTCAAGTCTACGAATATTTAAAAATCAAACCTCCAGTGCAGGAGTTTTGCAATTTAAATGGGTGTTATTATTGAGCGTATTTTCACAGTTACAAATCCTAAGAGATGTATAAAAATGCTGGCCTCATTAAAAGAAAAAGTACAGTTTAGAAAATGTTTGTGAAAACTCTGAGGATGGTGGCTCTGCATTCTGCCCCATAAAGCACTCAGTGCGTGTGGATTGGGTAGTGCCTTGGACTGATTAGAAGGGGTCATTTTCCCCTGATGGCAATTGTTGCCTATGACCAATTGGATTCCCACTTTGCAAAGGATAAGGCCACCCAAACAGCTCCTTTGACTCTGGTGGGCTCATGGGAACGAGGCTTTTCCCCCTGGAGATCTGTTTCCTTTGCAGGGTAGCTTAGCAGAAAGAGCTCCAAATTTGGGCGTGATTCCTTGCTTCAGCGCATTCTAGCTATGGCCCTTGGGCTAGCTGCTACACTACTTTCTGAGTCCCAGCTTGCTTCACTTCCTCGGTTGTAAAAAAAAAAAAATATATGTGATAGGCCCCGACTTAAGGTTGCATTGCCCATGACAAGATGAAAAAGACGTGAAGATTCTTGTGAATGATAAAACAATATCTGATGTTTTATTAAGTTGTGTGAAAAAATAATAACATAGAAGAAATATCTAGGATACATACTTTCCTGCAGGAAATGGAGGAAATAGAAAGCGAGTGTATGAAAATATTAGTCTTGACTTAGCGTATGTGAAATCTCTGTCTCCTAAAGTAACCGAGAGATTATTAACCTGGAACAAAAGATGAGAGGCCAGGCCAAGAGGATCATGGTCGGTAGAGAATGTACGTCTACCGAGCTCTTTCATATCCCCAAGCTGCTAGGTTTTCTCTGAGTTGCCAGAGTTTTCCCATCATTGGTTATCTGCATCCCTACTACTACCAAACTGTGAGTATTTATGTAAGGCTCTGATCCTACTGCTTATTAATTCCCAAACATTCATGTATATCCCATGGCGGTTATAAAGAATTTGGAACTTGTAGAGTTCTGCATTTTTCACAAATGCTGCATGTGGCAGTCTGGTGGCCATCCTCTCAAGCTGGCTTCTTCCTGTTCCCCCTACCCCAGCCTCTTTCCTAGAACTTTAGTTTAGGCTCTACCTGGGATGCATCCCCTGATACCTCTTCTATGAAGTCTTCTCTGATTTCCCTTCCCTGCCTCCACTGAGATGGCTATGTTCACCTTTCTCACTGTTTTGTGCTACTCTATCCCTCATAAGAGGGTGTTGCACTTTTGTTTCCTGGCCTGGAATACTCTGAGGATGGTGGCTCTGTGTTCTGCCCCATAAAGGCACTCGGTGCATTTGGATTGGTTAGTGCCTTGGGCTGATGACCAGGGGTCATTTTCCCTTAATGACAATTGCTGCTGATGACCCTAGTGCCTAGCACACTGCCTGGCACACAGTGGCCCCACAATAAACACATAAAAGATCTCCAGTAATGAAAGGTAGCACGTGCTAAGTTCTGTATAGTGAAAGTGGATGAGAGCCTGCGAATTCAGGGAAGGTTTGTGCTGGAAGCATCGTCTGAGCAGGGCAGAGCAAGGTGGCTGGGTGAGGGATGGATCTGAGCTTCTTTGCTTCAGGATGCCATGAAAGGCACTGATTTCTCCTTTCTCATTGCCCCTCTCAGTAGTGCCATCCAGCCCCACCATGGCCTCCTCCACAAGCCTCCCCTCCAACTGCAGCAGCTCCTCGGGCATCTTCTCCTTCTCACCAGCCAACATGGTCTCAGCCGTGAAACAGAAGAGTGCTTTCGCACCAGTCGTCAGACCCCAGACCTCCCCACCTCCCACCTGCACCAGCACCAACGGGAACAGCCTGCAAGGTAAGCCCCAGGCCCCACCTGCCAATCCAGATTCAATGCCCTGACTTCACCCTCCCAGGGCCTGAAGCAGATGCATCACCATTGCTGAGGGTATCAGCCTTGGGCCCTGCCTGATTCTCTCTGCCCTCATCTCTTCTGTTCCTTTGTATTTGCTCTCCTCAACCCTGGCCCTTGGCCCTTGGCCATACTCATCTCTCCTCTGCTGGAGGTGCTCAAGAAGTCCTCTTTCCAACTTCAGCAATTCTGCTCAGGCCCGGGATTTGCTTGGGAATACTGTTTCTACTGACTAACAGCATCATTTCTCTTTTCTCCTCTTTCACTCCTTGTGGTCGCCATTATCAGATCAGTCTTTTGTGGACTCTAGCAAGTTCTCCAGTGCAGGGTCTCTCCCGGGACTGGCCTTCTCCTGAAGTAGGTCACTCAACCTTCCCTTCCTGTTGCCTGTGTCAGAGTGAACGTGTGTGGGGCTGATAACAGGGAGGGGGTGAGCCATAACTTGATCAGAGCCCTGAAGTTAGATCATCATAGACCAAAGGCCAAAGACTTCCTACTGGGATTAAGAAACCCCAGAACACCACTAGAGTATTCTGATTCATATTAAAATTGTTCAATCGCTTTCCCACCATTGCATTTGGAAAATAAAATAGTTGCTAAGAGTTGAGATGACCTTTTCATTAAGAATAAAAGGTTACCCACCTTTTAAAACTGAGCACACCATTTCTTACATTTTTCTTATGAGCTTAGCACTCTGTTGTGTGTCATATGTTGAGACCTGCACAACCTCATTCATTGCCCCCAGCAGGATTGTGTGGTAGGTACTCATATCTGCTATTTGACAGATGAGAAAACTAAAGGTTAGAGAGGTTATGAAATTGCCTGACTTTTAACAGCTGATACATGGCAGAAGCTGGCTTCAAATTCAGACTGAAACATTCATCTCCTAAATACTTTATTATTCAGAGGTGCTAAAAGAGACATAGCCAGGGTTCCTAAGGCAGCTGGTAGGGAGATAAGATTAGTAAACTAGTCAACCACCATTTATTGAGCACTGAACAGTGTACCTGGGGCTGTCCTATGCATGGAGCAGATTTTATACCATTTAATCCTCACATCTTCCTAAAGTATGAGGGCCATTATGGTCTTCATTGTGCAAATGATAAAATGGAAGCTTAAAGAGGGTAAATACCTGACCACAGACATAGTCGGTTAAACGGTGGAGATGAATGTAAGCCCCATCAGAGTCTGTGCCCTTAAGCCCAGCCATACAAAGTTTCCCACAGTGTCTTCCCTTGGTGGCTGGCATCTCACTGATGGAGGTCAGCCTGGAAGTCAGGGAGGGGTGAGGAAGGCAGTGCACATGTCTGGGATATCTCAGCCCTGTTTCTTATGTACAAGTACATGCATATTTCTACTTGTCTACACATACTGTGTGCTGGATGCTTTACACTGTGATGAGCATATAGTGATTCTCCTGAAGACCGTATGATGTCAGCACTAGTCCCATTATACAGATGGGAAACTTGAGGCTTAATTTGATCCAGGTCACATGGCTAATAAATAGTACAGCTAAACTGGAACACAAGCCATGTGACCCCAGAGCCTGAGCACCCGATCACGTTGTCTTTCTGCCTCCAGGAGGACTCTTCAAAATACTCCTCAGAACCTTGCTTGCAAATCTGCCCAGCACAGCCCAGACTCAGCGCCCCACAGAGCACGCCGCTCTTCCCCACTCTAACATACAGTGGCAAATCCATCTTCTTAGAGGAAAGAGGAAAAAAAAAAAAAAAGCGTGCCTGTGCAACTGCATTTCAGGCAATATTACTCATGATAGAAAATGCCCACCTCCACAAAGTAGAGCCACCCATTCCTGCAAATCTCATTCTCTTTCAGCTAAAAATAATGCTTTGTCACCCTCAGTACACCTCCAGCTGGCAAACTAGGGATATAATGCTTGAGCGAATATAACTTATAATAGGTTTAAATAATGATCATACATATGGAAAGCAGAAATTTACCATTCTTGAGCTGCCAATCTCAGCCCTTGCTAAACATAGATTTGACATCAGAAACAAGATATGATGGGGTTTATAATCAGCAGTTGACGGGAAGCACTGGAGAAGAAAAGGCCCCCACTATTGGAAGGTCAGTGGCTCTATCATAGGCCAACAGTGACAGAAGTGGGCAGCTCCCAGGAGGCCCGATGTCTTCTCATGCCCTGTGGTCCTAGGAAGGAGCAGGAAGTGGTTGGAAACAGGGGCTGGGCTCAGATCTTATGACTTCCTGGGTTTCAGGAGATCTGGTTATCAACTGAAAGCCAGGATCTGGATGAGGGTATGTGCCTGTTTAAGTCATGATGAAATGGCTTCAGGACAGGGATATATACAAAGTTTGTGCATTTGTCCTCCCAGGGATTTTCCAACTCAATTCTTACCCAATTACAGATCCCAAAAGTACAGAGACTGTCCCCATTTCTCTGAATAACTGCTGAGTCTG
Source organism: Homo sapiens (assembly GCF_000001405.40). Taxonomy (NCBI): domain Eukaryota; kingdom Metazoa; phylum Chordata; class Mammalia; order Primates; family Hominidae; genus Homo; species Homo sapiens. The sequence continues at coordinate 158,705,485 of NC_000005.10, read as the reverse complement.
TGCCTCTCTGTCACCTTTCCTAACACAGGGCCACAGTGTGGGAGGTTTGAGGTCTGATTCAGGGACACACCTTGTGCTGGATTCACTGTTGTGGATGACACTGCCCTTTCCTTCTGATTGAACAAATGTCAAGGAGACTTTTTTGGATTTTCCCCTATCCCATGCCCTGACTATTGAGCATGATAAAACAACTATAAAAAGAATGGACTGGGCGTGGTGGTTCACACCTGTAGTCTCAGCACTTTGGGAGGCTGAGGCAGGTGGATCACCTGAGGTCAGGTCTTTGAGACCAGCCTGGCCAACATGGTGAAACCTCGTCTCTACTAAAAATACAAAAATTAGCCGGGCCTGGTGGTGCAGCCTGTAGTTCTAGCTACTAGGATGACTGAGGGAGGAGAATCACTTGAACCTGGGAGACAGGTTGCAGTGAGCTGAGATCGTGCCACTGCACTCCAGAGCAAGACTATTTCAAAAAGAAAGACAGAAAGAAAGAAAATGGTTTTTGGTTTGCTCGTACTGTCATATACCAAATATCCCTACTTTTGAGATGTCAGTGATGGACATACGGATGGAGAAATTAAAGTCAAATTAATGTAAACATCTCACTTTAAGCTCTTCTTTCTGCCCACTGCACCCCCAGGTGCTGTGCTGGCAGGTGGGGCCCACACTCTGGGACTTGCCTCTTTAGCCTCTGCACACAATCTCCAGCAGGGCAAAGAGGACCCAGCCTTAGGTGGGCACCAGTTTTTCAGGGCACTCTTGCTTGAGCCACAAAAGTTTTCCCTGAGAAAGGTGACATTCAGAGAATTACTTCATCTTTAACTTTCCAAACTATTTCTACCATAAAAAAAAAAAAGAAAAAAAGGATGAAGGCAGGTTATGGAATTGGTGTAAGGATCCCTGAAGTGTTCTATTCCACGTTTTTCCTTTTCAATGTTACAGTAGCACCTACTTCATTGGGACCCACCTAGTTCAGAATTGTGATCATTAAGACAGGTTAAGTGACTAGGAAGACTTGGTTAAGCAAATTGCCCATGTCAACAAGATTAGAGGTGCCACATTTAGGCCATTTAAGTGTTTTCAAGGCCTATTTACCTCCAACTACCACTCTGTTAACTGTGCATGGTTCTGTTTTTTAAAGCCGACTCCTAAAAGACCTCTTCCCCAGCAGCACTCCCTTAGTCTCCTCCGGTTACTACACGCATATTTATTCCCCAAGAACTAAGCACGGCCATGTCACATGGTGGTGATAATGGTGAACACAGCCACTGACTAGGAGGGCTTATTCCCAGCCTGGCTCCCAACCACCCTTAAGGTAGCTTGTCTGTTGTCCCTGTTATACAGATGCAGAAACTGAGACTGAAGCTAAGGTGGCTTGTCCCCATTTACACAACTAGCAAACAAGGAAGCCTGGGCTTTAAGCCCAGACAGATTGACTGGACTATGTTAAGCCCCTATGCTATATTACATTTCTATATTCAAGTCACTAGGTTAGGCACAAGAGGGCTACAAAATCCTGCCCTCAAAATCTTTCCCTGTATTAGGGGAGACATGACACCAAAGTAAATAAGGAAGATCTGTCTGGGAAAGGCTGGGCACCCAGCTGTGGAAGTACAGAGGAAGGAAAGATGAAGGAGAATTCAGAACAGGCTCAAGGAGGAACAAGTGGGATTCAGGGCCAGGGAGATGGGGGCAAGGGGCACTTTCAGCAGAAAGACTGAGGACAACCTTAGCCAAGAAGCAGAGACAGACATGTCCTGGATAACATGCGGTGACCAGTAGGATTCACAGATTCTATCATGATTCCAGCTGGCTTTGTCTCCCAGGTAGATAAAACGTTTGAAAAGTTACCATATATCTGAGGGTTTTTTTTTTTTTTTTTTGAAAAAGCAACTCTAGTCTCAACTTCTGGAGCCTCACAAAATGTCCTGTTAAAAAATAAAAATATGGTAGTCAAAAACATTTAGAATGTGGTGCTCCCTGGATCACTATCTTGGAGATCCACAATTAAAGTCTCTGGGGCATCCTGCAGTTAAATAAAAATGACTATTTCATTTAGTTTGGCAAACTTGTTTGCCTACAGAGTCCTTTTCTGCATGTTAAGAACACTTAATGTCATATGAAAAACTTTGGAAAATGCAACTATATTTTGGATTTAAAGAGAAAAATGCAGAGATACCTCTTTCTATTCTTATGCAGGTGAAGTAATTGATAAATCCTGGTCCCAGACTACCTAACTGTGTCTGTTTTCCAGAGCCAAAGACTTGAGTCACCAACTATGCTCAGTCTTTGTCCATGGAGATGTCCTCTCCTTTCTCCTGAAGCTTATGCTGCTTAGAGCTTGGGTTTCAGGCAATTTAGGCCTCAGAGGACTTCATTTATTCAAGACAGAGGCATCCCCAAGAAGGCTGTTACATGCCATTGGAACCCCCGCTGATGTAGTGATTCTAAACCTTAGCCATGTCCTGGACAGTCTACGCATGAAAAATTAAAAACAAAAAGGCCAGAGTAATTTCACAAAAGTAGTATCCATATACTGATGTTTTTTCTTTTCCACCTTGCTGAAGCTCAGGCTGGCTCTTCTCAACCCTAGATATCATGCAGCCCAGGACCAAATCCTATGGAATCGTCATTTTTTCCATGCACATATTCAGTCGGTGCAAGATTTACCCACTCACTTACCCCCCTGTTCCTGATTAGCTCATAATTCTTTTTTTTTTTTTTTTTTTTTTTTTTTTTTTTGAGAAGGAGTCTCCCTCTGTAGCCCAGGCTGGAGTGCAGTGGCGCGATCTCGGCTCACTGCAAGCTCTGCCTCCCAGGTTCATGCCATTCTCCTGCCTCAGCCTCCTGAGTGATTAGCTCATAATTCTTACACATGTGGTGGTTTGGGTACGACCACATTCCACCCTCTCACTCCAAACCCTCCCAGCTCTGCAGAACTTTGTTTTGTCTTTGTTTTTATCAAAAATATGGAAACGGTAATGAAAAATGCATTGCCTCTCAAAGCAATAGTTTTCTGAGCTTCTGTCAGAGAACATGATCATCCAGCTGCTGGGGAAAATGGCAGAGCCACCATGGTCTTGTGATGTCTTGGCACATGGTGCTGAGAGGGTGGTGTCCTCATGGGAATCTTTATGCACTCCACTTGGGCAAGTTAGCATGCCAATGGCATTGCTGGAACATTCCAAGCTCCAGACACCCATCCCTCTCACCCACATAATCTTCAGATTGCAGCACAGATATAAGAAAAACAACTCCTAAAACTCAAGATCTTCAGGCAGTTTTGCAGTGGAGTTTCTCTATTAAAAGGGCCTCTTTGGAGGTATCTAGGCTCAGAGGCCACAGGCAGGGATCTTTTCCCATAATTTACTCAACCGCAAGGGTTCTGCCCTTGGAGTTTAGGAAGTCATGATTGGGATTTAGAGAACAGTAATGCTTTGATATTACATGCAAAATTCTGGGTGTAGGCAACATGGGCCTTAGAATGTTCCAGAAATGCTGTGGCATGCTGTCTTGCCCAAGTAGGGTACATGAAGATTCCCCATGAGGATACTCAGCACTGTGTGCCAAGACATCACAACCTCTTTTGAAGAGAGGTTCCATAGCTCCCATTAGACTCTCAGAGAAGTCTGTCGGCTGATGAAGGCGAGGTAGGAAAGTAGGAGTGGGCCAAACCCACCCCCTAGACCCATATATTTGTTTTTAATTTCAATTTTGTGCTATCATGTATAAACTTGGCTATTTCTTTTTTTAAAAAAACAAAGTCTAAATCTCTAGCTTCTCTTGAAACATTTGAGAAGATCAGTGGCTGTGAGCAGGCATTCCTGCCCAGTGGCATTTGGTGGGAGCTGAGTCACTGCCCAGGCATGCCCTTGGCATCATCACCTCCATCCTCACTTACGCACCCAGGGGATTCACTCACTGCTGTTCGCAGCCTGGGCTCTTGGGATGCTGGAGTTTGCAGCCCCAATGGTCCAAAATAAAAAGCGCTGTTAACTATGAACTGGTACATCAGTTAGCTTTGCTTTAGAACTTTTAATGTGGCCCTAAGTGGAGGCTTAATCTAGTTGATCTAACACACTATTTGGGTACCAAAAGCCTGCTTAGATTTTTTTTTTTTTTTTAATTCTGGCCATTCAAATGGGATGTTTTCACAGACCAGCTAATAAATGTTGGCTGGACCCACCAACCAAATTAGCTTTTTCCTTTGCTTTGAATCATATTGATACTGCCTGAGTTGTGTGACTATACTATAGGGAACTGCTCTTTAATGCCAGGCACGCAGAATAGATTTTGGTGGAAAGCGAAAGTAGACTTGCACCTTTTGCCACAGGCTTAAAACTCCCGCTGTCTTTAATAAAGGTGCCTGGACCCACCTCCAGCCCAGATGAAAAGATCCTTGGGGAGGCAGAGCCATGCTGGGCTGTCACACAGCAAAGACTCCCCTGCGCCTCCTTGCCTTTGGAGTGATAGCATCTCGAATTCTCCAGTTAAGGCTTGGATTGAAATACTGAGCTCCTGGTTTCAGTCAAACCTAGGGCTCACTTGAATCTTAGGGGGACTGCATTTCCAACTGATCTCAAGTCTTTGGGGGTTTAAGTTGGTCTGCGTTTGGCAAAAGACAACTTCCTGTTTCTAAGAAAAAAAGGCTTATGAGGGCTTACAGAAAGGACTCCAGGAGCTTTTGGGCTGCAAAAAGGCTCTTGCAAAACAACATTTGGATGATTTACGTGTAAATGAATCAGAAACATGTGGATTGAATTTCCTTGTGAATACAGATGGGTTTAAAAATTAACGGAAAAAGTGTTTGGCAAAATACTTTTTGGGTTTCATTTTAATTGAATCTAAAATACCAGGGGTGGGGGTGGGGAAGCCGGAGGAACGTGGGGGTCTTGGGGCTAAGAGCCCAGGGTGGCCTCCCTGTGTCCACTTGCAGGATTTGTGGTACTGGGGTTCGCTTTTTTTTTTTTTTTTAAAGGCACATTCTTCCAGAATAGTAAACTAAGAGGGCCACTTCCTAGACACAGTCATCACTGACAAGAACACTAATTAATTTACGTTTAGATTTGCCATAAAAAGAAAGCAATGACTCTCTCTGCCTGACAAGACACTTAACCGTGATTGGGAGCCAAAGACGGCTGCCCCTTGCTTGTAATGTCAGCATCTCTCTCACTTTGACATGTTTCAAAGGTGCCACCCTGTTTTAATTTTCTTAGTTATCCTTTTATTCTTCCCAGCAATCACACAAAGTGTGCCACATGGGATGGTGCCTATTTGACATAAGAGCAAATACACCTCAGAAAAGTTAAGCAATTAACACAAGGTCACACAGCTAGTTTAGTAGCAGAAGTGATGGGTTAAAAATCCCAGCAGCTAACGTCTATCAGGTCCTCACTAGGAGCTGAACCCAGGCTAAGCACTTTGCATGTGTCATTTTATTCACCTCTCCAATAACCCTAAGTGTTGCTGTGATTCTAGCTACAGAAGCTGAGCTTCACAGCAGAAAAGCCAGAGGTGGGACTCAGGCCTATCTGATTCTGTGTTCTCTAAATACCACTATCTGCGACCTCCTAGCTTTGAATGCTTTCAACAATTTTTGGTTACCTCAAACAGGCTTCTTTTTTCCCAGGATCTCACTCCAGCTTCCCCAGGCTACAGTTTTCTAGGAAATATGGTCAGATCATTCCCGAAACGTTGAGTGAAGCCGTGATATGGAAGACATTCTGCAGTTTCATGCAAACCTGTCTTCTCCTCCCAGCTATGCTTTCTCCCAACTTTATGTTCCCAGTGAACAAGGCCTGCTGTAGCTGGCATTTCCTTCTCCCAGCTTAAGGACCTAAGCAAAGGCACTCAAGATTTCTGCTCTGTGGCTTAGTTTTTGTGCTAATACAGAGGATAGGGAATGCCAAGTTTTTTGTAGAAACTGCTTGCAGTTTGGATGGACCACTTCTTTATATTTTGGGTGTGAAGGGGAGGGAAAAAAGAGTGACAAAGTGAAAATTCTCACTATTTTGCAAGGTTCGAAGCTGCAACTTTCCCAGTGGTATTCAAACTATGCAACTTTCCAGTTATGCCTTAAAATTGAAATCAGATTTGGAGAGATGTTTAGGATATTTTGTTCTGTTAAAGACACATACCCATGCTGATTTATTATAATTTTTAATAAAGCACATGTATATTTTATAACGAAAATTCATTCCAGAGAAGATGAGAGCAAATTTGTGGCTAATAGTCGAACAACATAGTTGTGTGTGGGTGTTTTTTTTTTTTTAGTCTTCATTATTTTTCTCAGTGAGAAGTTTGAACGCAAAGAAACCATTGACTTCTGTCTTTTCTTTCATAGCGATATCTGGCATGATTGTTCCTCCTATGTGAAAGAATTGCCTTGAAGAATTGTATTAATGAAGAGGTTGGATTCTGCTACAGAGAGTAATCTGATACAAGTCCCAGAGTGGAACTTTTAACTCAGGCCTTTTTAAGAGGAATCACAATAACTGCAGATTTTTAAACAAACAAAATCACCGACCTTGCAAATACTGAAATTGGAAGAGGGATCTGCAAGTGCAGGGTGTTGGTTAAAGTTGTACCTCCCAAGTATTTGGGGGATATATTTATTCTGTATTGACAAAAGCAAATCCACTTTTTCTTTTTCTTTTTTTTTTTTAAGCTTAATTCTGCAATCATTTGTCTTTTATAAACCGTAAAGCTCTATACAAGGGACACTATAAATAAGACTCCATGTTTTAATTTATGATGTTTTTAAAGCTGTGTAAAGGAAGAATGAAGTGGTGATATTTACAAAAAAGTAAAAAAAAAAAAAAAGAAAAAAAGGAAAAAAAAAAAAGCTTGTATGGGACAGAATAGGAATGCCAGTTAGATTTTTTAGAAAAACTAAGGGTCGGCTTTTGCGCCTTAAAGCATATCAAATGGTAGTTAGCTCAGACAGTGCATTTTCAATATCTAACTTAACATGCCACCCCTTAGCAGTGCAAGCTTATTTATCTCTTTTGTATTGTTGTCTTAAGCAACTGTGTAAATAAATGCAGCCTGGAAAGTTAAAACGCGATGTAAGTGATCACATTTTTCCCTCTACTCGAAAATCCAGTGCCTCTAGACAGATTGTTAAAACTGCATATTTAAATCTGATCTCATTCTCTCCTTTTACTTAAGTCAGTTTCTTCTGAAGCCGATGGCCTCTCGAGAGCTTGGTGGCACACATACTGTGTGAGAATCTCCTTTGAGACTTCATGGAACAGGGTCCAGGCACAGAATTCCACACTCTGCCCTCCAGTTAACAAGCCAAAACCTCACGTACGCTCCCCCATTTGCAAGTTTAAAGTTTACTCGTCCTAAATGCAGACTTCATACCTATCTTCCAAAAGTTGATAAAAGCAACGTGGCAGGTATTTTCGATTTTCCCATTCCAGATACTGCCTCTATCAGTCGACCCTTACCATTTGTAACATAATAGATTGAAACAACAGGTTAAGTGCTTTGGAATTAAGAGTTAAAGGGAACCGGGGGTGGAGAAAGGAAAAGAAGGTTGAGACCTCCAAAACATAGTTTTCTGTTCTATGGGAATTTTTGCTCTCATTATCTGGGAAGTGTTCTTAAAAATAAGAATTAATAGCAAAGATGCAGCAAAGCTCTGAGGATGCATTTGCCTGATATTTTTTTCTTTGCTCTTGTGTTTTTGTATGTAGTTATAAATACTGTAGATTTTTTTTTTGTGATTTTTTGCCAAAGTTGTTGTTCTATTTATACATTTTAATGTCTTAAGACATTTTTTCAATATCACAAAAAGATTTTACTGCGTATTTTGCAAAGAAAAAAAGCTCACTACCTTTAGCTTGCACATACTTGCAAAGTTAATTAAAAGGCTTTTTGTTTTAAAGGGGATTTTGTAAAATATCCATATAAATAATGTATTTATCTTTCGAATTTGTACATTGCTTTTCCCTTCTTCCTCTTCCTTCCACCCCCAATTTATTTTATTGTGTATGTTTGCTACGTGAAAAGTGCGTATTTGTTTGGTCACCTACACTTGTATTAGCTGTTTCAATGTGATTTTTAAACATTTCATTTATAGTTATTTTTAGTATTGTTATAAACCATGCTTCAGTTTTTTTAATTTCCACCCAAAAGTCATTGTCTATTTTTGTATTATTTGTAAGTTAAGAAGTTTTTTCCAATATATGGCAAAAAAAAAAAAATAGTAGCATATTATTCTTGTAGTATTTAGTTCAGTAGATTTAAAAAAAAATGTATCCTTTGCTTTGGAAGCTTACAAAACAACCCTAATGCTGTTTTACTCTATTAATATGCATGGAATCTCTCCCTTTGGAGTGACGCATTTTGTGCATTAAATTCTAGGGAGAAACTTCATAGAAATCAATGAACATACTTTCTTTCTTAAGTCTGCTTGTATATTTCCTCTGTCTTTCACATAAATATAAACCAGCAGATTGGATGCCTTAACAATGCAAATCATATTCATTTCACTTGTACATTGTAACTGTGCACCAGAACTGTCAGTCATCACTAACATTCTAAGAAAAAAGAAAAAGAAAAAAAGAAAAAAAAAAAAACAAAGAAATCGAAAAGCACAAAAGAACTGTTTTGTTACCTTAAGACAATGTAACTTTTTCTAGTAGAGCAAGAAATCATTTACAACAATGCTGCAACTGTGCATGCCCCCATATGGATTTTGCAATGGTTTTCACTAGGCTGTCAAGAGTGCGATTTTTATGGGTTGGGGTGGGTGGGGGAGGGGAGTTGTGGGAGGGTAGGGGAGGGAGGAAAGCTGTTTTTCATGGTGAGAAATAATAATGATGACTAATAATAATAAAAAAAACTGGAAAATGTAAGCAAGGTGGACGCATTGCTTCTCGGTACTCAGAAAGGTTATCTGAATTTGCGTGGTAAGCGCTGGCCTGAAGATGTACACAAGTTAAAGCCATATTTTATCTGGTGAGCCCCTTAACTGTTTCTGAAGGAATGAACGGTCAGCCGGGAAGGTGTCCGGCTTAGACCTTGACAACAGACACTACCCATCTGTCAGCCATGTGCAGTGGTTAGAACTCTTCTTGAAAGTCCAAAGAGCCTTTAAAATGTGTATAATTTGTGTTTTGTTGCTTCTATTTCTATTGATTAGATGAAAAGACATTCTGGCCCTCTGATCCTCTTTCTTCTCCACAAAAGTTTTACAAATAAAAGATGTTCCCCTAAATACAGAATATGGCTTTAAGAAGAAAATGAAATGAAGAATTAAATTAAGATTTCAGTGTTGGGGGAAAAAATACAGCTTCTGGATGACTGGATTGCATAACATTGCCCTGGCCTCACATTGTACTAGGATGCAGCTTAAATGAAGTCATCTCTAAATCTACTAACCTTTCACCTTCTTATCAAAACTTTTTGAATAGACACACACTGTACAGTTCAATTGTTAGAGAACCTAACTACTGTAGAGATTGTTAAATTTTTTTTTTTTTTTTGCAAAAATTCAAGCTGTAAAAACTTTTCAACTTTCACAATATTTAATTAAAGTTACTTCCTGTCTGTGATGGCAGCTCCTAGTTGTGTATTCATTTCTCTATTTCAGATGAGCCAAAGTCCAACATAATGTAAAAGGTCTGTGTTTGCAATGACTCAGATCAGTCTTGATACCCAGTGAAAAGGAATTAGGGTAGTGCTGGGACACCCTCTTTCTTATGTAGGTCCTTGGGGATTTGCTAATCTGGGATGCAAATTGAACACGCGCAGCGTACTGCTGCCCTCTGCCGGCGGTAGCTGGATGTGCACATGCCCACACCGGTCCATATAGGAGCCAAGAGCCCCCAGCAACTTCAACAGCCAAGCCCTGAGATCCTCCTGCGTGATTGAACTGTGAATCCAGGAAGTGGCCATTCTAGAACCCCTATCCTTCGTGCTACAAATCTGAACCAAGCTTTTCACACACAGCTGCTAATTAATCCCAGCGAGCCTTCTGGTCAACTAATTATGTGCCCTGGCTCATTGATGAGGAGGCATGTGTGAACTGAGCCTTCTGTTATCAATATTTTTTAACCCCACATGAATAAGATACTTTTCCTGTTGGACAGGAGTGAAACATTCCACAAATACTAGATAGGTACCTACTCATGTAAAATTGTTTCACTTTAAATTCCATCATGATCATGAGTCTTTCTAAATGCACACTCAATGATTTTCCTACTTTTACAGTTATTGAACATGATGAGGTTAATGATACTTGTAAAATGCCTCAAAAACTCAGCAGATAGGCTGTAGGCCAACGGAAACTTGATGGCCAGAGGTGATAGGATGGCTGCAACACAGTCACATGTGGTGGGCACTGTTTCGGCTTTGGAATATAGCCCGATTTGAGTAATGAAAGAGAGTGATATATAAGTTAGAGAAGCTGCCATCCTTTTAAAGAAACTTGCTGAAAAGTGTGGCCATTCAATATATGTTTCTTTTGAATTCTGTGTTTGATATAGTTTCCTGTATTAGATGCAGAAGATAAAGATTGAACAAGAGGCCCCTTTTCTCAGGATGCACACCATCTCAGAAAAGACACACTTATATTCAAATTATGCTAGAATGGTCGGCCAGGCTGAGACAGGTGTGCCACAATGCTCCACAGAGCACAGCTGACGTCCACACCTCTGACACGCTGGCCCCTACAGTCTTTAAGGGCTACCTCTTGAAAGTGCTCATTCACTCGATCGTTCATTTATTCATTCATGCTTGTAAACTTTGCGCGTTTCCTATGCCTCTGGTGCTAGGCAAGACATGGTGATACATCGGTGGGCCATGGTGACATTATACCCACTTGGAGCTCATACTTGAGTGGGGCAAATGAACGTTAAGCAGCCACTCAAGTGCCTGTAACAAACGAATCATGGTAATGAAGAAAATGTCTACAATGCTCTGAAAGTACATTGCAGCAGGATCTGATTTAACCTGAAGTGCTGGGAAAGGCTCCAGAGAAAGTAACATTTGAGCTGAGGTATAAAAGCTCAGCAGGAGCTAACCAGGTGGGCCTGGCCCCTTAGGCAGAGGAAATGAGGGAGGTGTAAGAACACTGAGCTTTGGAGCACATAAGGTACATTTAGGAACAGAAAAACTATGTGAGTGGAGTGTGCAGATGTGCACAATGAGACTGTGGGGCTTGGGAGTTCAATTCAGAACATGTCCTGAGCACCTACCACGTGCCTGGTACTGTGCTAGCTGCCAGGTACACTAAGCAAATGGGCCATAGTTCCTGCCTGTAGGGCCTATGGCAAGGCTCATAAACTCACAGCCCCATATTTGTTCATAGGGGCTATGCTGGTTAAAAAATCGGGGTGGGCCAGGCACGGTGGCTCACGCCTGTAATCCCAGCACTTAGGGAGGCCGAGGAGGGTGGATCACGAGGTCAGGAGATTGAGACCATCTTGGCTAACATGGTGAAACCTTGTCTCTACTAAAAATACCAAAAAAAATTAGCTGGGCGTGGTGGTGGGCGCCTGTAGTCCCAGCTACTGGGGAGGCTGAGGCAGGAGAATGGCGTGAACCGGCAGGTGGAGCTTGCAGTGAGCCGAGATTGTGCCACTGCATTCCAGCCTGGGTGACAGAGCGAGACTCCATCTCAAGAAAAACAAAAAATGAGGGGGTAAACTAGGGATAAAAACAACCAGACAGGGAGTGGGAGGGCTGGGGCCACTGGCAAGTGCATGCTCTGTCCAAAGTGAGAATCCCACTTGCTCCAGGCAATTGCTCCCATGTGAGAATGTGGACCCAGTGTTGCCCATCTTTCATTTCTCAAGAATGCCAGATATGTTACTAGATTATTTAAAAATCTGGCATAAAATTTTCATTTTTAAAATGTCAGCAACTTATCTAAAAACAGTGTTTTAAAAACACTTTCTTGGCCAAACTAAGTCCAGAATCCCCTAGAGTGTCAGTTTGAGACTTCTGACCAAAAGATAAGTTACGAACGGTGATGTTCACACAGCCTGATTTGAAAGTCATAATGACATGTTCTCTCCATGGAGATCAAGGAAGACTGCAAAGAAGAGGATACTCCAGTGGTGTTCTATAGGATAAGAGTTCTCCAAACATATAAGGGAAAGTAGGTAATGGAAGGCACTGGTCAATGCCCTGGCAGCTGACTTTATGAGAAAAAACATTATTACCATAAATCCAAATAGGAATATGGAAAATTGGAATCATGTGCTTGTGAAAAAAAAATCCTCTGTCTTCTGCAGTAGCTGTATTCAATGCAGAAGTATAGGTCAGCTTTTAAAAACAACAACAACAACAACAATTCTGTTTGCCTTGCAGAAAGACCCTTATGAATGAATCCATTTTTAAGTACACTTTCAGTGAAGTGGACCCTTTCCAACACACCATGCTCAAAGCCACACCTGCCCTAGCATGCTCCAAAATCATCATATCATCAAGAATTTTGCTCCTGAGATTATCTTCTCCCTCTCCAGCACCATCACATTCTCTTTCCTCAATTTACATTCAGACCAGCTTACAAATGTGATCTCATTGAGGAAAAAAAAGATTTGACCTCACTTTGCTTGTAAGCTAGCCACAGTCCTCCTGCTCCTGATAGTAGCGAATCTCAAAAGAGTTGTCTATGTCTGCTATCTTCTCTTCTTCATTTATACTTTCTCATTATTCATATTACAATATATGTTTATTGTAATTTTGAAGAGTGGAGAGTCTTCCATGTTGTAAACAAGGGATCTCAATTTATATTTTAGAAGTACCATCTTGGTTGCTACAAAAAGAACAAATTGGAGGGAGACAGAGGGAAAATAGAGGACATTAGAAGGCCATTGCAGTCATCCAAGCAAGGAATGAACAGCTTGGACTAGGAGAAGAAAAAGGAGGAAAATAGAGAGGATTAAAAAATATTTAGGCAATAGAACTATCAGGATTTGGTGACTGATTCAATGTCGGGATTGAGGGAGATGAAAAAGTCAAGATAAAGCTCAGTTTTGTGACTGCTGGTAAAGAAATAGTTGATGTCTCTGTTTGGGCTGTTTCCTTGCTCTGGAGCGCAATAAAGAAGCCCCTTCCTCGAATTGCCTTTGCTTTCCTTCCCTCTTCCAAATATGATCCTCTTCTCCAGAGGCTTCTGTATTTACATTAGGAATGAAATTCAGTTTCTGGAGCTGGAAACACTTTGTTACTTTTTTTTTTTTTTAACTTAAGCATCAAGCAGTTTTATCTCTTCTCTCTGGAGAGTTATGCTACAGTGGGACTGATTTTTATCTACTTAGCATACATTTTTCCCACTGATTGTAGAATTTTCACATTCTATATTAAGAACAAACATTCTAGGCCCTGGCGTTAACCACAGGCCTGATGGTTGGCCTTCTGTAGGAAATATCCTGCACTGGGAATTATCTTATAAGGAAAATTTAGTACTCCACAAAGACGCTGATGAAATGTCAACACAAAGGAAGGAGAGCCATTGAGGGCGATTCATTCAATAACATTGATATGGATGGGATTCTGCCAGGAAAGCAAGGAGAAATGAATGAGAAACAGGCATTACCCATGGCCTTCTCTGAAGCATTTATTTACACAATATCTCCTTACTGAACATCTTTGTGTCAAGTGCTGTGCTAAGGGCTGGGAATATGATTTATGTCTTAAATAGACCTATCTCCTTCATTGTTTACTGCCTAAGGAGGACAGAGACATGACTCAAACAATCACACAAACATATAATTACATACTGTGATAAACTGCTCTGTAACCCTAATATATCTGAGTGAGCATGTGGCTCTATCTCTGCATAAAGTTGAGCCTAGCTCAACAGCCAAAATTAATTAAAGGGGAACCAAATTCCTTATCTAGACCCATCAAAAGCTATTAAAATAATCTAAATATAAAGCCCACAGCAATATCTAGTAAAGTGACCTTTCTTCTATTATCTTTTCCCTCACTTCTCATCTTATTCAGATACTACTTTCTCCAATCCATCTGACCAAAACCCCCTGCTCTATTCTAAGTTTCCATGATTTTTCTTTCTGCCTTCTCCCTCTTTGTCCATCTCTCTTATTGTTTTATTTTTTACTGTAGGGGCAGAGAAGGTTTCTCTTCCACCCTCTCTGAAGGTTCTTTGAAATGACTCACCATAGACAGATAAATAGGAGAAAAAGGCATACAAACTTATTTACTTGCACAAGGACCCTGGAGCCCTGCAAATATGAGACTCAAAGAAGGGCCAGATGGCTATAGCTTAAATACCCTCTTCATAGGGGAGAGGGAAACGAAGGACTATAGGTAATCTTACAAGGATAGTACATATTTTTTAGGGAAAATGAATAGACTGGGGAGGCAGACATTATCTTGTAACTGACTGTCTTATAAAACTGCAATTTATAGGAATGTGAGGGGCAAAACTGCATTGTGAACAAAGGTTGTCTTACTGTGCAGATAAGGTCTTCCAGGTAATCTCTCTGAGCTGCTCTCAGAAGAGGAGATAAAGGTCTGCCTGAACATGGTGATGACTTTTAGCCTCTTCTCTGTTTGTTAATCTTTCCTGGTTATTTGATGAGATTCCTAGGGAGGTGGGTCTTAAGACAATTGCATTTCTTTCAGAAAGAAGTTTCCTTAGTCAGATAAGAAAATTCGAGAGAAAATCTCTCCCTGTGCTTTTAGGGGATGTGGGGTGGGAGGGTAACAAATAGATAAGGTTAGTAAGTTTTGGCCTCTGAGGCAGCTTCGAAGGCCTTCCAAGTTTTAAAAATTCTGCTCAGCATGCCAAAGCACCATACTTTGGGGGATCGCTCTCTATGCTCCAACATTAGCAAGTCTCTTTTCCAGCAAGAACATCTTTCGTCTTTAGCAGAGCAGGGGAAAAAAGGGAGATATGGTGCTGGTTAACTATGATTCCTTTTGGCAGGCTGTGGGAGGGAAAGTCCATAAACATTCCCTTGTTGATACTCAAGAGGCAGAGGCGGGAGGATCACTTGAGCCCAGGAGTTTGAGGCTGCAGTGAGCTATGATCATGCCACTGCACTCCAGCCTGGGCCACTGCACTCCAGCCTGGGCAACAGGTTGCACTCCAGCCTGGGCAACATTCTGTTTAGGCAACAGAATGAGATCCTATTTCTAAAAATAAATAATACTAATAATCCCGGATCTGTTCTACTTTGAGAGGCAAGCATAGGGAACCATGAGCACATATAGCAAATAAATTGATTTGGTTATGTTTGAGAGAAGACCTGGAGAAGGTGAAGCAAGTCAGAAAGGAAGAGTTGGGAGTGAAGAGGAAAAATATTCCAGATAGAGACGACAGGTTATGGAGCAGTGGAAGAACAGAAAGAAGGCTAGAGGGTTGGTACCATCTATTTTCCCCTGGGGAATTCTTCTCCTCAGTTCATCTCCTTCTTCCTTTTCTCATTTCTTTTTTCTGCTTTTAATCATGACTTCCTTCACCTTTGTCTCTGCATCAGTGCTGAAGAGTATTACGCTCACTGGTAGCTCTTAAAGAAGAGCCAGCATCCTAGATTTTCCAATGCCCCTCTCCTTCCATTTCTCCTCATGCCTACCTGACCCCTAAATCTATTGCATGGAATTTTAGAGACATAGTCAACTTCTCTTCAACCCTTTAGACAGCCATAATCAGAGGAAAGGTTGGGCCTCCCAATGTGCTTCTTTAGAATTCAAAGGAAAACATTCCTACCCCCCAATCACATGCCCTACAAACCACTGCAGCTCAAAGTGCCCAACTGAAAAGAGCAACGAGCCTCCTATTCTTCACAAGCACAGAATATTATAGAACATTTTTGTGTCCAGTACAATGCCAATTTACTTTATCAAACTTAAGGAGCCCAGAAGAAGAGAGTAAAGATAAGCAGGAAATCAATACTAATGGCAATTGGCATCCCTTGTTGAGGGCTTACTTTTATGTATTATTATTCACGTTAATTTATTTTATTTTCTGAGACAGGGTCTTACTCTGTCTCCCAGGCTGAGGTGGCAATGATACAATCATGTCTCACTTCAGCCTCAACCTCTCAGGCTCAATCAATCCTCCCACCTTAGCTCCCCAAGTAGCTGGGATTGCAGGCGTGCACCACACATCTGGGCAATTATTTTTTTAATTTTTGTGGAGACGGAGTCTCACTATATTGCCAGGCTAGTCTCAAACTCCTGGGCTCAAGTGATCTTCCCACCTCAGCTTCCCAAAGTGCTGGGATTACAGGCATGAGCCACCACACCCTGCTGGGGGCCTACTTTTAGATGAGCTGATATACTATTAGCTATAGAAACATGTTTGTTAACTTCTCACAGTAGCCATGTGATATGGGAGCAATTATCTCCTGCTGAAATAGAATTGCTCACCAATCCCGTATAAGAACAAAGGATCCCCAATGGAACTTGAAGGCCATTTATTTAATGCCTATAAACACAGTAGTTAGTATATCTACGGAATGCATTGCTTCAATAATTCGTATCTATGGAAATGACTTAAATCACTCAAATTCTATAACTCTCAGTTACTCATCTTATTGTTTTAAGTGACAATAAGAGTATTTATGTTAAAAGGTGTCTAAGAAGATGATGTTAAATAAGTCACATATGGAGTGATTCAGTGCCCAGGACATATTAGCCACTCTGTCAATATCAGATATTGTTATTCCGTTCCACAATTCCAAGTTGTGTGTGTGTGTATCATAATACATTTAACTGATCTCAAACCAATAGACATTAGGTTGTCTCTTATTTCTTGATACTGCACTCATTATGATGGACTCCTTGATTTAAAAGAATAAAACTCTTGCAAATTCTTACTGCTTCTTGAAAGCTAACTGTATAGTATCCCTAGCATTCACAGTGCCACCCTGAAGATTAGATTAGACTCCTTTAATATGGGAGACTTGCCCAATAGTTTCCATATGGATCCAAAAGATGGTCTGTGGCTGATGCTTGTCATAAGCACAAGCAAAACAACAGTTCTCCTTCAAATCATTTATTTTCATTATATTTCTATACTATATAGTACCAGGGAAGGTACCAGGGAACTCCAGACAAAAAATAAAATAAAATAATCAGTCTGAATATTGTCATGTGCTGAAGGAAGCAGATTCTAGGCAATAAATCTGCAGGGCAAAGGCTTAGCACTGCTGTCAGGGAAGAGGATAAAGATGAGAGGTGGGTAATGTAGGGGCACAGGGAAGGAGAAAAAAAGAAATATTTCCTATGCACCAACATCACTTAGTAGTAAGATCCTACTAAGCCCCTTCAGAGTTAAAAAATACAAATGTAACAGGTTTCAGAGAAATGAGATTAGGTGTAATTTAGATATGATGAATTCATTTACAAGTTGGACTGCTAGGAGTCCCCATTTTCATTCAGAATGAGAAATCTCATGAAATAACTTACTTACCCAGATAGTTAGGTGGTTACTATCTGCCAGTTGCTGACCTAGAAGCTGGTGTGAGAGCCATTGGATGTAGACAATAACCCAGTATAAAACCAAAAGCAAATTAGTAAGTTCACATGTAATTACACATTGGGAAGAGTCCTGTGAGAGAAACTGGCAAGATATTGGACACTTCATCTTACTGATGCTGGGATTGGCCATGGGCTTGCTACAGCCTGGGGGAATAGGTGGTAAGATACTGACAAAGGTCTTAGATGCGACTGTGAAGTCTGTCCTGGTTCTTTTTTTTTTTTTTTGAGACGGAGTCTCGCTCTGTCGCCCAGGCCGGACTGCGGACTGCAGTGGCGCAATCTCGGCTCACTGCAAGCTCCGCTTCCCGGGTTCACGCCATTCTCCTGCCTCAAGCCTCCCGAGTAGCTGGGACTACAGGCGCCCGCCACAGCGCCCGGCTAATTTTTTGTATTTTTAGTAGAGGCGGGGTTTCACCTTGTTAGCCAGGATGGTCTCGATCTCCTGACGTCATGATCCACCCGCCTCGGCCTCCCAAAGTGCTGGGATTACAGGCGTTGTCCTGGTTCTTACACTGCAGAGATTGGCCACGAGAAGGGCTTCCCCATGGAAGCTGTTGAAACTCCAACCTGAGTTCTGAAATGTCCACACCTAAAACAGGTATGAGCACAGTGACATCCTGGAGCTAATCTCTGCTGCCCCTCAACTGGGAGCAATCACCCAGCCATGCCTGCAATATCAGCCGTTCCTCAGACCTACTGCCCTGCAAATTTGCAAGCTTGAGAATTAACACTTACTGTTAATTCTTGACCTTCGAGGTAACTTGTTGAATGCCATGATTGTGGCAATAGCTGACTGAGGCTGAAATAGAAACCTAGAAGTAGGCATGGTTGTTAAGAAAAACCTGAAAAGATGTTTTCAAACTCAGTGGTGAGTGTTGAGGAAACAACAAAAGTAGTTTAGTAGTTTAGAAAAATTGTGACCTGTGTCATGCAACGGTGAAACATTTAGTAAAAGTAGTACCTGTGATCATCTGGAAAGGAAGACATGTACCTGTTGAACTTAGAAATGGAATATTAAAAGCCTGAACTGGCTGTAGGTAGCCACACTTGATAAGGTACTACATGAAAGAGATGAGCTCAGAAAAGAGCTGTCCAGTTTACAAATACAGTTGAGAGAGTACACAGAGAACTCAGAAAATCTGGGACATACTACACTGGAAAATGATACTGTTTCTCATCTCCAGAATTTTCATCCAGTGAAATATCCTCAAAGAAAATACAGCCCAAGGGCAAAGACCAAAATAAGGACATGGCCTTTCAGATATAGCCTAGGAGCCTATTCCAAATAAAAAGTGTGCCCATCACACCCTTTGTTAAGACCTCCCAAAGGATTGAAGTGGAACCTAGTCGATTCTTCCAAACGGACAAAGGGGATCCTAGAAAGATCACGTAGAAGCCTGAGGTACCTAAATTAAAATTTTATTTCACTTAAGGGTAAAATAAAAAAGAACGGGTCCCCAGAGGGCAGAACCAAGACCTGTGGAAAACAATTGTGTAAGGATCCACTTCAAGGAAGCAGAATTAGGGTGAAGCATGTAGTTCCCCACTCCACTGATGTCGGGCTAGCCACGTGACTTGCTTGGACCAATGGAATGAAAATGGATACACTGTGAATGGAAGCCATGTGGCTTGCTCAATACGGCTTTGGTCTGGCAGCATTATTGTGGTAATAGGTGACATACTGATTCTTGCTCTCAGACAGAATTTGGACCATCTGAACATAATTGACTCTGAACACCCAATTAAAATAACCTCTTTCATGTCACCTTCTCTAACATCACCATTTTCTATATTCTTCATAGCCCTTTTCCCTCTCTGGAATTATCTCATGTGTATATTTGCTTATTTGCAAGCATTCTTATTTATTGCCATATCTGAGCACCTAGAACTGTTTCTTGCACATAGTAATACTGAATAGATGCCCTTTGATTTCCCTCTCAAGGATTCTATAATTTTTGTAAGCACAGGTTGTACTGGGGATATTATGAAGACGTTTGGTTTTCACCTTCAATAGTGCCTCAAAACACTGATTATAATTTGTGTAAAGCGCATCTTGACCTGGGATAGTTACAACTCACTGGGAAACCTATATGTGCTCTAATTAATTATATCTGAATAAGATCAGCAAGTGGAACCATCTCTGAGTAACTTGGAGTAACTGAGTAACTCTAAATAACCAAGTAATCCAGGAGACAGAAAATACTTTCTGCCTGAGTTATGAGGAGCAGGACTACTAGAGTGTTATTTCCAGTATACCTATCTTAAATGTTTTCATTGTTGATAAGGCTGTCTATATCAGGCAAAATAAAAACTACTGTAAATAATCATGGAAATATGACACAATAAACCTCACCTATAAGGAACAAAACCCAAGAAATGCCAAGGTTTAGTTCTCAGGAGCCCTCATTGTCCCTCTACATTTGTTCTCAACATGAAGCTCTCTCAAGATTGGGTTGATTCTTTTCTTCACTCAACAGGTATTATGGAAAGTGCTGAGAAAACTGTGGCAAGCAAAGCCAGAGGTGGTTTTTGCCCTCAAGGAACTTTCCACCTAGTGAAAGAGCCAAACATTGATCAGATATTTATGTAACTAAATACAGTATATTAAGGTGTTTTGAGGGCTAGTTTGGAGGACAGGAAACCAAGAGAGCATCGAGTTAGAGACTGACCCTGCTTGGGCGATCAAGGATGTTTTTCTCGGAGAAAATGGAGTTCAAGCTGAGATCTGAAGGATGATTTAGGCAAGAAAAACACTAATGGGAGATTGAATATCATACGCAAAGGACCTGAAAAAGATCAGTGTGGGTGGAGCAAGGGAAAGAGAGGTGAAAGATAAAGCTAGACACGCAGCAAGGCTCAGACTATGCAGAGCCTTGTGTAGGCCAGTCAGGAGTTTGAGTCTTATCTAGAGAGTAAAACTACCAGCTTCCAAGACACTCAGGAAGGCATTGTTGACAAATATCGAGGGCACTTGGATAGTAGTTCTCAAACAACACCCCTCCGCTGGTGAATGCCTCTGGACTGAAACACAGCAGAGTTGTTTACCTCCTCTTGCCCAGAATGCCATGTGTCAACTTGTAAGAGTTGGTTCACCTTTACCTTTCCATGAAGCCCGCTATGGTGTAAGCAATACTCATCAGACCTCGTAAGGCTTGATATTTATTTTATTTCAACTATCACTCTTTTTTGTCAAGTGTAGTCTCACACACAGCAGGTAAACCTTAATGGTTTAAGGAATAAATAGAAAATTGACGGGCTCACACCCATTAGCTAATGGATTACTAAGCAAAAGGGACTGCCTTCCACCCCAGTGCACTTAGCCCAGGGTTGCTAGGAATGTTAAAGACGACAAGCTAACACTCCACCTTCACTCCACGGGCCCAGGGGAAGGGAACTCAAACTCAAATATGGCTCCTTTGATAGACAGGTCAATGAATGTGGCTATCATTGTGTAATCACATATCTTAGCATTTATTTATTATCGACTGCACAACACATTCTGGAAATGTATTGGAGACATTTGACCTGCCAAGTTGGAACGTTTGTTGGCTACAGCCTGGCAGACAGAAGGACCCTGATGGGAGAATCACTCAGCCATCTTGCTTTTACTCACCGCATTGGTGTCCCAATCATTCATGGGAAAATATGTAAGAAAAATCAGCCTATTTTAAATACATCTCCTTGGAAGTAAAGGTGCGTGACATTCTGTTATCTGGAATGCTCCTCACCTTTGTAAATTAGCCACCCCACATGTTGTGCTGAGACCTCCTTTCCACAGTCTTTAATCAGTTGTTTCAGATATATGTGTCTCATTAGCATCTGAGCAATGCAATCACTTTTTTAGCCTGAATCTCATGATTTTATTGGGCTATTAAGAGCTTGATTTGTGGGCAGTGGGAACAGCAAGACAATCCATGCCATTGATCACATTATCCACGAGGTATCCAGCAGAACGGAGAAACCAGCAACCCACACAGAATGGTGGGAATGTAAATTAGTTCAATCACTATGGAGAACAGTTTGGAGGTTCTTCAAAAATCTAAAAATTGAGCTCCTATATGATCCCAGCAATCCGCCTACTGGGCAAATATTCAAAAGAAAGGAAATCAGTATATTGAAGAGATATCTGTACTCTAATGTGGTGTTGGGGAGAGCCAGCACATGCTTGGCCTCAGAACGCCAGGCCATGCAGCAACCCAAGCAGTGACTGTGGCCTGTGCCATCACCCTCTGACACCTCAGCTTGGTCCATCTGGGAGTGGAGAGGAAGGGGATGAAAACTGCCTGCTTCCAAATGGAGTTTTCCACATGTTAAACTGAAAAATACGTTTACAGGTAAAGGAACCACAAAACATAGTAAAAGGATCACAATGCTATTTCCTATGAGGCTGTCACTCAGAAAAATCAGCAGCTAATGATCCACCTCTTCTGCGTTGCTCTAACCCAACACTAAAGAGTTATAGACTCTTAGAAGATAAAGGTATAAGCTTAGAGATTATTTTTCAAATGCCCTCACTTACAGGATGAAAAGGCAGACTCAGGGAGGGGAAGCATCTTGCCTATCATCACGCAACAAGAACAGAGCTTGCACAAGCCTCAGCATCCCCATTCCCAGCACAAGAGTTGGCTGTTTCTCTCTCTCTGTACTTCTCTAGTTTCTGGGTCAGTGAAAATAAAGATCTGTAAAGGCAATTTTTAAAGTTGAGAAGTGGAATAAAAAGGCAAATGTCCTCTTCTCATTGCGTGGTACACCTACAATAATAGCAAAGAAATATTAGCATATATCATTTTAAGAAAACTCATGTAATTCCTCATTTGTGAAGTCAACTTAATGGTTCACCTAGTAATATATGTATGGAATTTTCTGGAGGGATTAGGAGAAAATAACCAGCAAACAGTCAAACCTAGGCTCCTTCTTTTTAGCATTCTGCCCATCTGATGAAATGAGATGTCCTGGAGGAATTTGGAAGCTGGGAAATACCTCCATCTCAGCAAACACAAATGGTGATGCATTTACTAACTGCCTCTTTGCATCTCTTCTTGTTCTGTTCTCTATTACCAGTAAGTGTGGTCTTCCTAAATCACGAATAAGATTATGTAAAGCTCCATCTCCTTCAATAGCTTCCCATAACACTCAGAATGAAGCACCTGCCGCTTCTCATAGCCGCAAAGCCTTACATGATAAGAGCCCTGCTTATCTCTCCAAGCATATCTTATACCCATCTCCCACCTGCTCATGTCCCCTCTGTATGCCCTGCTCTTTCCCACTTCAGGACCTTCGTACATGCTCTTTCCTCTGTCTGGAAGGGTCTATTCTTTTTCTTTGTATGTCTGGTAACCTCTCCATCAGGACTTGGCTCACATGTCAGTTTCTCAAATGAACAATCCCTGAATCTCCCAAACAGGAATCCTTTCCTGATCCGGATATTCTCTACCCTAAGCCCTGTGTTTCTTTCTTCCAGTACTTATCTCTAGCTCTGATAATTTTATTTTTCTGTTTATTTGTACTTCCCACTAGAATTCAGGTACTGATAAAGGCAGAAACAATGTCTGTACTGTTCACAGTTATAACCTCAATGTATAGTACAGTGCCTGGTATGACACAGACATTTAGGAAGTATTTGGGGGGGAATAATGACACTGATGATTAGTACTTTCATACTAAACAGTTCCTTTTAACAGTCTTTTAGATCATTTACATGGCCAGTTATAGTCTGTAAATTAGCACTGTGATTAAAAACATGAGCTTTGGGCTGGGCACGGTGGCTCATGCCTGTAATCCCAGCACTCTGAGAGGCCAAGATGGGTGGATCACTTGAGGCCAGGGGTTCAAGACCAGCCTGGCCAATATTGTGAGACCCCATCTCTACTAAAAATACAAAAAAAAAAAAAAATTAGACAGGCGTGGTGGTGAATGCCTGTAATCTCAGTTACATGGGAGGCTGAGGCAGGAGAATCACTTGAACCTGGGAGATGGTGGTTGCAGTGAGCCAAGATCATGCCACTGCACTCCAGCCTTGGTGACGGAGTGAGATCCTGTCTCAAAATACAAACAAACAAACAAAAACCATGAGCTTTGGAATCAGACACGGTTCTGCTCCCACCTGACGGCTCAGTGGCCTTATGCAAATTAAAGGACTTCTCTAAGCTTCTGGATCCTATGTGTGAGGACCTACTTTAGGAGTAGAGAAGAGCAGGGACTGTGATTATTACGTTACACAGAGTAATTGAG
This sequence comes from Homo sapiens, assembly GCF_000001405.40. Lineage (NCBI taxonomy): Eukaryota > Metazoa > Chordata > Mammalia > Primates > Hominidae > Homo > Homo sapiens. The sequence continues at coordinate 158,681,782 of NC_000005.10, read as the reverse complement.
ACTTACCACTTGCCCAGTGGATCAAGAGCTATAATTTAATTTCCCAGGACTGGCTGGTACAGCAAGGTGATTGGCAGGGTTTTCCCAGAGGCTGCACCTCTAATGCAAAGGCAGTGGCAAGGGCTGCTATGGAGGTCACAATGCCAGATAGAGCCTCCAGAGCTTTCAGGGGATATTCTGAGGCTCTGTCAAGCCGGCAACTTCCTTTCTTTTCTTTTCCTTTTAAGTGATCTAGGGAGAGTTTTTTCTGAGGGAGTCTTTGTTCATTTAGAGAGAGAAACTTAATTCTCTAGTCTGTCTTCTATGCCACTTCCTATCTGATTTCTTTTAGTCTCTCCAGTCCACAGATTGACAACATAATAATAAGGTCAAGAAGAAGAGGAAGAAGTTCTCATTTCCCTGATATCATTCTGACCTTCTTTGATGTGCCTCTCCCTTTCAATAATGCAAACTATACATTGTGTTTTCCTTTTTACTTTGGCCTCTAGGGAGCTCAGGAGAAAGTCTGAAGTTCAACCACAAAATTTGACCAAATAGCATCCCCTCTTCAATGTCAATTCTCATAATTCCAAACTTTATTTTATTTATCTTCCTACACATATTAATATGCTATAGTGGGAACTGTCTTAAATTTTTAAAATATATTGGATATAAGTTATAGAAAACTTAACTTAAAAGGTAGGGCATGGTGGCGCATGCCTGTAATCCCAGCACTTTGGGAGGCCAAGGTGGGCAGATCAGGAGGTCAAGAGGTCGAGACCATCCTGGCCAACATTGTGAAACCTCTTCTTTACTAAAAATATAAAAATTAGCTTGGCGTGGTGGTATGTGCCTGTAGTCCCAGCTACTCAGGAGGCTGAGGCAAGAGAATCTCTTGAACCTGGGAGGCGGAGGTTGCAGTGAGCTGAGATCACGCCACTGCCCTCCAGCCTGGTGACAGAGCGAGACTGCATCTCAAAAATAATAATAATAATAATAATAATATTAATAATGATAATTAACTTAAAGAAAAAATATATCTACTGTTTCTTCTCTCAATTGTTCTGCTCCCCCAGTGAGATGACAGGAAGAATTTCTCTCTCTGCCATCTTTTAATTTTGACTGTAAACTATCACTTCAGTCCATTCTACTTCATTTTCAGAGCAGTAATATTACAGACTTCTTATAAGAAGAAACATGTGCTAGTGGCAGTGCATGGAAATACAAGCTGAGTGCTAAAGTCAAAGAGACAAGTAAAGGAAACACAATATTTACTAGGTGCTAGGTGTTTTGCACACATTAGTTCATCTACACTTTCTAACAACACTAAAGCCGTTCACACATGAGGGCCCGGAAGCTTAGAAAAGTTCTTTAATTTGTCTAAGGCCACTGAGCTGTTAGGTGAGAGCAGAACTGGGTCTGATTCCAAAGCTCGTGTTTTTAATCACAGTGCTAATTCAAAGACTATAACTGCCCGTGTACATGATCTAAAAGACTGTTAAAAGGAATTGCTTAGTAAAAAAATACTAATTGCCAGCATTAACTATGTACATTGTTCTCATTGGCTGTTTTAGAAAAGTTATTTAAACAGTCTCTAGGCAAAAGAAAAGTTAAGTAAACTGGGATTTTGCAACTAATCCAAAAAAGCATGGATAGTTGGTTCAATGGTATCTGTACATGCTTTTTCTTCCAGATTTTCTCTTCTGCAAAACATTTCCTACGGTGGTCCATGTCGCATATTTTTAAAATGGCTGCAAGAGGATGCAAAGTTGAGAAAAAAGGAGTTCCTTTCAGGCTTGTGTGTCCTTAGGGGAACGAAGAGGATTGTGGGCAATAACAAAATGTTTGGGAAAGGAATCAGGATGAGAACAAGGAGGCTTAGGAAGAGTTAGGCTTCCTATTGAAGTCAGATCTTCTGGACTCGAGGAGGAGAGAGTGGAGAAGAGGTGGTGAGGCAGGAACACCAAGGGTCCCAGAGACGGGCTCTGTTCTCTGCTTCCTGGGGCAGAGCCTCGGAGTACCCCAACGCCAGCAGGGAATGAGGGAAGATCACGCATACAGACAACCAGGAGATCCATATCCAAGGGAGAAACCTGGTCACAGAATAGCACTCCTGCCCTCAGGTGGTACAGAAGCAGACAAGTCAATTGCCAGTGCTGGAGGGATAAGATGGAATCAGAAATCTCTCAGCAGTAGCCAGCGTGGATTCCAACTAAGGATCGCCAGGCCACATCCGGCTCAGGAAAGGTTGTCTGGAGGATCAGAGAGCTGATCTTCCAAAGGTCTGGGAACCATGTGGATTGCTGGAATTAAAGCTCACCCTTGGGGAAAAGGAATTGGAAAAACAACTCATTTTGACAGAGATTAGGTTTCTGCCTCATCAGTGGGGATCAGTCTTGAAACCAAAACTGAGCTTAGAGAAAGGGAAAGCTCAGCTTCTTGCACCTCTGAGAATGTGGTCTTTAAACTGCACCTGCTTTGCTCATTTCCACAGGGCTCCTGATGATTCACTACATGTAGGCTCAACTCCCAAATACAGTCTCTGAGCTGCATTAGCCACTGGGTGGGGAATGAAAAACAGCCTCATTCCACATCCTCATGGTCCTGGAGGGGAACAGTCTTCATATAAATATACACAAGAAACTCCAGTCTTCAGACATCTGAGCTTTTTAGCCCGCATAATCATAACACCTCCGAGAGCAGGGATGTCTCTATCAGTGTGTGGGTACACAGCTGCTCCTTCCATAAGCGAATCCTCTCCATCCAATTCAGACTGAGTTTCAAGTTGATTTTGGAGAAAATGTATACAGTTTACAGGTTTAAAGCCTTTTCTTCATCCCAGAGGACAAGCAGCCTAGGGGAAAGGAATGGGGGACTGCTAACATTACAGAGAAGAAAGGAAAGTAAGGCATCCCCAAGAGACAGGGAAGAATGAGGCCAGAGATGCAAAGAGGGCAGATGACAATTGTCAGATGAGTTTCATCACTCGGCTTTGCCTCTACCTGCTCCCAACTTCTCTGAAAAATTGTCCTTTGGGGCCCAAACTTTCTCTGTTTTGTCTCAGCCCAAAGGTGAGTTGGTAGGAAGTTTGAGCAGAATTGTTTCAGGCATCTTGGAGTTACGCAGGCAGGCAATGAAATAACATTATTTCCGCTTTCAAAATAAATAGGAGTTTTTGGTCACAGAGAGCTCAGGAACAAGAACTGAAGAATGGTTGCATCCTTAGACTCCGGGAATCCCACATCCCTGGTAGCAAACAAACCTCAGAGACTGGGAGAAGAGAGAAGATGTAGGAGTCTGTGGACAGGAGGAGAGTTAAAGTAGATTCTGTTAACCAAGTTAACTTATTTCAGTTTAATTGTATCATTACTGATGGATGGAAACCACAGGCCATGTCTTACCCTTTTTACTCTTCTTTTCAACCACTGAAAAGAACAAAATTCTCTTTGCCAGGCTTGTAGTTCTTTATAATTTTCCAGATTACCCTCCAATTCCAAGTGGACAAAGCTCTGTGTTTTTTTTTTTTTTTTGTCCCCCTTCGCCTTCCTTTGGCGATGAGGGGGTATTTTTAACCCAGCACCTTTAAACACAAACACACTAATAAAAATCTCTGAATCTAGACAGACAACATTTGTTAAAAAAAATATGCAGAAAAACAATTTGTACATACTATGAAGAGGCTGAGGAGTTAGGGTGGAGGCACATTTTCTGGGCAAGATTATACCTCTGGTATTTTTAAAATCAGTAAATACATCATAGGTCCAATGTGGCAAGATTTGGTGTGGGTTATATAGCCGCAGTGATCTCTTTTCTGGTCTCAAAGTATTCCTCATGGAGATAGCAAATATGTCATATGAAAAAAGGCTATATAATGCCTATTTCCCACTCCATGCCCAGGTGGCACTGCCACTGACTTCAAAGCATGCCTTATCCTTGTACCTGCCGCCCTGCAGATAATGTATAAAATAGCAGAGAGACAGACACATGTGCATGCCGAGCAGTGTGCTTTAAACATCTCAATATATTACCTGGCATGCGGGGTGCATCCTGACTGCTCTATGGATGCTTCCCTCCCGCCCTCCTGCCTTTGATATGCAAGAAGCTAGGGCCAAATCAGCCACTCCGTCATTTCCATTATAAGTATCTTTGGGGATGCGTGCTTTGGCAGTGAGGTGCCAGGGCCCCAGATTGGACCCCACCATGAAGTTCTCAAAGCTTAGCAATTTTGCAGAATTTAATGGGCGTTGGGAGACGATTTTACAGACTGATTTCCAGGAGCACAAATATTCAAATTGCTCAGCCCCTATTTGAAGACAGATCTGAAGGTGCACCTTACAACCTGTGTGGAGCAGGCTCTTTTGAATCTTGTCCTTGAAACAAAAAAAGGGGGGAGAAAAAGAAAGAAAGAAATGCAGCGCCCCCTGGGACTTTACCGGCAGAGACTCTAAGTGCAGCGTGACTGCAAAGGCCTGCCAGGAGTCCTTGGGGCAGGAGGGAGGAAGGGGATGAGAGAGACCGGAGATGAGAAGGGCCTTCAACAGCCATTGGGGAGGCGGTGGCGGGGGAGAAGAAAGGGAGACACGTACTAAAAACAACAGAAACACAGGTGGAAACGGCCTTGTGGGAAATCAGCCTGTCAACAAACAAAGCTGGAGGCTGGAAACCACTGCCTCACCAGCCCAGCTCCTGGGCAAGGAGATTGTTCTGTAAATAAATTAGCGGTGACTTTGACTGCTTGGAAATTAATACTGACACCATGAAAGCAGCAAATGGCTCCCTTTTATCAGGAGCAGAAGCACTACACTTCGCAAACGGATCTTCTTTGCCTTTCCCTGTTTTATTTTGCTTTGTTTTCTCGGGGAAAGTAAATTAGAGCCACTTACATCAGCAGCTCAGGTTAAAGAAGGGGAAGAAGAGAGAGAGAGAGAAAAAAAAAGTTTCATTTCATGTACCAGTGGCTTAGAACTTCATTTAAAGCTAATCACGCCCCCCACTTTCTGCGAGCCATTTCTGACAGCCAGCATAGCCTAGAATGCCCATTGAGAGACCCAGGCACAGTGAGCTTTGCTGGAGTTGCACCCAAAGAGTGGGGAAGTGGTCTCCAGGTTTCTGTCAATGGTTGAGAAAGTGCAGTTTCTAGAAAGAGTCAAGTCATCTAAGGTCTAACTTTTAAGAGCTGCCCAGTGTGGGCTTCTTCCAGAGGATCTCAGGTATTTCCTTAAACATGTACTCTTCTTCCAGAAAGATGACTGCGTTGTTTTTTTTTGTTTGTTTGTTTTTTACCTTCAGAAGATAGGAGTACCTCCAAATTTATCAGGTAAAATAACTACCTTTATGAACGTGACCCAATAAGGCAAAGCAAAGGCCTTGAAACTGTAATCATGTTTATACTCTTGTGAAAAATCAGAAAATCTGTCTTTTCGCTCTATCTTAATCATTGCCCTTCCCCCAAACAAAATGGACCAGTGATTTTAAAGAATCAGATACCTTTAGAAAAATTGCATATTGCAAATCTCTATCACTCAATATCCTACTAGTAAAAACTCTCTCTTGACAATTTCTGTACATCTGTGGTAAACTCAAAATTGATGGTGGCAAAAAGGACCTTGAAGCCTCATAAACTCTTGAAGCATGTTCTGGACTATAAAAGGTGCAATTATTTAATCTAATTTTACCAGAAATTACAGTTGTCTCTGCCTTGGAAGAGTGATAATCCATAGGTAATAGTCATGGTGACTCTGAAATAGCCAGAATCCTAGATTAGTGAGAATGACTCCAGTACCACCAGACATCAGAGTCTTTATTGCATATTAATTCTTTAGCTCGTGTTGAGACAAGCTTGCTGGGACTCCTTTGTTACTTTGTTACAGTTGCAAACTCCCATGTAGACAAAGAAAGTCAAAAGAAAACTTAGCCCTTGCACACCCAGCAATAAAAGATTGTAATGGACACAAAACACCACAACAAGCTGCTTCATTATGAAGTGAATTAGAGGTGCTGCAACTCGCTGCAGGGATCCCTCAAACTGTCAAGAACTGAGAAACACCTGGGAAGTAGCTGATGCTAGAAGGGACGTAAGGAAAGCACAGGAAAGAAACTAGAATTGTGTCAAGGACATTGGGCACATGAGTGGTGAGCCACAGAGTAAACACGGAGTGACCCATGTTGTGGCTGTCCCCTCCAATCTCACATCGCAGTGCTCTTACCAGGAAGGGCCTTGTTTTCATATGAAGGCACTAGGATGTGTGTTCTGGGATAGAGACACAGAGGCTGGAAAATTCTCTGGGAAGTTCTTCATGGGAAAAAAAACCCCAATTTGCTAAATGAGCAATTTGGAATAACCAATTTGTCAAATTATAAAGTTTACAGAATTCATATTGCATGAGATGATTTCTAGTCTTTGAGGATTTGTTTTTTCAAAGTTTTAGTTTCAACAATTAGGGAAAGTCCTAGATGGGTGAAATTGGCATGCATATACACTCACCATTTGGAAATCAAGGCCATGAAAATTTTTAAAATAGATGCAAATTAGCATAGATCTGCACATAAAAGGCATATGTGTCATTTTGTACATGAATAGTTGAGACTTTTGAAGTTTGGATACTCCACAAAATACACATTTAATCAAGCTACCTTGACAAATTATCAAACTAAGAGATGTTGGAAACTCAGTAAACTACACACAAAAGAAGTTTTGGAAGAGAATCCCACCCTAATATTTATAAAACCTAGACTAACAACATACACGCTGCCTTTAATTTAGAATAGAAAAGGAGTTTTCTTCCGAAAATTCAGAGGCCCCAAGGAACAGGACAACATAGACTACACTGACCTTTGGCTGGCTTTGCCAAACGCCTGTGGCTCTTGTAAACCTGGGCTAAGGTATTTGACTGGCAGTTTTTAGTGACTTGATAACTGGTCAGATTGGTCATTGAGTAAATCTTTTGAAAAACTGACCTAGACCCCGCTCAGTGGACATGTAATGCATCTGTGTGCCATGCTGAACACAGTTGACTAGCATAAGGCAAAGGTAACCAGTAACAGCTCATTTAAAGGTGTGCAAGCAAGAAAATGAGGCTGAGCTTTAGAAGCCAGTCTCACTATGAAGTTTCATACCATCTAAGCAAAGAATAGAAGAATTCCAAAGTTGTACTAAATTTAAAAGATGCACATTTGGACACAATTTACACAATATAAAATGTTAGTGGATCAGATAATACATGATATTTATCTGTGATATAAAAACAAATTTATGCACAGATGATTACACAGGCTGCTTGACCTTCTTAACCTTTTTGCTAAAAACACAAAATTAGGAAATAGTCTTAACTCATCCATAAAAGCAAAGGGCTATTCTCCCTTTTCTTCATATTCTTTGACAAGCCTGGAGAGTCTAGGCTACTTTTCCCTCCCTAACATGTCCATATTTCTGACTATTCAAGAACATAATGAAGACTACCAGTTGCCCTTACGGTAACCATGTGCAAATTGGAAAATTACACCTCTTCTTTCAAGACACTTTATTTCCATAGATCAGAAAATGACTATAACACATTGATTTGGTTTGGAGTGGATACTTTACTGCCACCTGCAGAAAAGTCATAATTTAACCAATCTATGACATCTATTATGTGAACTGTCTTCCCTTAGATAGGACATACTTGTGCAGTATGCAATCTGCACAATATGGTGACGTTGTACCCAGGGGAAGAATATGAATGGGACACAAAGATACGGAGATTAGCTGTCATGGGGGAGAAGACTATATACAATTGGCCTGAGGTCAGAGGAGGGGCTCCAGCTTAAGAGGACATGGATTAACTGTAATACCATAGGTGCATTCCTAAGTACTGCCTGTAGCCTAAGGTAGAGCTCAGACCTGCCCCATTTTCTTTCAATCCTATTCTAGAATACCTTTCTTCTGATTTCCTAATTCTACTAATATTTCATTGTCCATTTTGACTTCAATTCTTCATGATTTAAGCCAGGTACTTCTGCCCTCAAATGACCATCTCCCATTCTGAGCTATTCAAAATATTTATTGTACGTAAGATACACATTGCCATGATTGCAGTGGACTGCTGGTGATATGGAAGTGGCTGGGAAGGGAAGAGTGTGGTCCCTTCAGATAATACAGAAGCAGGGAAGGGAAGTGCTAGGTAGAAAAGGGCATGGTCCCTGGCTAAGATTCCACCCCAATGGACCTACGTGAGGACAGGCATTTTCTGCCCAAATATTGCATTTCCCAAGACCACCCTGGCCTGCCACACCCCCACCCTGTGCCTATAAAAACCCGACACCCTAGCAGGCAAACACACAAGTGGCTGGACATCGTGAGGAACAAACACATAGGTGGAAGAAGACGCAAGTGGTTGGTAGTCCAGAGGGGCATGCTGGAAGAAAAGCACACCAACAGGCACTGTCACACTGGCAGGTCATCGACAGGCGGGACAAAGCGGAGTTTGGCCCAGGCTATCAGGGGAGAGCCGGGGCTGGCGAGTGGTCCAACTTCAGGGGAAGACCATCTCCCTTCTGGCTCTCCCATTGGCTGAGAGCTACTTCCACTCAATGAAACCTTGCACTCATTCTCCAAGCCCACACGTGATCCGATTCTTCCAGAACACCAAGGCAAGAACCCGGGATACAGAAAGCTCCATGTCCTTGTGACAAGGTAGAGGGTCTAATGGAGCTGACTAACACAAGTCGCCTATAGACAGCAAACCAAAAAAGCACCCTGTAACACATGCCCACTGGGGCTTCGGGAGCTGTAAACATTCACCCCTAGACACTGCTGTGGGATTGGAGCCCCACAGCCTGGCCATCTGTGTGCTCCCCTAGAGGTTCCAGCATCGGGGCACTGAAGAAGCAAGCCACGCTGTCATCACATGCCGTGCAAGTGGGACAAGGGAACTTTTCCCGTTTCAACAGCATTCATGTATTTTACACTCTGGTTTAACCACTTGTTAGTTTTCCAAAATGTCCAACTCAGAAGTACTGGCCATTTGACCAAGGCAGAAACTTTGAGCTGGAGATCAGTAGGGCTCCTGTGAATGAATATTTTACCTGATGAATGAGCTGAACGTTCTCATCAGCATTCACATTTCAACTCAGTGTTGTTGTTTTCATCCCATGCATTTTGTGATAAAATTGTACATACTGGGGGATCAAGTGGTCTCTGAACTTGTCCCTTTTGAATGTCAACAGCCTACTCTGTATTCAGTTTTGTTGTTAACAATATACCATCTTATGTATCAAGCAACTGTTTGTGTTAGTCTTATCTTCCCCTGAGGACAGGAATCCTGTCTTACATATTTTTGTCTTTTTTCCAACACCTGTCTCAACTCAGAGCATATGAGCACCTATCCAATATTCTGAGCACCTGTCCAATATTCTAAACACCTCATACCATAATACGAGATTAATAACTACATATTTTTGGCAGACATCATAACTGATTTTGTTACTCCATTTGACCATGACTTACAAGTGAAACAAAGAAGAACTGGATTTCTCCAGAGTGCTCCAATTTACTGTTAGATCTAATTGTATAGGTAGTGAGGTTTAAAGAGCCCATAAATTCTTTCCCACTAGAGTACGCCCTCATCATTTTGTACTTTTAGATGAATTCCAGGAGAATTTAATAGGAGCCAAACAGGCAATTTCGTGGTAAGAAGCTATGAGGTTATGAATCAGGGGACTCAATGTTTGCTCCACTGATAGCCTGCATGATATCCTTTGGTGAATCCTGAAGGGGCAGCTCCTAGCCCTTCCAGAAGAAGAAGAGATAAGAATGGAAAGATTAAATCACGGGAATGTTGACATTGGTTATATAGCTTCAAAAATGCACCTTCCAATTTGTATTTGGTGGATTATTAGTCTCAGGAGATTGTCAGACCTGCCTCACTTTCCCATTGGTGTGGGAAACAGAGAGTCACCTGTCTGGAGGATAACAATGTGTGCTTGACATAATAAAGGCTTAATGTATGTCATCCAGTCTTTTCCAAATATAACTGAATGAGAAACCCCAACTTCTTTTTGGTAACACTCATTAGCATCTTCCAGAACTAGTGCTCCATGGAATGTACTTGGAGAATGATGCTTTGGAAGAAAAGAAAACGGGGGAAAGAAGCCAGATAATTTGAAGACAGCTAGTGAAAAGTGCTAATGCATTTAATTATTAGTGATAAGAAATGTATGTGCTAATTTGTCTAATGATGTGCTATATATTAAACATAATATATATCCATGTAATATGTTTATATGTAGTTGGCTGAGAAGGATGTCCAATACATAGAGTATAACCTGCAAATAAATAATTAGGCAACTTGAAGATAAGCATAACTTAAGCCTAATGAACAGCACCTAAATATTTCTTAGACTTTAAATGATAGGAATCAAATGTTTTCAGGGAAAACACATCACTGACACATCTAGTAAAGCTTCCAGTTGGTCAACTGCTTTTCTCTTTTGTAATATAACCAGGATACCTCAGTCAATCCCCATTATTGAGCAGAAGGCAACCCATAACATCAGGCAAATTACTAGGGAAGGCAAACATTTTAAGGATTTGCCTCAAATCTCAAGCTCAGATGTACAACATATACATATATGACATAATTTATAAGACTGTGGATGTCTGATGTATGGGAGAGTTAACAAAGGGAGCCGCAGAAAAGGGATAATGGGAATGATTGAAAAGTCTAAAGTATAAAGTCTTGGCTCCTTTAGAGTTGTTGAATAATTGTATTGACAGCAATTTCCAAAAAATATTGGAGCAAGAGACAAAGTTTTAAGCCAACTTCTTTCTACATGGGAAAGTCCTCAAGACAGTATATTTAAGAATCTGTATTTTCCAGCCCTCACCATGATATGCTTAGAAATCTGTATTTTCCAGAATCTGAGATAAATTTACCTGTTCACCAAGTGAGAAAAAAGAAAACCTTTGACTGAAAGACAAGGAGTTAGGTGAGTCTAGAGATAAAACAAACAGATTAAATCTATTCCACTGAAACACAGATATATAATTTCTCTCCAGAGAATACCAAAGACTGACAAAATAAACAAAGAAATAACGTGTTTCTTAACTTGTGAAATGTGACAGTCAATGGCAGATGGCAAAACAAAATGAATGCAAGAAAACAGTGTTACAAGTTTTCCAATGTTAGTAGCTAAGGAGGAAGTGCTCTTTAAAAAGAAGCACTTAAAAATAAGTCCCTTTCTAAAATTCCTTTATAGGAGAGCTCTTATTTTTGACCATAGGCAGCATTCTTTTGTTGGGAGACAGGGAAGCAAGATTGCCCAAGTCAGCTATTCAGAATTTTCTAGAGTATCTGTTTTGCTTGCACACATCTTCCTCATTCTGGGAACAGAAACTGACAACAGAAACATCATCACTTCCACTCTCAATCCTTGTCAAGGACATGTGACACACACCTGCCCATGGGTAACATTCTCCTTTTCTCTAGCCATTGTGATTAGTTCGGGGAGATGGATGGGGAAACTACTGGGCATTTCCCAGAGCGAGCAGGAGAGAGGTGCTCTTACTTCCTGGCAAGATGGCTAAACTAGAAAGCTACAATCCTGGAGCAGCTGGTAGCCACCTTTGCTACCATGTAGTGAGGTTTTCTCTGAAAGAAAAGCTAAGAGCAAAGAAAACAGGGATTACAAACTACAGAGATAGGTTCCTGGCATTATTTGAGTATATGAGTTTGACCATGATGAACTTTTCATCTACAGCAGTTAATAAAACTTCTTTTATGCTCATCCAGTATGAGGTCTCCCCTTTTCCTCTTCCCCCTCTTCCTCTTCTCCATTACCAACCTAACAATAAAGAAGCCAAGCCTAGAACAGTGGTTATGTTGATTGATATGAGGAAAGGGCTGGTGACCACGGTTCATAAGCAACAAATTAAAAAGCTTTGCATATAATAATCACTTTTAAGGCTACACTCAAACAAACATATTCCCAAGTCCAATTAATGTTTGATAGGCAACATATTAATTATGTTACAAAGTAATTCATTATAAATTCAGTTTGTATACTTTGTTCTAAGTACTTCATAGATATATGTGTATATATATGGACATCATATACCTGATCTCATGTAATAACAAAGCTACAAATAAAACTCAATCACTGTATCAGTGTGCCTATCTAAGTGAAAACTCAGGGAGGGCAGGATGGAACACACCTTCTTTAGCACTGTATTCCCAACATCCAGCACCATACTTGGCACATGGCTGATATTCCACTTGTGAAGGAAATGAACAACAGGACTTCTTATATTTGCTTTTGGCATGTTCAAATTTAGCTACACTCAGATCCAACCAATGTTGTCAATCATTTACTATTTCTCAAACAGGAAAACAGAGATCAGCTGAAACAGTTTGATGCATATCTTGGAAGACAAAGAGTTAACATTCTAAACAGATGAAGACTTTAAAGGGACTAAGAAGTGTGTAAGCAACTTAGAATGCTGATAAGCAAAATTTTGTTTCAAGTATGTTGAATAAAATATTAAATCTTCATAGAGACCCACTTCTTTGAATTTTGGGATTTGCTAAAATCTTTTATTAAAACTTCTGTTCCTTGGTCCTTGAAAAAAGCAAATGCTTTTTATAGTACACTCATCTTAGAAGGTATTATTCAATAAATGAAGAAAAATGGTTAATGAAAAATAAAAAGAATCTTACTTTACATACCAAGGTAAATTCTAGACATAACAATTTAAATGAAAAAAAAACCACTTCAGAAAATATAGTTAAATAAATGATTTACAGGAAAATTGTGATAGATTTGACTGTATCCTCAAAATGGTATGAAGAAACCAACAAGCAAACAATAAACTGGGAAATCATATCTGAAATATAAAATGGACAAAGAGTTGATATTCTAAATGTATATAAAGCATATGAACATCAAATTCACAAAAGAAGAAATATAAATGGCTGATGCACATATGAAAACAATGTTTAACTCTTGCAGTAATAAAAAACACAAAATAAATATATAATGTACTTGTCCCAGTCAAATGGAAAATATGAACAAGAATCATAATCCCCAATCTTGGCAAGGGTAATGGGTCCTTCCATCAAATTTGATGGAAGTACACTTTTGGTACAATTTTATTTTTGGAGGATGATTTTTAAAAGCTTACAATTGCATTTTTCCTGACCAGCAATTCCATTCCTAGATTTAAAAAAAGTAGAGATGAGTACCATGATTCATATTATAACAATTCACAGAAAAGGTCAAATTAGAGCCAACCTTCATGCCCAACAATAGGGGTTTAGTTAAGTAAATTATATTCACAAGATTGAATTGTCCCAACGATAAGTAATAGAGCATTGTATACAGACATGGGAAGATAGTCACAGTATATTGCTAAGAAAGAATCAGATTAAGTGGAGACTATAGTGCAATACAATTTTTGTAGAAAAAATATGTGTATTCAAATATATATAAATATTGAATAAAAGAGCATAGTGTAAAATATTGACCATAATAATTTTGAGTTAACAGCTTAGGGGGAATACATATTTTCTTCGCCTTTTTTATATTTAAAGATTTTGAATGAAGTACATACTACATACATAACATATATACAGAAAAGCACACATATGTGTACAGCATGATGCATTTTCAGAAATTAATCAAATCTATGTAACCAGCACTCAGGTCAAGAAATAGAATTATCAGTACCCCAGAATTTCTCTTTTTCTTCCTTCCAGACACTAATTCTTCCAAGAGCTCTTATTACTATGATTTCTGAAAGTATAGAATGCTTTTGCTTGTTTTTAATATATTTAATAAATGATGTCATATAGTATACATTTTTGGGGCCTAGCTTCTTTTATGTAACATTGTGTTTATAAGATATATCCAATATATTATGTTATACTGTAGTTATAAATATTATAGAACCCTTCTTTGTGAATATATGTACTCATATTTGTTGGTCATATAGGTAGGAATGGAATTGCTGTGCCATAAACCATGTGGACATTCAGCTTTAATATACACTGGAAATAGTTCTCTTAAGTGGTTATAACAATGTACTTTTCTACAATCAGCCTAAGAGAGTTCCAGTTGCTCTATATCTCTATCAACACTTGATCTTCTCTATTGTTTTCATTTTAGCTCTTCTAGTTAATGTGTAGTGGTATTACAATGTGATTGTAATTTGCATTTCTCTTTGACTAGTATGCATTAATTTGTAATTAAAACAATGAACTATATTGCATGTTAAAATCTATCCCTGTATTCCCTTCTCTAGAAACAATTGACCAATCAATTGACAGTAGTGCATTGTAAAATACAATTTAGAAGGGCAGTATGCTTTGTTTTAAAGAAAAGGATTAGCTTGATAGGATTTGGTTGGAATTCTCTGAAACTTAGCAGAGTAGGATCCTAAGCAAATTACATAGCTTCTTGGAGTCTGTTTCTCATTCTCAAACCACTTCCTATGGAATTACTATAGGAATGATTTATGCAAAGCACAGAGTGGACACTCAATATGTATTAGGTTCCTCACACCCATGATTTGCTAAATACCATTATATTTTGCAATCTTGTGAAATTGTGGATCATGAAGAGGAAAACTTCTTAGAAGTATTTATCTTAGTCGACTAGGCCTTTTTTTTGAATGTCTCTTAACTTCTATTTCTCTGTATTTTCCTAATTTTCTTTCAACTTCACTGGCTTCCTCTACTTGACACTCTTAAATGTTAGTGTCCTCTGGTCCAGGGTTTTCTTTTGTCCTCTATTAATTTCCTCCATAGTGATCACATCCATTTTAAATTCTTTAAGTACCATCTAAGTTATGGTGACTACAAAAATTCTGTCTCTGATTTTAGACATTTGTAAAAACTACCTGTTTAGTATGTCCACTTGGATATCTCACGGACATTTAAAAAGTAACATGCCCTACACAGGAAGGGGAACATCATGCACCGGGGCCTGTCATCGGCGGGGAGGGATAGCATTAGGAGATATACCTAATGTAAATGATGAGTTAATGGGTGCAGCACACCAACACGGCACATGTATACATATGTAAGAAATCTCCATGTTGTGCACATGTACCCTAGAACTTAAAGTATAATAATAATAAAAAAAATTAAAAAAAAGCTATTTACTCTACTAAATTGAAACTATTTGAATCAGTGAAGCAGAGAATTATTACAGATTAAGAATTTTTGCTTATTTAAAATTACAATAGTTTGTTTTGTTTGTTACTGAGTTGTAGGAGTTCTTTGTATATTTTGGATTCAAGTCCTCTGTCAGACATATGTTTCATAAATATTACCTCCAGTCTATGGCTTGTCTATTAATTTTCTTTTAATGTGTCTTTTAGTAAACAGAAGCTTTAAATTTAAAAAAAAAAGTAACATGTCCTAAGAAATTAAAATGCATGGCCCCCTCCCCCTGCCAATTGGCTCCTCAGTCATCCCAATCACAGCAAATGGCATTATGAGTCAAGCTGAAACCAAAGTCATTGTTGATTTCTCCATTTATTTTCTAATCCACTCCAATTTATCACCAGTATCTATTGTTTCTTAGAAACTAAATCTTGGAGCAGCCCACCCTTTTTGTATTTCACTGGCACAATTCTAATTCAAGTCACCATCACCTCTTGCTTGGACAACCAAAAAAGCCTCCGAAGTGGTCTTCCTGCTGCTACATTGTTTGCTTACCCACCCACCCTGACACCACCTTCAATTTATTCTCCACCAGTGGTCATAGTAAACATTTAAAAATACAAATCACATCATAACATTCTGCATAATAAAGTCTTCAGTGAATTCCTATTGCTCTCAAAATAACACCTTCTCCTGTTATTAACTCCTCTCATCACTCTTTTATTTTCTTCATAGAGTTTATCCCCATGTGTATTTGTTGAGTGCACAGACTAAGAAACTAAAGTAATTGACTTATTTTGGAGGAAGTGGATCTGTGGTCATGTAGAACACTATGCTTACTATGTGAGAGTCTCTAAGCCATAATGAAATCCCTTATTCCAGATACCCTAAAAAGAATGAAGACTGAAGACTTTACAGAAGGATATAACCTTAGGTGAGGAGAGTCTGACTAAATTGCTAAATTCAAATCAAATGCTTTTTATACATTTATTGAGACGATTATGGTTTCTTCTCCTTTATTTCTGTAATTGTGGCTAACTATACAGATTGTTTTTCAAATGTTAAATCAAACTTCCATTCCTGTAATAAACCCTGCTTTATTATGATATATTTCTCATTTTATATATTGTTGGATTCTATTTGTTGATATGTGTTATTTTTCTGTCTGTATTTATGACATAATCTTTTTCTTTCCTTATAATACTCTTGTAAGGCTTTAATATCAGGGTTATGCTAGCCTTACAAAATAAGGCTGAAAATATTCCTTTATTCTCTATTTTCCCAAAAATAAATAAAATCCTTCTTTCTCTATTTTCCCAAAAATTTTGTATAAGATTTACCACTTGCTAGAATACACCAGATAAACCCTCTGGACCAACAGGTGTTTTTTGTTGTTACTTTGCTTTTGGTTGAGAGACATGAATTCAATGTCTTTTAAAGACATAGGGGTATTCCAATTGCCTGTTTCCTCTGGTGTCTTTTTTTATTATTTGTGTATTTCTAAGAAGTTGTCCACTTAATCTAAATCATCAAATTTATTGGTATACAATAATTTTTCAAATTATTATTTTAATGCCTATATAACCTGTAGTGATGTCTCCTCTTTCATTTGCGGTTTTGGTAATTTGTGTTATTTTATGATCAGTCTTTCTAGGGTTTTATAAATTTCAATAATCTTTTCAAGCAATCAACTTTTGGCTTTTTAAAATTTTCTATAGTAATTGTTTACTATTTCATTGATTTCTGGTTTTGTCATTAATATTTACTTCCTTCTATATACATTGGATTTAATTTGCTCTTTACTCTAGCTTACTAGGATAGAAATTTAGAACATTTGTCTCAAACATATTTTTTCTAAATATAAATATCTAAAATTATAAATTTCCCTGTAAATATATATTTATGTACATATATTACATGTTATGTAATTATATGTATGTTATATATATGTATAATTTTATGTGTAATCACACATACACACACATCTATTAGCAGACCCTCATATCTTCCTCTCTCTTTACCCCTGGCAACTACTAATATACTTTCTGTCTATGAACTTGACTATTCTGAACATTTTATATAAACGAAATGGTCCAATATGCAGCCTTTTATGTCTGAATTATTTTACTTAGCATAAGTAAAATTAAAGATTCATCCATGTATAAGTATTTTGTTTCTTTTTATGACTGAATATTCCATTGCGTGGATATGCCAAATTTTGCTAATCTACTCATCAGTTGATGGTTTTTTGCATTATTTCCATTTTTGACTATTACAAATAATGCTGCTATGAACATTAGTGTGCCAGTTTTTGTGTGGACATGTTTTCAATTCTCTTGGGTATAAATCTAGGAGTGAAGTTGCTATGTCATGCAATAATTCTATGTTTAATTTTTTTGAGAACTGCCAAATTGTTTTCCAACTCTGCACCATTTAACATTCCCACCATCAATGTGTGACAGTTCCAATTCTGTCTAACGTCAATAACACTTGCTATTGTCTTTTTGATCAGTCATCCTAGTGCGATTGAGGCAGTATCTCATTTTTGTTATTGTACTGTGGTTTGGTTTTGATCACTTTTTTTGGTTTCGATTTGCATTTCCCCAATGGCTAATGATATTGAATATCTTTTTATGTGCTTATTGGCAATTTGTATATATTCTTTCCTGTTGTTGTTGGAGACAGGATCTCACCGTGTTGTCTGGGCTGGGGTGCAGTGGTGCAATCATAGCTCACTGCAACCTTGACCTTCCAGGTTGAAGTAATCTTCCCACTTCAGCCTCCCAAATAGCTGTGACTACAGAAATGCGCCACCACACCCAGTGCTAATTTTTGCATTTTTTGTAGAGATGGGGTTTTGCCACCTTGCCCAGGCTGGTCTTGAACTCTTGAGCTCAAGAGATCTGCCTGCCTCAGGCTCCCAAAATGCTGGGACTACAGGCATGAGCCACTGCACCTGGCTGATTTGTATTATTCTTTGGAGAAATGCCTATGCAGATTATTTGCCTAATTTTGTCTTTTTATTGTTGAGTTGCAAAAACTTTTTAAATATTATGAATAGTAGGCAATTATCAGATACAGGATTTGCAAATATTTCTCCAGTTCTGTGAGTTGTCTTAAAATTCTTGATAGTTTCCTTTGAAGTACAGATAACCTCTGACTTATGATGGTTTGATTACAATTTTTTTACTTTCAGTAGATTTATCAAGATGTAATCCCATTGTAAGTTAAGGAGAATCTGAACATATGATGGTTCAACTTAAAATTTTTCAATTTTACAGTGGGTTTATTGAAGCATTAAAGGCATTTTTGATTTAAGATATATTCAACTTACGACAGTCTTATCAGGATATAATCTCATTATAAGTCAAGAATCATCTGTACAAAAGTTTTAAATTTTGACGAGGTCCAATTTAGCTATTGTTTTCTTTTGTTACTTGTGTTTTAAGTGTCATATATGAGGCACCATTGCCTAATCTATGGTCAAAAAGATTTATACCTTTGTTTTCTTCTAAGAGTTTTGTACTTTTAATGCTTACCTTTAGGTCTATGATCTGTTATGAGTAATTTTTGAATATAGTGTAAGGTAGGAATCCATATTTATTATTTTGTATATGAAAGATTATATCTCAGGACATATTCATTTATTGAAAAGACTATTATTTCCCCATTAAATTGTTTTGTTATCCATGTCAAAAATCAATTGACCATGAATGTGAGGATTAATTTCGGTATTTGAAGTTTCATTCCACTGTTCTACATGTCTGTCCTTAAACTGGTACCCTGCGATCTCAGTAACTATTGATTTGTAGTAAGTTTTGAAATTGGGAAATGTGAATCCTCCAACTTTGTTCTTCTTCAGGATAGTTTTGACTATTCTGGATTATTTGCATTTCCACATGAATTTTAGATCAGCTTGTCAATTTTTGCAAAGTAGCTGAGATTTTAATAATGATTGCATTGAACTGATCAATTTATGTGCTATTGCTAACTTAAAAATAGTTGCTTTTCCAAAACATGAACATATATAACCATCTATTTAGATCTTTAACTTCTTTTAACAATGTTTAATAGTTTTCAGCATACGAGACTTGTTCCTCTTATATTAAATGTATGCCTAAGTATTTTTTTATGCTACTGTAAATAAAATTGTTTTCTTAATTTTATTTTCAGACTGTTGTCAGTGAATAGAAATACAGTTGATTTTTGTGTATTAATCTTGTATCATTGCAATGTTGCTGAACTTATTTAATAGCTATCCTCCTCATTTACTCCTAATTAAAGCTCATTTACATTTTAGCTATAAACTAATATATATTCAATGTATTTTTTGGTAAGATTTATGCCTGAAATTTTGCTGTTTGCTTTCTATATGCCTTTTTTGGTTATTCCATTCCTCAGTTATTGCCTTTTTTCTGTTAAAAAGATATTTTCTTATTCATCTTTTTAAATTCCTTTGTTGTTTACTATTTTTTAAAGTTATTTTCTTAGTAGTTGCCCTGGGATTTACAGTTAACATCTTAACTGATAACAGTCTAGTTTTAATAGCAACTTATTTCAATGTTACATAAAAACTTTGCTCTTATATAGCTGTTGCACTACTCCTTTATGCATTTACTGTTATATAAATTTTATGTTTATATATTATGTATCTGTAAATATAAATTTTTAGCTATGCTTGATGGAGTTGTTTTTTACGTCATATAGAAGAAAAAAAGGAGTTACAAAAATATACTTATATTTTCTTTTATATTTACTTATGTAATTATCTTTATCAGTGAACTTTATTTCTTCATGTGGATAAAGGTTACTGTCTAATGTTCTTTTATTTTAGCCTGAAGGACTGCCCTTGTAAAGTATGTCTGCTAGTGATGAATTGTACTAGATTTTGTTTATCTTGGAATGTCTTTATTTCTCCTTCAATTTTGAAAGAAGTTTTGCTGGATATATAATTCTTAGTTGACATTTCTTTTCTTTCAGCATTTTGAATATGTCATCCCACTGTCTTCTGACCTCCAAAGTTTCTGACAAGAAAGCTATTATTAATCTTACTTAGAATTATTTGTACATGACAAGTCATATCTATCTTGCTGCTTTTAAGATTCTCTCATTGTCTTGGGCTTTCTACAGTTTGATTATGGTGTCTTGGTCTTGGTGTGGATCTCTTTGAGTTTATCCTGCAGGAGTCTGCTGAGCCACTTGCATGTATACATTAATATTTGTCATTCAAATTGAGAAGATTTTGACCATTATTTCTTTAAATATTTCTTCTGCTTCCTCTCTTTCTGGGATTCCCATTATGTATTTGTTGGTATACTAGATGGTAACGCTCAGGCTTCTGACACTTTACTTATTTTTGCTTATTATTTTTTCTTTCTGTTCTTCAGACTAGATAATCTGAGTTGATCTGTGTTCAAATTTCCCAATTCTTTCTTTCACCGGCTCAAATCAGTGGTTGAGCGCTTTAGTAAAATTTTCATTTTGATTATTGTGTTTTTCAACTCTAGAATTTATATTGTGTTTTTACTATAATTTTTCTTTACTGATGCTATTTGGTAAGACATTGTTTTCATACTTTAGTTATTTAGATGTGGCTTTCTTTCTTAAATGTATTTGAAACAGCTGATTTAAAATGTGTCTAAGGTTGGGCATGCTGACTCATGACTGTAATCTCAGCATTTCAGGAGGCTGAGGTGGTAGTAGGATTGCTTGAGCCTGGGAGTTTGAGACCAGCCTGGGCAACATGACAAGATCCCATCTCTGTAAATAGTTTAAAAATTAGCTCAGCATGGTGGCATGCATCTGTGGTCCCAGCTACTTGGGGGGCTGAGGTGGGAGGATCACTTGAGCCCAGGAGGTGAGGCTAAAGTGAGTTATGATCATGCCACTGCATTCCAGCCTGGGTGACAGAGCAAGACCCTATCGCAAAAAAAAAAAAAAAAAAGAAAAGAAAAAGAAAAAGAAGTTCTTGCCTAATAAGTACAATATCTGGGCTTTTTTTTAAGAGACAGTTTATATATATTGATTCCCTTTTTCCTATGAATGGACCATATTCTCTGATTTCTTTGCATGTCTCATAGTTTTTGGTTGAAAAGTAAACATTTTAAGTAATACAATGTAACAACTCTGGAAATCATATTCTTTCACCTGCTTAATGTTTATTATTGTTTATTTAAATGACTTTTCTGAACTAATTCTGTGAAGTCTCTATTCTTTATTGTACATGAACACTGAAGTCTCTGCTCAGGTAGCCTGGTGATAAGCTAAAAAATTAGACAGATTTTCTTAAATAGAGATAAGTAACTCTGTATGTGTTCAGCATGCCTTCAACACTCAGCAAGCAGTTGACAACTCTGCCTTAGTTTTCACTTTCTACTTGCACAGAACCTCAAGGTCAGTCTGAGATTAGAAATTAGAGTCTTCTTAGATCTTTCCTGAACACTTACAAAGCCCTATGCATGCATATAGGCTTTCAGATTCCCAGGAATATGTCAGATCTTTTGAAAGCTCTTATGGACATCTCATTATCTAGATCTTCCTTTTAAGCTTTTCAGTTAGCCTATTGTTTGCCCCAACTTTATTCAACTCTTCAGGCAGTCATGATGTTAATCAGTTGCTTCTATTTGTTTTTGACAAATGCCCCCCAGGTAAAAGACTTTTCACATGGCCAAGAACCCAATCAGGTTAAACAAAGACAAACTTCCAAGTGGGATCTTCCATAGAATCACCAGACAGAGCAAATAATAATTCTCTGGGAATGAGGCTTTGAAAGAGCTACAACCCTATTATTCTTCCTTCAGTGACTACCAGCCCATTGTGGGCTGTTAGTTTTCAAGGCTACCACAGAGCTGGGTAGATGGGTGGGATATGGGAGTAGGGCAACCTAAAGTGCCACAAAGCTCATTGTTCTTACTGAGATGCAGTCTTTTTTTTTTTTTTTTTTTTTTTAAGAGCTCTTTGGATTCCCGTAAGCCTTTGCTTAATTTCTACCTTTCTAAAAAATTGAACCTGACAAGTTTTGCCTGTTTTGCCCATTTTTCCATTACTTTTGTGGAAGAAAAAGTCTTGGAAGCCTTTACCCTACCATTTTGACCAATGCCATTCAATATGTCTTTTTAAATTTAATTCCTCTTCACAATCCCATGAAGCAATATAGTAATTAGTTGAGTTTACAAATTATGAAGCTAAGACTTAGGAGATTAAGTAATCTGCATGGCGTACAGTTAGTAAATGGAAGGGTTGGGATTCAAACTCTTGTTTATTGAACTTAACAGCCTGAATCCAACAGGACACTCACTAGCAAAGGAAGGTGACAGCAAACAAACATTTCAAACTTTTGCCTTCTTCCCCAGGGATCTGGCACTTCAGGCAGTATAGTAAGGTTTAAAGAGTCACTGGCATGAATTTAAATATAAAAAAGAGATTATATTACCACTTCTCTTCTTAAAGCCCAGAAATCCAAAGATTCTGCCTACGGAAATAACATGTTCTGAGACCCTGAAAAATTGGTGTCACATAAGAGACAGTATACTAGAAAATGATATCTTATGGCACTCTTAGAAAAATGCCAAAAGGCCTAAACTACCGTGTCCTTCCTAGGGCAGCTTCCTTCACAGCAGGAAGGGCCCCCTGCTGTGTGAGCTGAATTCCATGAGTAAGCCTTTTTAGCTTAAAAGACTGTCAAATAAATGTTTGTGCCATTTACTCTCTTCCAACTCCATGATCATATAAAACAATAGCCGGGACTATACCAATTTAAGAAAGAATATCCTTTCTTGAGTGCTCAATCCCCAGAAGGATTGTTTTGTTATTTTTGTCACCAGAGTCTGTGGACACATGGAGCTCCATTTTTCAAGTGAGCAATGAAGAAAGGACTAACAAGTGGTCCCAGATTCCCTCATATGAAAACAATAACACACTCTGTAACTTGGAGGTCTGGAGGTTTATGTTGGCACTAATTGGAATGCTAATGCGCAATGAGTCTGGTCTCTCCTCTCAAACACTAACAAACACAAGTCATTTCCTACTGATTGGTTTCAACCTAACAACCATTTTCTTGAGCCCAAAAGAAAATTTTATTTTAGATGATTTAGATTATGTTGATTACTCACTTATGAGCCATACGTAAGTTGGTCAATGAAGAACAGATTGCTACAACTTGTTTTCTGAAGAAACTCCTCCACCCACTTACCACCACCACCACCCAGGATTAACTCTCAAACAAGAATGATATCATGTGAAAAGGAATCTAGAGCTTCCCTAAATACTTCATAAGCTTTGGGGTATCAGAGACCCTTTTGAGCATATGATAAGAGCTACGGGCTCTTGTGAAATGGTCCTACTGATAAAACTGTATTTTTATCTCGGGGCTTCTGATCTCTCTAAAAGCTCATACGTTACTGAGAACCTTTCTATGGTGGGTCTTTGATGTAGTGCGACTAAAGTCTTGGCCATCTCACACAGTACATCTCACTGACTGACTGGAACTCTCCACCTACCAATTTCCAATTCTGCTTTGGCTCCAGAATTTGGCATATAAAGATGAACCTGGAACATCATTTCTGGAAGACCGTCATCAATCATGGAAGCAGATTCCTTTGGAGAGTGTAAAGTATAATGGACCAAACTGTGGCTCCAGCAATGTCATGGAATCACGTTGATTCTTACATATGTGTGTGATTGCTGTTCTCAAAGAGTTTTTAAAAAATTGATATATAAAATATTAATACAGGAATTAGGGAACAGGAAAAAAGAAAAGCAAATTGCAGGTCATTTTAAGTGTGAGTAAAATAAAGTTATAAGACAGCAATATTTTTAGTTGCTTTTTTGCACTGCCAAATATAGAAATACAAGGATTGCTTACAAGTATAGTTATCTTCTTTAACTGTCTTCAGTTCAGTAGGCACTGTTAATATCAGTTGAGGAGCAGACCACGTGATCAGCACTGGACTGCAAGGTGGTTGAGACCTTTAAGAGCTTACAGTCTCATAAGAAGCCAACAGGTAACCTTATATAGTACTAGGTTTGGTCTCGGTAATAGTAATACACAATAGGGCTCTGGCAGCACAGACAAAGGTGCATGGTTCATCTGGGCAGAGTGTGAGTGAGGAAGGTGGTAGGGGAGGAGTTAGGGGAAGCCCTTGGGAAGATATGAAGGCTCCGACTATAGAAGGAAGAATATCATGTCAAGCATTCTAAGGATGAAGAACAGGATTTCCAAAGGCACAAAGCAGGGAGGTATGTAAGGGTCACTGCGAGTTGTGCAGTTTGACTGGGGTTTGATACATGACTAGGGAGACAGGGTTAGAATGGGACTGAAGAGGTTATCAGGGTGGCTGGACCACAGATGGTCTTATTTGCCTATCTGGGAAATATGTCTTTTCCATGAAGCTGTGGGAAACTGTGTGCACTGGGTAGTGGTTTGAGCAGGCTGTGTTTTGGATGGTAAACTCTGGCTGCAGCAAGGGAGACATATTTAAGGCAGAAGTAGAAGCAGTAGGGTGAGAAGCGCTAAAGGCCTGCACTGGGGAAATGGTTTTTAGGGCAGAGAGAAAAAGACTACCTCAGGGAAATTTTCTGATAAAGAATTGCTAGGACTTTGTGGTTGGCCAGATGTTGCAATGAGGGAGATGGCAGAGAAAGGATGGACAAATGTGGAACCTGAACTAAGAGATACTATATGGGATAAGGAACACTTGGTATAGGATGGAGAAGATGCTTCATTGAGTTTGAGGTGCAGATAGAGACACCTTGTAAATATCAGAATGAATCTAAGGATAATGGTTAAAATTTTGTGAGTGAAAGATCTCTCAATGGAAATATGTAGGAAATTAGAGTTCTTGATATTTTGGAGTCATATACTTTTTTTTTTTTTACAACTAACAAAATTTAAACATTTAATTCATACTTAGCGAATGCTATAATTTTTTTGTAATATAATAGATATGGGACTGTTTTAAAGGGTCATCTTATTCCAACCTTTAATTAAACAAAAAGCAAAATCTAAATAAGTAAAAATGACATCTCAACATAGTGGTATAGGGTTCAAAACATTCTAGTTGGAAATGGAACCATACTTCCCATTCTAGAAAAAACTGTTTTCTTGGAGTCATATACTTCTCAAAGAATATGAAGTAAAAGATTGACTTGCACCCCAGGAAAGTACCCATGGGCATGCACACATTTGATTTAACTTATAACCTTAGGGGGTCATAGAGCTGGATTCACATCTTCCATGAAAAGCAAGAGTAGCATCCTATGACTGGAGGTAGGGCGTACTGGATTCAAGTTTCTGGCTCATGTATCAATCAAGTTAGAAGGACTTGGGAAGGCCATCTGATCTTGGAATAGGGAAAATAAATGAGTAAGGTTTAGTGATCACGAGTACTCCCTTGGTTATGAGGCTCTAGAGAATAGAAAATCACTGAACTCAAAAGCTGCCTCTCCTTTCCTCTCCCTCATAAGTCTAATTTTTCTGCCTCCCTTCTCACACCCCTATCTCTCTGACAGAGGCACAATGACAAACTCATTTTCCAAATGTGAGTAGTGATCAGATGCTATTTGAGTTCTTGTCCAACATATGGTTGTGTAGAATAATTGTTCAGAGGAATTTTTATACTCAATATTTCTGCTACTTCTATAACCTGCCCTTAAATTTTAGATCTTGCTGGGGAGTGGGGAAGGGCTGAGTAAGGGAAGAAATGATAGATACGCCTAAGATCACAAAGGAATTCAAGGAGATCATTCTGGTCACTGGCTGGTTCATTTTCTAGCTAAAGACCATAGTACTTTAATGCAAAGATCCATGAAAACATGTCAAAACAGAACTAAAAGTGAATTAAGTGAAGTATAATTTTCTATTATTATTATTGAAATTTTGTTAAGTAATAAACAGCCTCATTATTAGTATGACAATTTGTGGCTTCAAGATAAAAGAGGAAGAGAAAGATCAAGAAATACATGTTTCTTGCAATTTATCATTAACAAAGCTTGACCTTTACTTATTTTGTTATTTTTGTTGGCTTCTCCATCTCGTTAGAAAGGTACAGTTGTTTTTGATATATATTCATGTCCCTAAAAGATCCACAGGGACAAAGAAGAAACTACATTTATTGAACACCTACTGTAGACCAAGAATAGTGCTACATAAACGTTCTTTAATATTCAAAGGAAATTTAGAAGTATCATCATCCACATTTTAAAGATGATAAAAGATAAGTGAGTTTGGGGGGATAAAAAAGAGAGAGGAATGTATAATTGTCATTGTGACCAAAACAGCCACAATAACACGACAACTAGTCATTATATATTGAACACTTGTCTTATGCAGGCTCTGCATTAAGTGCTCAACAATCATTGGCACATTTAACTCTCATTACCCCCATCTTATGACACAAATTTTTACTACTCACAGTAGAAATGAGAAAAGCAATTCTCAAAGGACTTGTCCACAGTCACATGGCTTTCTGGTGCTAGACCTGGGATTCAGAGAATAAAGGGTCACTGATGCACATGTGTACATTTGTGTGGTGTGGGGTGGCCATAGTCCCCATGTGTTCTCAAACCCACCTCTGAATTGAAAGGTGAAGAGCATCGTAAATCATGAAAACCATCCAGGATGTCTCTTCTAACTATTGCTGCGTGTCCTTTTAGCACAGATTTTCATTTTATTGTCATGCCATAGCCTCAAATGTATTCTTGAATTGGATGCTGTTATTTTCAGTCAGTAGAGATAGTATGGGTGAAGCTATCAAAGCATTCTCATTCCAAAGGCTCCCAGACACACAGCTAACACATGGGAGATGTACCACCAGAAATGGGAGGCATGTGAGAATTTGCAGAGAAAACCTATACTCTCAGAATCAGAAGGACTGCTGTCTTAACAAACTGGGCAAAGCAGACTATGTTTCTTTCCTATCAAACTTTCAGTGGCTCCCTATTGCCCAAGGGAACAAAGGTCAGTGTTTTGTTAATGTGTTAACAAAACACATTAGGCCTTCGGTATTTGACCCACTGTCTATTTGGGCCTCACCACCTTCTCTTCCCTATCTCCCTTTTCCCATGCATGGGTCATCTTTTTATACAAAGTTGCTGGGAAGTCTCTGAACATGACCTCAACTTTGAAGGCCTTTGCACATACTGTTCCCTCTGCCTGGAATGCACACTTGCATAACTCACCTGGAGACAGTTGGCTGCCTTCTCCTTTGTGCTACCATAGCATTTTGTTGTGCTATTTCTAGAGCACATTTTCATCTGCCTGAGAGTTCTCTGTGTGTCTTTTATTCTTACCTAAACCTGTAAGTCTGGCACATTGCCTGGCATACAGTAGAAGTTTAACAGATTTTGAGTGAATAAATGCATGGGTAAACAATATTGAGTTAAGTAGGGACTTGTGACAGGCTGTCCATAGACCACAGTGTAAAGTAGAACAATTCTGATATCAGCTTCTATAATCTCCAACTTAATTGCTCAAGAGGGACTGAAAATAGTTAGCATTTGTGTATTCATCCTACATACATTTATAAAGTGCCTTCTCTGTTGGGTGTTGTTCAAGGAGTCTTATAGCAGTGAAGAAGATAGATTAAGCTTAAGTTCTCATGTAGCTTATGTTCTGATTGGAGAAGAAGTCAGACAAATCAACAAAACAAGATTCTCTCCAGTTAAAATAAGTTCTATGAAGAAACTGAAGCTGAGTAGAGTGCAATAAAACATGATGCTATGAACTGAATTGTGTGCTCCACAAATTCACATGTTGAAGCCCTAACCCACAACGTGATGGCATTTGGAGGTGGGGCCTTTGGGAGGTAATGAGATTTAGATGAGGTCATGAGGGTGGGGCCCTTACCATGGGACTAGTGACCTTATAAGAAAAGACAGAACTTGCTTTCTCTCTCCATCATTTGAAGATACTGCCATGGCCATTTGCAAAGAAGGAAAAGAGAGGGTTCCCACCAGAACCTGACTATGCTAGCACCCTGATCTCAGGCTTTCAGACTCCTGATCTGTGAGAAAACTCATTTCTGTTGTTTAAGCTATCCAGTCTGTGACATTTTGTTGTGGCAGCCTGAATTGACAGAAACACATGGGCCTGCCATTTTAGATTGGATGGTGTGGGAGGGACTATGTGAAAGGCTGATATTTGAGCTAAGACCCAAATGTTGAGAAAAAGGCAGTCAAGTGTAGATCTGGGACGAAGGAATAAGTTTTTGAGTAAGAGGGGTGTGTAAGGAAGGCTTGCCGTTTGTAAAATTATGGCACAATCAAAATTGGGCGTCAATTTCTCTCTCCTCCCTTTCTCTCCCACCAGTGTCCACCAGTAATGCTTCATGCCCAGGAATCTAGTGTTTTTAACCAGTACCTCTGTCCCTTTGGGACCATCTACATGATCCTATCCTTCTCCCAAAACCATCTGGGCTTGGGATTTTCTTACATTTCTTTCTTCATCAAAACTTGCTTTTCCTGTGTCCCATTTCCTCCACAACTGATACCTGCTAATATATCTAAGAGATGTCAGTTATTCTTCCCAGATAACATCAGCATTGCACAGGGACACACCAGAGGCAACTTGATTCCAGACGAATGGCAGTGATGATGGGAATTCAAGAATCATGGTGGCCACTGAGCAGGTATTTTGAAGCAAACGAGTCTCTCTTACGGCACTCAAAGTATCCAGCATAGGTAGTTATATTTCCCCTGTCTGGGCTGGCTTCTTCAGCGTAGAGAAGTTACTGACTGCCTGGAATATACTTCAAATTGACACACTTGAGAAGAATAAAAGATCTCTATTTCAATTCCAAAACACTACTGAAAATGGAGCTAGGTTGTAATTTAGGGCAAATATTGACAATATCTCCAATAGATTTTATCCCAATATACCTATATATAAGCCTTGGTTGAATAATTCCTTGTTAAAGGATTTTAGATTAGAATCGGAGTTTTAAATGCTGAACCACAAAGGAGTTGTTGAAACCTCCATAAGCAGCTAAAATCTAGTTCTCACTTCACAAGAAATTTGGCCAAGGAAGATATTAAATAGAGTGGTGTCACCAGTCAGAGTTGATGAAATGCGAGCACAGAGATGGTACCTATCAAGAGGGAAATTAGAATAAATGAATATTAAAATATTTAAATCTATAATAATGTGTTCAAAACACAGTTCTGAAGAACGTTATTACTGGAAGTGAGAAACCAGTGCTAAGTCACTTACATTCTTTTCTAAGCAAGCTCCTTCCCTCCATTTCAACTCATTAGGATAATGTTAGCTTCAAGTGTAATGGTGTAATTTTAACTGTACTGTACACAAATTACTCTGGTTCTTGCACTGACAAGGTTTAGCAATAATCCCCCTTGGTACAGCGTTAGCAATTGCTACAATGCTAGAAAAACAAAAAAGAATGGGGCATTTAGAAATAAGAAATATATACTTAAGAAAACCAGTAGGTTATTTACCAAGGGCAGAGAAGAATGCTCTGCTTCTAAGTTCACTGGGTTTAGTGACTGCCTTCCTTAAAGCTTAAAAAAGTAAAGGGGATTTTGCCATTTCTGAAATGCCTTGGACACTACAATACCTCACAGAGTACAGTGTCATGAGAAACAGCATCATCCTATAGATCTTTGATTTTTACTAGTTAATCATCTAAAGGATAGACTTCTGTTACTAACCTGTATATACACACACCTACAAACACATGCTTCTTTGAGTGCTAAAGGTCAAATTTCTGCCACATATTATAGAGCAAATATATATTTTTAATGTTCAATGGCTACTATCCAGTTCTCTTGGTTAGAAAAATGGAGAAGGTAGTAACTTCCTCACAGATGTCTATGAGGATTAAATTAAGTAGTGAATGTCAACCACTTAATACAGTGCTTGCCACGCAGTGAGGACTTAATATTATAGAAGATAGCAGTCATTATTATTATTTGCTGCAAGGTGAACACAATGATTCTGTTATTTCTGTTATCTGAATGAGAATCCAGGACTCTGAAGCTCATGCATGTACATTATTACATTTAAACCTTAAAACCACCTATTCTAGTGCGATGGGTCAGCAAGAACACTCATTCTTCCAGATGGGGAAGGTGATACTCTGCAAGAATAAGCTACTTGCTGAGGGTGTTGTAGCTAGAATTATAGCCTGGATTGTCTAAATCCTAGTGACCCACATAGCCTCTTTTTATTGCTCCTCTCAATAACCTGGACTTGCAACTATCCATTCATTTATTCAATATATATTAAGAGCTTACCTTATATCAGATACTGCTCCTTACACAGAGGCCTCAGCAGAGAAGAAGACAGATCACATTCTTGTGGTCATGAGCTTACTTTCCTGTGGGAGTTTTGGACTAGATGGTTGAGACAGTGTAATTAATGTAATAAGAGATCTAGTGTTATGGGCTGAAATGTGGCCCCCTCCCACCCCATTCATATATTGAGTCCCTAACCCCCAGTAATGTAGAATGTGACTGTATTTGGAGATACATTGGGGTGGGCTTTAATCCAATCTGACTGATGTCCTTATAAGAGGAAATTTGGACACAGGACACCAGGAGCAAGAGTGCAGAAAAAAGAACATGTGAAGACACAGCAAGAAGGCAGCCATCTGCACTCCAGGAAAGAAAAACTTCGGAAGAAACCTTCATCTTAGACTTCCAGCCTCCAGCACAGCAAGAAAACACATTTCTGTTATTTAAGCTGCCTGGTCTGGTATTTCGTTATGCTCATCCTAGCAGGCAAAACCATCTCGTAAAAGAAGTTAATAAATAGTGTGGAAAACAGGCGAGGAAGTGAATACTAAGGATGATCAGGAGTGTTGTGGGGGTGCGTTGCAATATTCAACAGGGGGGTTGGCACAGGTTTCAATGGCAAGAGAAAATTTGAGCAAAGACTTGAAGACAATAAAGGAATTTGCTATGAAGATCCTTGGAGAAGGGCTTCCCAGTAGAGGGGACAGTTAGTACAAAGGTCCTGAGGTGGGAGTGTGCAGACATGGTAAGGAACCACTGTGAAGAAGAGTGTGGCTGGAGAAGAATGAGCAGGGGTGTGTAGGGGAAGTCAGAGAGGCAAAGCAAAGGGAGGGCCAGGTCAGGAAAGCCTTGCAGGCCACTGAAAGAGCTTTGATTTCTTCTCTGCATGAAATGAAGAACTGTTGCTGGATTCTGAACGAAGTGACGTGACCCGACATATTTTAAAAGGATCACTTTGGCTTCTGTGTTAAGAATAGACATAGGCTGTTGCAGTAATTCAGGCAAGAGATGACAGCAAGTTCAAACTAGAGTACTAGGCACGCAAGTGGTGATAAATGGTTAGATTCTGGATCTGCTGTGAAGGTGAAGCCAACAGGATTTCTTGATAGATTGGACAATGGGAGATGAGAGAAAAAGTAACGTCAAGGATGACTCCCAGGTTTTTGGCCTGAGCAAAGGAGAGGGTATCATTGCAATCATCTAAGATGGAGAAAGCCACAGGTAGAAGTGATTTGAAGAGGAGGATCAACAATTTAATTTTAGATGTATTGAGTTTAGAATATCAGACATTCATTCAAATGGAGATGTCAGGTAAGCAGCCTCATGTTGGTGTCTGATGTTGGGAAGAGAGCACTGTGCACTGTACCAGGGATATAAGAGACTAAGCCTGATTGGAGACAGGATGAAAACAAAGACTGATCCCTGGGGAACCCATCAGAGAGAAATCAGGGAGAAGTAGAAGAATCAGCAAAAGAGACTGAGAAGGAACACTGGTGTCTCCTGTTTCCTAGAAGCTGAGTGAAGAGATTGTTTTTAGGATGAAAGGTTTGATCAACTGTGTCAGATACTGCCAATAAGTCAAGGAAGATGAGTACTAAGAATTGAACTTTGGATTTAGCATGGAAGTCACTGGTGACCCAGAAAAAGAAATGTCTGTGGGCTTGTAAGGGAG
This sequence comes from Homo sapiens, assembly GCF_000001405.40. Classification (NCBI taxonomy): domain Eukaryota; kingdom Metazoa; phylum Chordata; class Mammalia; order Primates; family Hominidae; genus Homo; species Homo sapiens. The sequence continues at coordinate 158,649,745 of NC_000005.10, read as the reverse complement.
ATAGCTTGACTGGGGTAGGTTTGTGAGAGGGAAAAGAAAGGAATTAAGGACAGTGAAGAGAAGTAACTCTTCGGCCGGGTGTGGTGGCTCACACCTGTAATCCCAGCACTTTGGGAGGCCGAGGTGGGCGGATCATGAGGTCAGGAGATAGAGACAATCCTGGCTAACACGGTGAAACCCCATCTCTACTAAAAGTACAAAAACAACAACAACAAAAAATTAGCTGGGCGTGGTGGCAGGCGCCTGTAGTCCCAGCTACTCGGGAGGCTGAAGCAGGAGAATGGCGTGAGCCCAGGAGGCAGAGATTGCAGTGAGCCAAGATCGTGCCACTGCATTCCAGCCTGGGTAACAGAGCAAGACTCCATCTCAAAAAAAAAAAAAAAAAAAAAAGGAAAAAGTAATTCTTCAAGGACCCTTGATGTGAAGAGGAGCAAGAAAATGAGACAGTATTGGTGGGCAAGTTAAGTGAAGATTCAATATTTTCTGGAAAAATGTCTTTCCTTATAAGAAAATGGGAGAAATAACAGAATGTTTTTATTTCCATCAGAATAATCCAGTAGAGAGGGGGAAACTGATAAAGAGGAAGAGGAGAGAATAGCTGGGGTTATCGGAGGAGGGAGTGGGGATGGCATCTCATGGTCCTGATAGGCTTTCAGTAGAAAGGAGGGCAGTTAGTCCATGTGCCTGTGTAGCTGGGTTGAGGTAGGGCTAGGGGCTTCTGCTTGTTTCTATTTTTCTCAGTGAAGGATGAAGAAGCAGGATCAACAGCTGAGAGTGAAGCTGGAGAAGGGATGTTGAGGGTTGGAACTAGAGAAGGTATGATAGAGTAATATATTTGTTTGCATAGCAAAATACCACAAACTGGGTGGCTTAACCAAAATTTATTGTCTCACAGTCTTGGAATCTAGAAGTCTGATATCAAGAGGTTGGCAGTACTGGTTCCTTCTGGGAGCTGTGAGGAAGAATCTTTTCCAGACCTCTCCCCCAGTTGCTGGTGGCTTGCTGGCAACCTTTGGTGTTCCTTGGCTTGTAGAAGCACCACCTCTATCTGTCTTCATCTTCACATGGTGTTCTCGGTGTGTGTGTCTTCATGTCTGAATTTCCCCTTTTTATAAGGACACCAGCTGTCATAGATTAAGGCTCACCCTGCTGACCTTAATTTAATTAATTACAACTGCGAGGACCCTATTCCCAAATAAGGTCATATTCTGAGGTATTGGGGTTAAGGACTTCAATATATGGATTTTGGTGGGCGACACAGTTCAAACCTATCACAAGTGGCCACAGAGAGCAGAATAGTCTAGAAGTTTAGCGTATTTGCCTGGAAGCACCAAGAGCCATGTGACATTTGTGGTCATAATTCCAAAGTCAGTCCATTCAGCACGGGAGACCATTTTCTCCACCAACATTCAGTTGAATGGTGCGAGTATAAAGGAGAAAGAAAATTGGATTTAACCAAGGTTGTGGTTTTACCTGATAACAGCAGCAAGGGATTCAAGGATATACATCATTAAGTGATTATTATAATTTACCAAAGAATTGAAGTGAGGTAGGGAGGAAAGATGGGATTTAAGTGGTTAAGGGACAGAGAAAAGTTTAATTTAGGATCAATGGATTGGAGTTCCTGGTGGAGGTGAAGATGATTGAAGTTGGGGCACTTGGGGAAGTTGGAATATCAGGAGATAAGCAGAAAGGGAGGTGCACAAAACCAAAATAAAATGGTGTTTGATTTTTGCTGATAATGAGGTCCAAGGTATGGCAAGGGAGTGAGTGGCTGAGCTGGAGAAGTGGACAAGGTCGTTGGAAGAGCAGAGGTGACATTATTGAGAAGCCAGTGTCTTAGAAGGAACAGCTATGTACCCATTGAAATTATAAAGTTTTCATTAATTAATTAACTCATTCATTCATTCAATTATACATCTGTCAGCCATGAAAGAGAATAGAACCCTGTTAAGAACAAGGATCATGAAACCCAACAGGAGAGGCACTGCTAAGCCCAGCTGTCCCTAGCTGAGCTTAGAAGATGGTCTTAGGCTGGCCTATTGCTGGGTAATTATGGGAGTAGAAAAAGAAAAACAACTTCTGTGAAGCTAACTCTGAAACTCCTTTGAAACTCAAATAAACAATTAACCCAGAGGAAAATAAAAACTTCATATTCTAAATATCCTTCACCGCTTGGTTTAGAAATTATTGTTATTTGGTCTCGTCAGTAGCTTACACCCATTGTGTTGATATGTGTGTTTCCTGGGGATTCTACACACTCCAAAATCTGAAGAGTAAGCAAAAATAGTGCTTCTGCTTAAACCCTTCACAGTTTATAGCCACATTTACATAACATTAAATAAGTCAACAAAGGCATCATTAGCTCCCATTAAAATATGAGCAAAGAAATTTAAACGAACAAGACAGGCTAATTGGTAAGTAATGTTGTGTATCAAAAATTATGACTGTAAGATACCCCAGTTAATGAGAAGCCCTACAATCATGTTTACTACATATTTAAAAATTAAATGAAGGTGAATAAAAGTTAAGAGAAAAGAAGATTTTTCCCTTCAAGGATGCTATTATATCTGTTTTTCAAAGTTAAAACTGCTAAGGGTAATTTTAGCCATTTACCTTGACAAAAGAGCTCTTTATAATTTATATAATTTTACCATTTTGGTTCTCCTTGGGTCATAAACAGGGAAGCCATGGACAGGGTAGAGGGAAAGGGCAGAAGTCTTGATTTATACCCAGGAAGAGGTCTTAGTTTTCTCTCGGGCCTTGGTCATTAGAGGAACTCTTTCCTCCCTTAAACTATGGAGGCTATGGGCCCAATCCTAAGCAAAGTGTGCCCTTCAAGTCAGCTGTAGGAAACGATGTGTTCAACCACTCCACTTCATGTCTGAATGACAGTGGCTCCTAGTGCTGTCTGCTTGAAAGATCACCTGGGGTGAAACTAAAAATGCTGATGCATAGGCCCCACTACAGAACAATTAAATCAGAATCTCGGAGGGGGTCCAGACATCTGTATTTTAGAAAAGCTTCCTCATTGATTCTAAAGTACAGCCAAGGTTGAAAACCACTGCCCTAGTGCTCTTTCTACCATTTACTGAATGACCACTATATACTAGGCTCTCTGCTAGGAACATATGCAGGCTAGTTTATACTTCATTTGATATGATTGTAGTTTCAGACAGCCGAGGCATTAGTAGCAAATATTTGGGAGGAGAGGAAAAAAAAAAAAGGAGGTCTTCCTGGCATCCCTTAGGGGATTCAGAATATCTGCAAGTCAAGCCGAGATCTAACCGTGTGATGTTGGCATGTTGTGATCAGTGAATGTGGGATAGAAGCTGTCTTGGTGTCCCAGGCAACACAGGGTCCAATGTACTCCGTGTGTGTGTGCACACGTGTGTGCATGTGTGTTGAGAGAAGATGTGGTCTTGACACTTTGTTTAGCTCAAGACACTAACTTTATTTGAAAGTAGAGGACTTCCTTTATATATTTCTCCTGGTCAGCACAACTCTGCAATAATAGCTAAGACAGCTGACTCTTCCCGATAAAACACTGAAAAAGACCTAAGAGAAACCACTTTATAAATTGTATTAATTGCCTACTCCTTAACCCCAAATCCAGCTTTCTGGGTCCTTAGAGTCTCCATTTTTGGGTTTGTCTATGGGGAATATTTCTAGAAAGCCAATGTTATGGGAATCAAGGCCTTTAGATGCTAATGGCAAGAGGAAATTGCTCTTGCTTCTGAACTCTGAAAAGAAATAATTTAATAAACCATAAAGGTTTTTTTTTTTAACTTTTAGGTTCTAGGGTACATGTGCACGTTCATTACATAGGTAAACTCATGTCACAGGGGTTTGTTGTACAGATTATTTCATTGCCCAGTTACTAAACCTAGTACCCAATAGTTATTTTTTCTTTTCATCTTCTTACCACCCTCCACCCTCAGGTAAGCCCCAGTGTCTATTGTTTCCCTCTATGTGTCTCATTGTTTAGCTCACACTTGTAAGTGAGAACATGCAGTATTTGGTTTTCTGTTCCTGCATTAGTTTGCTTAAGATAATGGCCTCCAACTCCATCCATGTTTCTGCAAAGGACATGATCTTATTATTTTTATGGCTGTTTAGTGTTCCATGGTGTATATGTGCCACATTTTCTTTATCCAATCTACCATTGATGGGCATTTAGGTTGATTCCGTGTCTTTGCTATTGTAAATAGTGTTGCAATGAACACTCACATACATCTTTAAGATAGAATGATTTATATTCCTTTAGGTATATTCCCAGTAATGGGATTACTGGTTTGAATGTTAGTTCTGTTTTCAGCTCTTTGAGGAATCACCACCTTGCTTTCCACAATGGTTGAACTAATTTACACCCCCATCAACAGTGCATAAGCGTTCCCTTTTCTTCATCGCCTCTCCCCATCTGTTACTTTTTGACTTTTTATTAATAGCCATTCTGGCTGATGTGAGATGGTCTCATTGTGGTTTTGATTTGCATTTCTCTAATGATCAAGTGATAGAGATTTTTTTCATAAGATTGTTGGCTGCATCTATATCTTCTTTTGAAAAGTGTCTGTTCAAGTCCTATGCCCACTTTTTAATCGCTTTTTTTTTTTTTTTGTAAATTTAAGTTCCTTATAGTCCTGGATATTAGACCGTTGGCAGATGCACAGTTTGAAAGTGTTTTCTCCCATTCTGTAGGCTGTCTGTTTACTCTGATAGTTTCTTTTGCTATGCAGAAGCTCTTTAATTAGATCCCACTTGTCAATTTTTGGTTTCGTTGTGAGTGCTTTTGGTGTCCTTGTCATAAAATCTTTACCCTTTCCTATGTCCAGGATGGTATTGCCTAGGATGTCTCCCTGGGTTTTTATAGATTTGGGTTTTACGTTAAGGTCTTTAATCCATCTTGAGTTGATTTTTTTAGATGGTATAGGGAAGGGGTCCTGTTTCAATATTCTGCATATGGCTAGCCAGTTACCCTAGCACCATTTATTGAACAGGGAGTCCTTTCTCCATTGCTTGCATTCATCAGCTTTGTCAAAGATTAGATGTTTGTAGGTGTGCTGCCTTATTTCTGGGCTCTCTATTCTGTTCCATTAATCTATGTGCCTGTTTTTGTACTGGTACCATGCTGTGTGGGTTACTATAGCCCTGTAGTACAGTTAACAATGTATCCAACTTGAAGTAAAAAGAAGCATTCTGTATTACAGTGCTAGGGTTATCTGCCTTTCCCTTCCATTTGGAAAATGACTCATGGGCTATAGCAACAGTAGAGCCTTATGTATGAAAACCCATAAATGACAAGTTTTTATTCTGTGGTTTCTGTTTCAAAGTCCCCTACCTAAAAATTTGTCTGAATTTGACTTTTTCCAAAATGATTTCCTATCCTTGAAATGGTCTTCACCCCAGATCTAACATGTCTCTCTCACTTCCTTTAAACTGCTCTAGAAATCCCAAATCCTTATAAAGACTTGATTTATTCACTGGGTCATTCAGAGGATATTGATGGAAATGCACTCTATGCTACATACTGAACCAGGTGCTGGGAATGTAGTAGTGAACAGAACAGTCATTGTCCTTGCTCTTAAGAAACTTGTATTCTACCAGGAAAGAAGATATTATGCAGGCAAGTTAACAATTATTTTCTTACAATTTTGATAATGCTTATGTGGAAGTCATCCAAGAAATGTTCCAAGTATATAACAGAAGAACGTGAGCCAGTCTTTGGGGTCTGGTGGAGTTGAGGTAAAGAGCTCCCTGAGGAAGTGTTAACTCAGATAGGAAAGACCACAAGCATGCATCTAACATAGCTGAGTGAAGAGAAAAAGTGAGAGCACTTACAGCAGAGTCAACAGCCAGTACAAAGGCCCTGAGGCAGAGAAAAAGAAAGCAATTTCCATGAATTGAAAACCAGGAGGAAGGGTATGACTGGAGTGAAATGAGCCACACTGTGAAAGACAGATGAGAGGTAGAAAGGGCCACATGCCAGACAGATGGCCATAGTAAGAAGCATATATTATAATTACACTGGGAACTTTTTGAAGGTATTATCGTAAGCAAGTGGTTGACATAATCAGATATGCATTAAAAAATTCACTCTGGCTGAACATAGAAGTAAAACTGGAAAGAAGTAGTGGCATTATCTGGGAAGACTATTTTGGAGATGATTGAAGTTACCTATTGGTGGGGATGAAGACCTGGGCTGGAGTGGGGGCTGTGGAGCTGAGAGGATGTGTCTGAGATTTATATAGGCTCATTCCCCGCTGCAGGTTCTTGTTTACAATGCCCAATCGACAATGAGATTCCCAATCACCTACTCAGAAAGCAGATTCAGGCCTTACCAATAAATAAATACAAATTGGCATGCCTGGGAATTGTATATATGGCCTGAAAGACTAAGAAAAAAAGATTCTTTTACATTAGCCAGCTGTACTTCAGAATAATACACAGACCTCTGTGAATCATTTCATGGTTTATTAAACAAAATTCTGTTTGCAATTGGCAAGTTAGGAAAATAAATGTCCATGTTTGTTTTCACTTTCTATTTCCTTGGTTTGTTTAGAGACACACAGCCCCATTCTCAGGGCTGTCCTTGGAGACCCATTAAGCAGACCTGCATCCCCACTTTGGAATGTCCCAGGGAAATCAGTGGCAGATTTCCATTCACTCCTATGAGAACAAAAGGGAATTCTTGATGTTGTTCCCATCAACAGAGAGGGTGTATGGGCTGCCTGCCAGAGCTAGCAGGTTACCAGCCTCTTATGTGTTATTGTTCTAGATTCTAACCCCTTGGACCATCTGCCTTTCTGAAACTGGGAGAATGCTGTGCATAATCTACCTGCAGAAGAGCTTTCCCTTTTCTAAGAAATAATACTCTACCACTATGAACTAAGCATGTCATTTGGGGTGTATGTGTATGTGTGTGTATTTTGGGGGAAGATTTATTTGGCTTAATTCGACTTGAGTGCCTGGTTTAGGGGTGGGGCAAGGAACTTGAACATGCATCAGAATCCCTTGGAGGACTTGTTAAAATACAGAGTGCTGGGCCTCATCTCCAGAGTTTCTAAGTCAGATCTGGGGTTGGGCCTGAGCATTTGCATTTCTAACGAGGTCCCAGATGATGCTGAAGCTGTTGGTCTGGGGACCATATTTTGAGAACCACTGGTCTATGTGATGCAGCCCACAGGTCCATTGTATTCAGTGAATAAACTATTTATCAAGGGCCTCTTGTGTGCCTGGCCCTCTACCTGCCTCTAGGTCCTTGAATATCCAGTTTCTTCAGCTTGGAGTTCTCCTCGAAACTTCCCTGCCCCACAAGGCTTAGTTTATCTAGTCCCTGAGGCATCACCCATGCTTTCTCTACCCCATGTTTATCTATTACATTGCGTGGCAAATGCCCTCCCTTGATAATAGGGTCTTCCTCATTCTTCTTGGTGCAAGAGTTGGCACATAGTAAGGGTTAAGTTAAATAAAATCAGTGCTTGGTAAATGAATGAATGACTGGTTCAGGATAGATCTCTGACCTGGGACACCTTGGCAGCATCTAGGATATTCACCTGGAACTGAATCATATTTCTATGGACATCATCATTCATTAGGGCTTCTAATATGTGCTCTACTTTATAGTAGGTAGGCATTATCTCTTGTGGGCAAAGATTTTTACATCCAATTATACCAAAGAAAATAGTCAAATATAAAATTACAATATAAGGATAACCTTTTCTGTTGATGGACATATCTAAAGTCACTAAGCATTGTAGGCTTCTGGAAGAAAAGGTCATCATTGCTCTGCACATATCAGGTGAATCTCTGATCTGATATGTTCATGGATTCATTGAATTCAGTTATTCATTCAAATTCTTATTTAAAATGCCAGTTAGGCTAGGCACAGGAGAATCTTAAAGTTGCAAGGAGACTTAGAGTTTCTTTACTGTAACCATTTTCCAGATGCTAGAATCCTCTCAAAACTTTTCCAGCCCAGATGGCCAACAACTACTTAAACACTTCTAGTAAAGAAGACTTGCTAACTCCAATGGTAGCCAATCTTTGAATCACTGCTGATAACCTTTCTTATATAGAGATCTCTCTCCTTGAAGTTTCTTCTATAGAACCTATTTTGCCCTCCTTCGGTAATGGAGCATGTTTAATTTCCCTTCCCCAGGGCAGCCTCGTTAGATAAGGGAGGTGGGTATGACACAGTGGGGCAGAGCACGGACACAGAAGCTGGATGCCCCAGCTTCAAATCCCATTTCCCAAATATATCAGTTAGTTAACCTTCCTATGACCCAGTTTCTCATCTCTAAAATGGGGACAATATACCTTAAATAATTGTTGTGAGGATTAACAAATTTATCGCGTGCAATGAAATTAGAACAAGGTTGGGCATATAACGACCAGTAATTAATATTAATTGTTGTTGTTACTTTTATTACTATTCTTTGCAAAAAGGTATCTTCTCTTGTCAATGTCCAACTAAGCATCCTTGTGTCAGCCAAGCATGACATCACCCAGCACTGACTGTTCTCATCTCCTTGATCTTTTCCAGACACACCTCCAGTGTATTAGATCCTTGTTATCATGGTGTTCAGAACAGAGCCTAACACTAGGGGCTGTTTGTCCCTCACAGGATAGAAATGGATTATCATCCCTTTTGTTTTGAATTCAGTTTGGTAGTAAGAGGAGTAATAATAAAAATATATTAAGTGCCTATTCTATGTAGATATTATGCTAGACTCTTTAAATACATCATTTCCCATTCTTAAAACAGTTGAGTGAGACAGGTAAGGTGCTTGCACAGGAGATCACTAAGGGATAGAGAATCCAGGATTCAAACAGATCTGCAGGCATCAGAGGGGACCTGCTTGTCATCCTCCATGCTGTTGCACTATACCCAGTGAATGTCCAAGAAATGACAGGGCCCCTGATCTAGCAGTCAGGGCAAAGCTGTAAAAATGAGTCACAAGGCTTGCAGCACTGCGTGGGAAGAGTGGTCAGATTACAGCCTTATTTATTCACCATTGCAATAGCCGTTCTCTCTCTGATCTTTTGCCCTGTTTCTTGAGTTAGGCAAAGAAAATCCTCTTGGGCAGAATATAATAAAGCCCTGAAACCATTTGGAGGACCAAGCCTGTTGCATTGCAAACACCAAGATGAGATAGTTGGTATCAAAAGAATGTAGTACATTGGGTGCTACTTCCTCCTACCATCCAGTTATTAATGGGTCATGCAATAACGATTTTTCCCATTACCAGATAGTTTGTAACAGTAACAGTAACTGCTGATCAGCACTGAATGTCATCTGCAAGGACTGTTGGGTGGATGAGCAGCAGCTGACATGCATTGGGCACTTGGTTCATGCCAGGCTGCCTGCCAAATGCTACACACTCATTTTCTCCTATGTCATGATAGCCCAGCAAGTGAGCCATCAGGGTTATTGTCTTTCCTGAATGAGGAAGCTGCGATTAGGCCAGGCATGTGGCTTGTCTCATACATACATATATACGGGAGGCTAGGGTTTGAATTCCAAGCTGTTTGAACCCCTTTGTTGCCACAATTCTATCTAGGAGCTGTTTCTACATATGTCTCATTTTCCTCTGACTAATGTCCAGGAGTGCCTTTCCTTCATACATGCATACATACCACTGCCACCACCACAATGAGGCCAGCTGGAAGCTGGTGGGGCTCTGTGGGGACTATGGAGGATGGCGGGTGTTCCTGTGGGGAGCACACAGCCACCACCCTGTCAGCCACAGAAAATTCTTAAGGAAAGGCTCAGCTCTCCCAAAACGGAAGGAGGTAAATACTAGTAAACACAACTCCATATCCACAGGAGGTGTGTGTTTTTACAAAGCATGGTCATGCATGTTAAATTATTACATTCCCACAGCTAGGGCCTCAGCTAGATCTGACTTTGGAACCCCCATTTTTATTTTCTTCCCTTCCTTGGTATCTTACTTTTCAAACTTTTCATTTAAAATAGAAATTTATGGAAATAAAGCTTGAACATTGTAGGAAAAAAGGGGGAATATAGATAAGCAAAGAGAAAAAATGCAAAGCTGTCCAAATCCTCCTTCCAAGGCAACCTCTATTAACATTTATTTTTTCCTAGACACTTTTACCCCCAAATACACACATACTTTTTTTTAAAGAAAGTGATATCATACATATTAATTCATGACCTGTTTTTATTTCCTCCACAATATATTATGCATGTGTTTCCATGTTAGCATTTGTGGTGCTCTCTAGAACCATTTTTAATGGCCCATTCTATCCCACTATTTTAATATCTTAAAGTTAGACAAACAAACCCTATTCTTTTTTTGCTCTCTCTCTAAAGCTATTTAGGAGAATGATGGGCCAGTTAAACGAAAACAAATAGCAAACATTTTTCTTCCCAATAGCCTTAGCCAGAACCTTAAATCTCCCTTCCCACCCCCACCCCTCACTGCCCAAATTCCACCTGGACACAAGACTGCCTAGAGAATGAGGTAGCTCCACCTGAGGTGTACCATCAATTCAGAGAAGCATCTTAAACTCAATCCAAGCCCGGAAATCACAAAGGGTTTCCTATTGCCTTCTTTGGGACGAAGACAAAGAAGGGGCTAATGTTACCTGTATTCTGACCACTCTGATAAGGGCAAGGTCTACAATCTTAACTAATCCCCCCAAGCCTTTGTAGTGGGCAATGAGAAGATCCCTCATGCTGACTCAGATTCTCCACAGAAGAGAAAACGCACCCAGCCATTTGATGGAAGAGCTTTCCCAAGCTCTCCCCTTACCAGCCATTGTCACAGTTATAACTAGATAACTCTGTGTGTACATCCCGGCCTCCCTTGCTGCCCTAGGATAACATTTGTCATTAAAACAAAAAATGCCTACTTTGGAGGTTTATCATTCTCTGCCAGATCAGATGAAGTTTTTTCTTTAAAAAAGAAAAAAAAAATGACAATAAGAAACTGAAGGGGAAAAAGAGGTGGGGAGAGAAGAGATCAAGGGGGTTAAGCATATATGAGGAATTATAGGGATGATTTAGTTACGGATACTTGCTTGGTGGTATGTTGTGGCTTCCATTTCTATGCATCACATTAATTTGTCCCCATCCTTCTTTGCGTGGGTGAGAGAATTTCCAAGCAAAGCACCCTCTGCGTTTGAATCCATGCCAACTGTCAAAGGTACACAACAGGACTGCTAAAAGCAAGAGAGGGGCTGATGGAATCTTAATAGCTCTGGGAACTCACTCACTCCTTCCTCTCCTTGGAGCCCCATTAATTGTACAGTTGGTAACATCAAATGATTTTGAATCCCTTTTCTACAACTGCTATTTTAGCTCCTTTCCCATCTTTAAACTATATTTCCCATGGTAATTATTACATTTCTTTTATTTCCAATGTCAGCTTATTTAAAAAAAAAATCGGACAGCACAGCTAAAGGAGCCAAAATAGAACAATTTGTTATATTAAGCAAATATTTATTTGCATAATTGTCACTCTCATTTCTATATTAGCACAGCAGCAAAACTAACAATATTCAATTCAGAAGGGCAAGACATGGTATACAAGACGTTGTATCTCACTGGGGAATAGCCAGGGGACTAAACAACAACAGACCTCACCTTCTAAGGCCCATGTCTAACTGCAAGTTAGGAATTTTCCCTACTATACCACTGCCCCTGACCTTATTACCTCAGGGAATATCTTAACATGTTTTATAGATAAAATTTAATCTGATATTATATTTAAAATATATTGTATAAAGTTAAAAAATGAACTGCAAGCCAGAATGTGAGAACTTTCATTTTCCAGGAAAATGGGTCTGCAAAAATAGCCCCAATTTATTGATCTTTTAGCCTCAATTTGTTGATCTCTCAACGATCTCTCCCAATTCCTAACACAAAGTAGATCAACAATCTCTCCTGATTCCTAACACAAAGTAGATCAACAATCTCTCCTGATTCCTAACACAAAGCAGGTAAATCCAAAGAATTTTGCATTTGTTTAGGAAAATTCTTATTTGTGAGCCTTGTTTGTACATAGAATTATGCAGGAGGTAGGCCTGCCCTAGGTTCCTTGAAATATGAGTGAATAAAGACCATCTCAGAATATGAGTTTTAAATATACGTATATTAATTTATATGAAGTTAAATGACCTTTGTAGTTCAAATTTAGAAAACATTTATTATATGTCAACTCAATGTGTTGCCGTTGATAATACAATAGGTGGTGATTTTTATTTCCATATAGAAAAAACTGTCAAGATCACTTTATACTAGTGGGCATATGAAAAAATCATACTGTTTAAACTGGCAACTAGTATTTTCTTAACTAGAGAATCTATAGCTTTCTGGTCTAGGTTCCTGGTCATTTATGAAAACATTTCTAAGATCTGAAATAACCCTGGGACTGGGTCTTTTCAAGAATCAAGCATACAACTATGTAATTTGAAGGCTTTAGTTGTTTATAACACAGGCTGTGCAGTCAGATCGGTGGGGAAATCCCAGCTCTGTCACTAAGAGCTGTGTAACTTTGGGCAAGTAACCTGACCTCTGAGAGCATAGCTGTCTGCACCTGTAAAAGAGAGATCAGAAAAATGTCTATCACACATAACCCTTAAGGAGACAAGTTATATGAAGGCAAGGTGCCCAGCACATAGTGTCAGTCAATAGTATTCATCATTAATGTGTGTGCTAATTTGCAAAAAGACTCCCTTCTCAGCTCAGTGTTTGGGAAAGCCACAGCATAAATGAGAAATCCAGGGACTGGGGTGGGGAAAGGAAGTGCTGGATGGAGGGTGGGAGGGGTTGGCAATGGATGCAGAAATCCATTTTAATTGCAATTTGAAACTAGAATCTTGACCTCCTAAAGTGGCAGCTTGATCTTTTGTCATCAGAGCCTCTATTAATCAGAGTGAGACTTGAAAGTAAGGTAGTTTCTTTCAAATTATCCACTAGCACACCATGGGAATCTTTGTCTCCTCCTCTAGAATCTTCTGGTAAGGTTATGGAGTTTATGGTTCCCATAATGCACATGTACAGTATCTATTTCATTTAATTCACTATTAACAAATCCAGTTGCACTTGCTGCAACACAGCTGGATAAAAAGAATTAAAATCAACCATCTATGGTAGACTTGGAATGTAGGTATTAGCAGCTTTATTTGCAAACCCACCCTGCTCTCACCTATCTTGTGTAATGCCGTAAATTCCATTCAATACCCAATTATTAAACACAGCTTTATGCCAAGCACAGTCACTATGTTTTCCCCAGCAAACACGTTTCTTACACTGGTTTTGCTACACCCCAGTGTCACCCAAAGGTGTGAGAGATTTTTGTAAAAAACCAACCAAGTAAACAACAAGTTTTGTAAAATTTCTATATCTGTAAGGCAAAATTTACATGTTACATTTGTATAACTTGAGAAAGTGAAATGGTTGGTTATTTTTTCTAGTCTTGAGTTTAATGGTGCTAGAACTTTCTATTACCAGCAGAGGCGTTTTGGCAGTTCGCATCTGTGTAAGAGAAATCCATATAGCTAGCTCCGAATCAGGGAGTGATCCATTTTAGAGATTTACGTGGACAGGAAATGGAAAACCATCCATCCTCGAGACATCTACGCTTTCCATGTTTCTCTTTCTGGGAACACACCTCTTATATTCTTTTCTCTGTGCCACTGATCAAAGTTCCCACTTGTCAGGGCAGATTGGCTTTCTCTGCTACTCTCTCAGCTCACAATTGGCTGAAAAAGGCCACCTCATTCTCATCTCAATGTAACCTTTCATTAAGATGCCTGCCATTGTCTGATTCCAGGTGACGCGTCTCTTAGTTCAGATTTTCAAGAGAAAGAACTGAATGCGTTATCATCTAGTCTTCGGCCTACCTCCCCCTAAGTCCTGAATCTACCCCTGTTCTAACCAGTTGTAAGGGAGGAAGGGTAATATGGTACAAAACTGGCGGGCTAGACCTACCTTTTACAAATGTGTCTGTCACAATGAAACCACTCAGTCAAATTTCTCACTTCCTCTCTCAATAGGAAGGGTACCCAAACTTGTGATGTAGCCCTTCAAACTAAAAGGATTCCCTACCTTTTCAAAATTAAATAACCTGATGTTTCTCCAAAATAACCTGTGTTTCAAATGCATTTAAAATTCTCTCATCTTTTCCCATTTTGATTCATCCTAAAGTCATTTAAACAGGTATCTCCTATTGGTTTCTTCAGGCTGTTCATTTGTGTCAGAATATACACATAATGAAATTATATCAATAGTCATACTGAGAAAAATATTTTATTCCATATGTTTGGAATTCTCACTTGAATCTAGTTTCATTTTATACATGCTAAAATTTTGGACAAGCTAACAAACATAGAGCTTATATAACTGTTTAACCACTCATGCAGAATAAAAATTGCCAACACACATAATATCCCATTGTTTCACACTACTTCTGAAAATTGTTCCAGAAATATTTTCAGGACTCTCCCTCTGAGATGGGGCCAAAAACGTCTTGTATATCCTTCAATGTATAGCTAAGTGCCTAGGGCTATATCAAGCTCATTGTTTATTAGGACAAAACCTTTCACTCTCTTAACTTTCTCCTTCCCTGTGCAAGAGGGAGAAACTGGGGTGGGGTGGGGGGTGGTGATGGGTGGGGGGTAGAATGGAGTGGGACACAAGGCCCGTTTTGAAATGTATGAGAGTTGGATACTCCCAAAATTCCAACAAGATTACACACACACACAAATCTCATCTGGTAAATATTACATTCTGTTTTTGTCTTTGCTTTAGTTTTTATACAACTTGACAGTTTGTGGTATCGTGCCACATTTCAGAGCTAAGGTTTACAAACATCTGGCTCATGGGCAGCATTCCATTCCCCATGGCCCCCAGTGTCTCTGGGATAAAGTGTTTGCAACATACCAACAGAGGTGGAAAACAAGAATTTTCCTAGAGAACAATGGGGGTAAGCAAGGCATTAGGGTTTATGAAATTCCTCTGAAGGAGTCTGGGCTTTGTACAATTAATCCACTTGTTGCCACCCAGATGGCCCATGGAGAGGTAGGAATCCTTGGACCTCCCCTGCTGAGTGGCAAGTTGATTGGATCCCATTAAATCCTTGGAGACATAAAAATTTACCCAGTAAAGCATCAAAACAAAAAAGTAATACAAATTCGACAGTCACATCAATGGAATATTTTAAATCTCTATTCCACTCTGGGCTCTGTTTAAGAAAAATAAAATCTTTTCCCTTTCTTGTACTTTTCTTGAAGGAATCGATAACGTAATCATTCATATTAGTTAAAGCATGTGGAATAACACCTAGTGCTTAGTAAGAGCTGTTTAAGTTTTTGCTTTCATCATTATTATTATTTCTATATTGCTTGTCAGTGCAGACATAGGAAAGTTACTTTTAAATAGTCAGGTTTGGGTGTTTAATTACCATAATTGATATGCCATCTCTCCCTCTTTGTTATCTTTTCTTCTCTTCTGGTTTAAATGCTGTGATAGGATATTAATATTGCCCGAGGCAAGAAATTCTAGTGTTATTTTAACTCTTTTTAAATGAATATGCTTCCTAACAACTTAGAAGCACCCAAGTTGTTCCTGAGAAACAAATACTTGTTTCCAATATAACAGAAGACATCCCAAATGGGTTGTCATCTTTCCCTGGAGAGAATATCTCACAAAGTCTCCAGAACCCTTGAGAATATTAACCTGAAGGTGGGGCCTGAGCAGAGGGCCGTAGATTCTCAGGAAGGTCCATTTAGTTCTTGCAATTGTGTACAAACCTGTGTGTGTGTGTGTGTGTGTGTGTGTATACACATTTTCCTAAGGGAAGGGCCAATAGTTTCCATCAGCTCTTTAAAACTAGTCATAAAACAGAAAAGGCTAATAACTATTTACATCAGGGAAATAAAGGAAGACAGAATAGGGAAGAATTCTCCATGGAGTTATGGAAGAAGCAGAGTCTTGTTTGTCCAGGCATGCCCTTTTCTCACCTCAGTATCACCTTTCATCCTTCTCCAGACACCAAGTATGGCAAGTGCAATATTTCTCCATTTCCCTGTGAAAAATGAATCTCAGATTTCTAATTAACTCTGAAAGGGTACACACAGATTACAAAAGTCTTCTTTATAAAGGCAGAAATCTTTGGCTAAGGAGGGAAAACAAGGGAACTTGACTTTCAGACTCTCATCTGGTGAGTTGTTCAGGCTTGTATGGTTCCTGTGTACAACCAACCTGTCCTAGAGTCACTACAGAGAGTTGAAACATTGTCTTTCTCAAGGCAGATTCAGTTGCGATCTCAGAGCCCTCATTTAAGTCATCTACAAATAGCTCTTCAGCATCAACTTTATGCCATATGGTACTGGTGGCCGTGAGGGGAGAATAAGGCAGCCCTGGCCAGCAAGAATCTAGCAACCTGGATAGAACAACATAAGTTGGTACCTTCATACAATGGGAGAGAAATACATGGTTATTGAGTGTGAGAGTCTGAGAGATCTAATTACGGTACAGAGCCCGGTGCTAGACACACTGATGGTGCAGAGAAAGAGGTCAGAAGCCTGGGCTTCATAATAAGGCAGAAAGGGGGCTTCATAATAAGGCAGAAATTCTCACTCTACTACTTGAGGAAAGAGGAACCTCTTCACCAAAGCCTGATAATCAGAAGTGGACATAACTGGAATGCTTTGCTTATAAGACAGTTGTCAGAATAAAATAGGAAAACATGTACAATTAGAGCATAGTATGGTGTCTGATAGACAGTAGGAACCAAACCAATTTGAATTATCACAAATTGTCTCACTGAATCCCCATAATAGCTGTATGTGACAGGTAATAACTCTCATTTTGCAGATGGGGAGACTCTTATTAGGAGTTGGGAAGAACATGACTGCAGCCACTGGCCTATAAGTGACAGAGCTGGTCTCCTTTCACCACACAGGAAGTTTCTCTAATGTAGTTTACATACTGATCTCACAGGAGGTTAACTTGGAGGGTACACAGGAATAATAGTTATGTATTGACTATAATATATACAGAGAAACATAACTACTACCAGTCTCATTTTTTATGTTTAGAATGAAGCTGAGTATGAGAAATTATGTTGATTTAAAAATATTAAATCCGTAGTTATACAGATGAGACATTGAAGTGGCTAAAGTTGTCAATGTGACTTATAGAAGCAAAGGAAGTTAGAGCTATCTACTCATTAATGTAGAGCAGGAAAAATATCAAAGGAATGAATACAGGGTTGAGGTTCAGACTTAAGGCCTGGAATATGTGTGTGTATGTGTATGTATATTTCTATGTGTATATATATTTAAATTCTAGTCATCCTAGAATTTCAATATAACTTACTAATGTATTCTTGCTACAGCTGTTAGAGATTGGATTATAGCATTTGCCTGTGATTTAAGCAGTTACTTTCTTCCAGAGAACGTTAGCACTCTACCTGACCCAACCAATATCCCCAGTGAGGAAACTGCTGTTAATGATTTTGATGACCAGAAGGTTATTAAAGAAGGCTGGATGCCAGTGGGCATTTGAGGGACACAAGGTAGAGACCATAAGGCAAGAAAATGAATGGTAAACTCTATCTTAATCACAATATTTCCCTTAATAAATCCATCAGACCTAAGTAGCACCTGGTACCAATTTCAATGCTATGACACATTACCCATAGATGATGTTTCTGTTGTTTTTTATAAAACATTTTTTCCTTCTTCCAGTATTTTGTCATTCAGCCCTAAGCTCTGCTGCTGGAGAAACAGAAAAGTAGTAGAGCCGTTGATTTTCCCCATCTTATTTGCCTTTCTTTCTTATTACTCCCAAAGGGAGCTATTTACACTTTTGAAAGAGGGATGAGAAGGGAGGTCCTTATAGAGAAACTCGCTTAAGCCAATGATGAGACTAGGCAAACAATGTCATAGAGATCTCATAAAGTAGAAGGAGGATGAGTTTGAGCACCAGGTTGTAATAGGTTCAAATCGTATCTCTACACTCCCAAGTTGTGTCACCGTGAATAAGTCATTTAATTTTTCTGAGCTTGAATTTCTTCATTTAAAAAATGAGGGTATCATGAAATACCCCAACGTTGTCATGAAGACTAAATAAGCATGAAGTAGGTAAAGAAGCTAATAGTGCTCAACAAGATTTAAGCTATTAACCTTTCCTGCTGTTTTCATTTCAGTGTTTCGTACCTAAGAGTTGTGACTCTGTCTCCATTTCCTGGTAGTAAACAGGAAGATTCTAATCTAATTCCAAATGTTTTCTTCCTGCATCAGGCACTCTGGCAAAGACCCATTTTCCAAACCCCTGTCTTTGAAATTTTCATATCTTAAAACTGTCAACACAGGCGTGTGCAACGTTAGCCAAGGTCTGCCTTTGTGCAAAAGCAAAGTCTGTGCCACATCCAGGGAGAAGAACTTTTCCACTGAAGGTGCCAAAGGGCTGTGCACCATCCCATAAAACTCATTCATCCTTGGAAAGTCATGGCCAACACACTTACTTGGACCACCTTTATTTTTATTTTATGAGAATGAAATTTATCATTGATTTCAGCAATTCTCTTCTTTTCTTCCTGAACACGTACTATATTTATCTTTCGGCTCCTCAGCATCACCAGAAGTTTCCATGCATCTAGGACATAATTTCTGAACATTTTAACATCAGTTTGTGGTCTCTCCCTCCCAATAGGAGATCTGAGAATTTTAGAGTCTAATAAGAGAGTTTATGAAAATTAACTACTCCATCACCTTGGGTAAAAGGCGGAGCTGGTATTCCAAGGGTAGGAGATACCAGGTAACATGAAAAAGGAGCTAAACTATTGATCTCCCTCTCTACCCACACCATCATAATCAAAGCTACCTTCATCTTTGGCTTCCATTGTTGAATGGCCACTTAAGCAGGGCCATCTGATGACTATTTTCTGATGCCTTGCTAATCCATTTTCTAAGGTGCAGGCAGAATACTTCTTTAAGACACAAATCCAACACTAGGACCCTACCTGTTTAGAATCCTTCAGTGAATTCTCACTCCCAAATTGATAATGACTAAAAGCTTCAACATGGCTTGAAAGACCTTTCATAGCTCTTCTCCATTCTTCCCCAGCCTACCACTCCCTGCCTCTACCCATGCAACCTCAGCAAATGTATTTCCCTCTCCCTGGGACGCTCTTCTGCCCTGTTGCCTAGCTAATGCTCATAGATTATGTAGTGCACAGGGCTGATGCTCAAGTTCAGGACCGTTTCTTTTGTGATTAGGCCCTCACATTCCCTTCTTGCATTCCTTTCCCATATAGTATATTGTATATATCTTTGTTTGTAATTACTGTATACAATCATTAGTGTAATTATTGTATTGACCTCTCTTGTTGGACTGTAAGCAAGAGCTTTAACAATTTGCTCATCATTGTATCTCCAGGACCAGGAATATGGGAATAATACTAACAACAGCCATTACTAACCAATTCTAATGGAAAAACTGAAGCATACAGAGGTTAAGTGTGCTACCGTAAACTTTCACTGCTAATAAGTGAGATATCTGGGTGTTCAATCCAGGTAATTTGGTTTTCTGAGTCTGTGCTTTTAACTAATTACACCAATCTACTTCTCAAGCAGTAGCAGGTGCTCAAGTCATAGCAAATACCTGACAAATATTTGTTAATTCAATAATGAGTAATGAATAGGCTATTGCTGAAATGGCCCACCGGGAGGCTCAAGACTCTAGAATTTGTTCAGGATTTGAGAGAAAGTCACTGAAATGGCAACTCCGATGGGGGCATAAGATGGGCATTATCTGGCAAACCTATGTGGTAGTAAATACCAAAGAAGCATCCCTCCTGTGAGCTGTTTGTTATACTGGAAGCTGCCACATCTATCTTGCTGTTTGGAAATGCTGGCGGAAAACATTCCTGTACCTGACTAAGAAAGAACAAGTTTAAATATAGATGAGGGCTCTCAAACTGCTGCTGTTGAGGCTATAACAGGTGACGGTATAAATTTTTTTTTTTTCTGTAGGTAAGCACGTTACAAAGCCTTTGAAAGTTGAGCCTGAACCATGACTACTCTTGAGTGTTTATCCCCAAGAGCTTTTAATGTGATGCTGGGGACCATTGTCATTTACTGAAGGATTTGTCTATTTGCTATGAATGTCAAGAGACTGAGAACTTGTCTATTTACCATGAATGTCAAGAGACTGACATTCATAAAGATGAACAAATACCTTTTACCTACAGAGGCTGTGCCTTCAAGGAGGTCATTTGGGGCTGATGGCAAGTGAAGAGCATAGAAGTAATTCTAGGGGGATTCTTTTGTCCCCAAAGAACAAGGGAAATGGCAAAGGAGGGATTTTGCTGACCTCCTCAAAGGATTTAACATTTGGAGAGTTACTTGCTCAACACTTAGTCAACAATATGAACAGGGAACATTTACACAGACCAGACCAGAGCACATGTCAGTGGGAGGGATAAACATGGAGAAGATGGGTCCCTGTCTTTGGAGAGGTGATGCTTTAGTTTGGAAGGTCAAACACTCAAATAACACTGCACCAATGCTTCCAAAACAACTAACACACCAGGGCAAATGAAGAGCATGCAAACCGAATGGCACAGTGTAAACAGGAGAAAAGCCAAATTTCACTGGGACCAGTTTTGACATTTACTGGCCACTGTGTGTGCAATGTTAAAGACTAGAGGTAGAAAAACATGATTTTTGTATTCCTCAAGGAGCTTAAAAATGGGATGTGGAGGCAGACATGGAATCCCAGATGTGGTCAGTGCCAAGACAAGGGTAACCCATGTGCTAGGAATCCAGAAGGAGACGAGTCAGGCAGGGCTTCCCAGAGCTGAATGTTAGAGCATAAGAAAGGTGTCAGTGGTGGTCGAGGGGTGGTAGGAGGAATGCAAAGCTGAGAAGACATGTTCCAAGTCACACAGGTCATCACTGGTAATGCTAAAATGTGAATCTGATCATTCTGGCTCTAAATCCCTTATAGTTTCCACTATAACAGGTTGTATCCCAAGTCAGGAAAGACAGATTATTTGCTATATGTAGGTACTATGTTTTAGGCTTGGCTTCTATCCCTTAACTGTACTAATCTTGACTATTATTTACATAAGAACTTAAATAATTGACCCAATATGGAAACTTTAAGTGGTTTACTGTTTTCTGCTGAAGCCTAAAATGTGGCCTAAAGCAAGGACTCAATAAATATTTGATGAATAAGCTGAATGAGCGAAGGAACGAATGTATACCTCCATGAATAGAGGATGAGACTGTAGAGACAGACAGGAGTAGAAGCATGAAGGACATGGAAGAGCTAAGTCTAAAATAGTTTTGAAGGAAGGAGGGTCATGAAATGGAAAGTAAAAATCAAGAAGAGCAAATAGAAATGCAAGGAGGGAAAAACAATTAGGTTAGGCATGTTACTCTCATAGCTTCAGTCAATGAAAGCTGTAATATCAGTACCAGCCCAGTGTGGTTTACTGAACATTTACTGTGTGCCAGGTCTCATATTTTTTTTTGTACATATGGCTAATCCTTATTACAGACCTGCAGGTCAGGTAGTATTTTTCCATTGGATAGTTGATGAAACAGCATAAGAAAAGTCTGTAACCTGGCATAGCAAAATTGGAGATCGGATTAAAATCCAGATCACTTGATCTAAAGACCCTTGTTATTTTCAATATATTCCCTTCCAACGAGCTACTAATTCTAAGCACCAGCCACATGCAGTACACACAACCTTGTTCTAAGTTTACAATGTAGACCTTGTTCTAAGTTTACAATGTAGGGGTCCTCGTAGGCCTTGAATCTAGATTGTAATGTATGAAAAAGTAGGTAGTTTCAAGGAAACTATTTCTGGGAAATTAATGTATTGGCCTTGATTATAACATTCAAGGTTGCAGAAATTCAATTATTCACTCACTCTTCATTATTTATTGAGCATCAGTTCATTTTCTAAGTGTAAGAGTTACCAGTCAGACCAAGTCTCTGCCTTCAGAAACATTAGCTTTTAGATGAGGATGAGCAGAAAAACAAACAAATATAAATAAAAATTTTAGATTGTGATAAGCCTATAAAGAGAATGAAGGCAAGCCACAAGGTAGCCCTTGACTATGGGGTGGAAGAGCTACTAAAGGTGACTCAGGGAGACCGTCTTCCCTGAGCAGTGGCCTGAGGGTGAGATGATCCAGGAGTGAGCGTATCTGGGGTATCTTTGGTTCTCAAGGGGAGAAGAGGTACAAAAACCCTGAGAAGAAAGTAAGCACAATGAGTTTAATCAACAGAAGTCCCCAGTGTGACTTGATCCTAGTAGATGAGAACAGTCGGAACAGGAGTTGAGAGCTGTGGACAAGTAGTCAGGGGACAAAACAGATATGACATTGTAGACCACAGTAAGGACTGCATTTTGTCTGAATAGGAATTCATTAGATTTGTACACAAGGAAGAGAATTTCCTAACGTCTTAATGTACCATAGATTTTAGATGGCATGGTAGACAGAAGGAGACCAGTGAATGGCTATTACCTGCATCCAGGTGCAAGGTGTTAATGGGCATGGACTAAAGTGGGAGAAGTAGAGATAGTGAAAAATTGGTAAAATATTGAAATATATTTTAAATGTACAGTTGATGGGACTTGCTGATGGAGTGGCTGTAGGGTAAGAAAAAAAAGAGGAATCAAGGATGGCTCCTGAGATTTTGACCCAAGCAACTACAAGAATTAAATCCCACTTCCTGAGATGGAGAAATAGGTTGGGTATGAGGGGGAAATGAGTTCTATGTAATTCATTTTTATGAGGTGATGCATATTAAATACATAAGGATGTCATATAAACAGTAGGACTCAGGAATGTGAGTCTCAGAGGGCAAGTCAGAGCTGGAGATGATAATGAAGACATCATCACCATATTGAGATTTAAAGCTTCGGGTTCAGAAGAGATCACCAAGGGAGTGTGCAAATAAAAAGTGGAGGAGTAAAAATGAGGCCTTGGGACATATGAATGGAGGCCCAGTTTTGAAGGAAAGACTAGCATAGGTAAAAGGAAGATGAGGGGTGTGTGAGGTATGGAAACCTGGGGAAGAAAGTGTTTCAAGAAGAAGGCTGTGGTAAACTGGTATGAAATATGACTAAGAGGCCAAATAAAACGAAAAAGGAGAATTTGCCATGGTATACAGCCCCAGGTTTCTGTGTAGGTATTTAGATTGTGCCCTGCACAAGAATCCCTGGCTGAACGGGTGAGGGAAGGCTGCAATCTAGCCCCTGCATCTGTTTGCCAATACTCTGCACTCCCTCCTGCCTCAGGCACTTCATACCTGCTGTTTGCTCTACCTGGGACAGCCTCCCATCATTTTCCCCTTCCCGCCAGCCCTCTCCTCTTAACCTAATCAATCTTTTCTCCTTTCTTTAAGCCTCAGCTTAAACAACTTTGCTTCCACCTGGAAACTTTCCTGACTGCCCAAACTTCTGTATTTTTCTTTAAGTAACAGTACAAGTGTAATTACATCTCTTACCGGACGCTTAATCTTTCCTAATCTTTTTCCTGTGGTACTATATTAGTTCTGGGAATGCATGACTATGTCTTCCTTGTTCACCTCATGATCCCCAGAGCCCAGCATGGTGCCTGACACATCAGAGACCCTCAATACCTCTTTGTTAAATGAGTGAATACATGAATGAATGAATGAATGAATGAAGCCTTGTTCAAGTCTTTGTTTCCTTTAGAACTAAATTTTGAACATAGAATCTTGCTTCAGCCTCAGTTAGACTGATGTGCTTATTAGCAACTTTCTTCTGAGTTCTGAAGACTCTTCTCCCAAAGCCTCTCGGTTTGCCTCCAGGGCAGCTGGGTCTATTGCCTCTTTGGTAAGATGATGATCTAGATTGCAGTAGGGGACACCATCTACTTCTGTGTTTCTAAATCATCTATGCTAATGTTAAGACTCTTCAGTTGGGTTTTCATGTTGCCCAGCAACCCTGCCATGCACATGATGTGGGAGTCCTGATCACCAGAACCAAGTTTTGGTTTCCTGTTAATAGCTCAATAAATCCAAGGGGAAGGAGGTGACAGTTGGTCGTATGAGACAGTGGATCTCAGGCTTTTTTCCTCTATTACGCTCATGATATTCACACTAATAACATGTTCCCAAAGGTTAGCCATATTTTGATCCCCCCAAAAGTCTTTACCCCAGAAAATAAAAGAGTACCAGGAAATATAGTACTCTTTTATAGTACTCTTAAATAGGCACAATTCAAAAGTGGATCAGTAAAGGTCATAAATATAGTAGGCTGAGGATTAGTAAAATTCATCCTAAGCTAGAAGCAGATCTATCCTTTTCTTTCCTATTCAAGAAAAAATTGGATTGCAGGTGAAGGACAATGCTAGAAATCTCATAATAGCCTTGAATTGGCTATAATAAACATAAAAATGTCTATAATAAACACACAAAATTTTGGTTTCATCATAATAAAAACAAGTAGGTCTTTATGTTTCACCATGAATAAGATCCCTATTTTGACAATTACCTTAATTACATTTTTCACAAACTTTAATTTTTAAGGATGTCAAATGTTGTGGTAGGAAGCACTTTTGAGAATGAATCATGAGTTCTGGCCTTAATACTCAAATAAAGGGAAACAATGGCTCCTTGTGTCCTTAAGTAGCACCATGGTACTTGCTAAGTTTTTCAATAGAATTTCACAGGTGGGTTTTGCATGACGATACTAGTTTCGTGGGTAAGGAACACATCGGGAAGGTCAAGAGCACCTCTTCCTTTGATGGTCTAGAGAGTGATTCTCAAAGTGCGATCTCCTGACTAGCAACAATAGCATCACTTTGGAACACACTGGACATACAAATGATCAAACTTCACTCCAGATGTAATGAATCAGAAACTCTGGGGTGGGATCCAGCAATCTATATTTTAACAAGGCCTCCAAGTAATTTTGGTGCACTCTACAGTTTGAGAACCACTAATCTAGAAGAGCAGCATATTTGTTCACTAAGGAGAGAATAAATATAAGACTTTAAAATATGGAACCAAGTTAAAAAAAAAAAGTATGACCCATGATTTTCCATCCACCAAGACACTACAGAAAATGTAGCTATCACAGTAGAAATGCCAATCAAGGGTGGGAGGGGGGAAGTTGGTTACAAGACTCTACTAAAACGAAAAGGTACAATTTCTCCAAATACAAGACTGAAACAAATTAAAAGTCAAACAATAAAATATGAAATATAATAAGGGAAAGTTGGATTCTACACATGCAGTAACTAACTCTATTCAAAACAAAAACATTGGTAATTGGCAGCTGGCACGAAGTCATCGGGACATGCCTGCCGAAAGATTCCCACCAATGTCCTAGTTAAAAATTACAAATAATATGCCCATATATAAGCTTGTTATTGAGAAGTGTGAGAACATCAAGTAGCGCATACTTCTCGAATCCTCCCCCAAGAAAGTTGGGCAGATATGAAGAGCTGAAATTATTTCCCAAGAGATTAGTGTATAGGGAGAAATCCTAGTCTTAATCCCCACTTCACCTCTCCCACACGACAGCTGGCAGCACAGGCTGAAGACAGATCCCTGAACTGGGCTATGGGAGCATCCAAAAGGAATGAGAGACTTGATACCACTTGACTCCTGGGCTGGGGCCTATGTAAGGGAAAGGCAGCAGGCAGTTCACAGACTAACATGGAAGAAGATAGCTCTGTGGTTGGAAAGATACGTTAAGATGACTCGTACCCTATCAGAAAAGTGCATCGCCATAAATAAACCAATTGGCTCTATCTGAAAAACTCTCAAGGAAGGGGTGGTTAATGTGGCTAATCTAAAGATGGAGAAATAATAATATCTCTTATGGCAATTGTTTTCAATATAGTGGTTCACTGGGATGAACTGAGAAGCAAATACATGGCCATTCACCAGAGCTTGCAATCTTTGATCTAAGTAAGCATGATCATACAAAATCCATATGGTAAAATACAGAAAATCTTCAGAAAGTACTACGGTGCAACTAAGCATACAAGAAACCATTATTTTCACTTATTTGAGTATTGAAGCCAGGACTATACCATTCATTCCCAGCAGTATTTTTTACTACACTATTTGTTATTCCTAAAAGTTAAAGTTCTTGATAAATATAATAGAGCAGCTGTCAAACTAGAGATTTTTCTTATTGAGGAAAAAACCCTTTTTCTATGCTGGTGAAACCAAGATTTTTGATGGATTGGTGGGATTCAATGTAAACAAGTTTACGAGCTGCCCATATGAACTATCTTGAATGAGTACGATTTGCCTAAATTTTTCTACTATTATCAGAAGAGGAAATATGGTGAATGTAATTTTTCGGGGGCCAAAAATATGATATAAACTTTAAGACTCTTCCATATTTGATTAAGTAATGAGTCATGCTTATCATGGAGTTGTTGAAAAAACTATTTTGAAGTGTGTATGTAGAATTCTACTTTCTTTTAAAATCTCTCAAGGATCTCCTGGATAAATACTTTTCATGATATATTTTCTTATTTATGCACATGACTTTAGTAATTCTAGATTTTTGTTTCTGGTGACTCAGTTTTTGTTCTATAATTTTATGAATATGTCTATACAAAGGAGATTAAATTGCCTCACCATACAATGTAACCAATCACTCTTACAAACTATTTCATAAAATAGTGCCTTGAAGTCAGATTAGGAACTAATCCTCCCTTTCAAGGTTAGTCTCAAAGAAAGCAATCAATTGGCTGCAGACATAAAGAGGTACTTCCATTGCCCCAAACATAATTCATTTTGACTCTATAATAGGCCCTGGGATTTTTGACTATGATGACTCGTGACTTAACTGTGTTAAGGTTGGTAAAAGAAAATTATCTGGATTGGATGGCAAATTAAACCATTCTAAGTCAATAGCATTTTAGTCTCAATGACTTTGTTAGATTATAATACAGTCAAAAACAGAGCTTTAGGGGAATGAGATAAAGATCTGGTAAGTTTTGTTTTTGTTTGTTTTGTTTGAGACAGGGTTCATTCAAAGCTGGAATGCAGTGGTGTGATCATAGTTCACTGCAGCCTTGAACTCCTGGGCTCAAGCAATCCTTCCACCTCAATCTCCTAAGTAGCTAGGATTACAGGTGCACACCACCACACCTGGGTAGTTTTTTTTTTAATTTTTTTATTTTTTGTAGAGACAGGGTCTCCCTATATTGCCCAGGCCGGTCTCGAACTCTAGCCTTTAGTGATCCTCCTGCCTCTCTCCCAAAGTATTGGGTTTATAGGACTGAGCCACTGCACCTGGCCTCTGGTAAATTTTGATGAAAGGAAACCAAAAGGAAAAGGTTTGGGACATCGAGTGAGGATCCTACTGGAACAATATCTAAATGGATGAAATCTATGAGGGACCCAGGAAGCTAGAATTTGGAGCCATCATATTCTTGAAAAGAACACTGAGTGGGGAATTGAGGAGTTTGTCTATCCAACCACTTTGCAAAATACTAGGGTTCATCCTGTTGTGCATTTGCTCATCACACACATTCATTCCACAAACACTAATGGAGCATGACTGTAGATAAAATAACATTTCAGACAGTGGAACAAGAGAAGAAAACTCAGTTTCCTAACTTAAAATCCAGAATAATACCAACTAGACTAAGTTGCCTCTTTGTCCAGGAAAGTTTATGCCACAAATCAAAATAAAGGCAGGTCTTTAGGAGAACCTCATTGCTATCAGAGATGCTCTAAACTTGTAGGAGCCTATCAATTAAGTGTTTAGCACTCAGGTGTTGGTTTATTTTGGATCTTGGGCTTGATGTGATGATTTCTTCTTGAGAAAACTTGTTTTGGGATTCCAGCTGTTGGGATCAAATCCACAGGGATAAGAGAAGTCAACTTCCTTCCTCGCTTTCTCTGATTGAAGACAGTTTTGTGAACGTGGTAGGGGGTGGGGGTGGTGGGGATCATGATGGCTTGCAAACTCAGCATCAGCCTCCAATGCTTTTCATGTTTGTTGCTCAGAAAACTGAGATTCAGATTACCATGGTTTGGGAATTGAAATCCTGACAAGAACAATTAAATTCTGGATTTATATTCCTAGCAATTTCATCTTGTCATTTGTGGTTTTCTTCAAATTACAAAACAATTAAATGAAGAATTTGGCAAAGAAATTGAACCAGATGCAAGTTTCTTGTCCCCCCCAACCCCCGATTCCCTTTTAATGGCAGGAAAAAGAATGTAATTTAAGTCTTCCCAGCTCTTCAGCTGTGGAACAGCTGAGCAGGCATCTTGAAGGAGAAAGTGTCTCTTTCACTAAACAGTGTGATGGAGTGTTTTATCTGCAATGTTGAAGAGGAAAGCCCTTGAAGTACCGAATTCCCTAAGAGAGATGAAACACACACATACTCCAACCACAGCATTTATTATCCTGACATTGCAATTTAGCAAACAAAAGATACAAAAAGTGTCATTCTGGCCTACCTTTTTGTAGATACACATATGAGAGAGTTCCTTGAAAATGTAATGAAGCCAAAAGCTTATTCGAAGACGCAAATTAAGCCCTGATATCTGAACTGGTCTAATAAATGCCAAATTATGTTGTCAGCCATTTAGATGAATGCTCAGAATTTTAAGGTTCTTCTGCAGATAGGTGATGCATAAGATCAAATAAATTTTATGTACCTTTCACACTCCGTATGTTTCATCAGAATGGTAAAACACTTATTTTTGTCGGATTTATCACCTGCATACACTCATTATACCTCTTAAAAATCCTTCAGTTTGTAGAACTAGCAGGGCATTTCACAAACAGGCCCAAAATGCTCTTATAGAGCCTCAAAGGATGAACTCCATGTCATCTCCAACCAGGTATTCAAGAGCAGACAACTTAACAGACAGTATACATCATCCAAAGAAAGTTTGCAGAAAGTTTGGCTGTGCAGTTCCAAAAATTAAACCCAAAGTGTTGCATTACATTTTATTCTGAAAGAAGTATAAGAGCCTCTGAATAATGACTTCCTATGCTGAAAAAGAACTTTTCCATTTTTCCTGACCCATGACTTGATATCAGACAAAAAGCGTATCAGGTGAAGGAAACGCTATTTGCCTGAGTGGTTCCATTTTTGTCACCATCCACCTTCCTCTACCTTACTGCCAAACACACATGTGGACTTTGAACAAAGAAAATTTTCCTTTCTGAGTGTTTCCTCCCCTTCTAGGGAATACGCCACGATGAGTAAAGCAGTGTTTGGCATTAGTGGGCTCCATTAATACTGGCTATGAAACATACCAGTCATGGGATCTAGGACAAGTTTTTATTTCTGTACCAAAATGTTTTCATCTTAAAAAAGAAAAATAACATTACTTCCATAATAGAGTTATTGTGAGATAATATATGGAACGTCTTAATGAAGCAGTTCTCAGATGCCTGAATGCTATTATTGTTGATTTGAGTTCATGCTAGCTGCAGTCCACCACCTCTGATGCTTAGTATTTGCTCTCTCTTCTCTGTGCTCACAAGATTTAACATCAATACTTGTGATCACCATTTATATATTCCCTGGAATTTGAATTACTCTTTTTCTATTTATAGTTTGTTTTCCTTTCCCAGACCAAATGACCCTTAGTTTTTAAAAACAAATTTTTTTCTTTTCTACAATACCTGCTTGGATTAAAATTTTAACAAATTTAGATCAATAAATAAAAATTACCTATAGTCTCATCTCTACATAACATTTTAGTGTATGTCCTTTCATGTTTTGTTTAATTACAATGTATGACTATTTTACCTTTAGTAGCTATGATGGTTATAGTAAAAATACACCCAGATAGGGATCAGAAAAAGTCTAAGATGAAACATTTAGAAGTGGAGACACATCAGCTAGGACATCAATGCAGTGGTCCTGAGTATCTATGGGCAAACATAGATGCTTCCTAAAAAGTCAGGAGAAAAGAGCATCAAAAGACAAGTGTCACTGTGTCCCCTGGTGTCTGCCATTATTGGAGTCACAGAAACAGATGTGCCCTTGTAGAATGAGGGTTCTTTCATTGGGATATGAGGGAAACAACCAAAGTACAGTGACTGTCATCCCTTATAACCAAGGCAGTATTTGCAATGGTTAAACTGGATATGTTTTTCTTGGCATGGCCAAGCTAAGCTTTTGTCATTCACTGAGCAGACGTCCACCAAATTAGAAACACTGGGACAGGCAATTTCTCTGATGTTTTGGTTTCAACAGTACTGATCTGTAATTATTTCTACAAACAAAAAGAAAGTGTTTGACAGAGACATTTAAAGACCTAAAACAACTTTCTTATAGGAAACACATGTGTCTTCTCCAAATTAAAACACACTATTATGCTAATAGGAGGACACTCAGCAAGTGGAATTTGCTAGTGATTTGTTGGGGGCTGGGGTAGTGATCAGAAGGTAAGAACCAACCGACTTTTGTTAGCTGTTTTGAACAGATGCCAACAGAGCAAAGTCCAACAAATATGTCCTTAGAATGACCCTGTTATACACACAGGGGAAGTATCTTTGTTTTTCATGGGACTGTACAAAGCTGGGCTTTAGAAAACACAAGGAAAATGAATTTCTGGTTTGTATTAGTGCCTTCTCACCTCGTCCCTGAATTGAAATATACAGTTCTTTTTTTCTTTTAAGTTCTGTGATACATTTGCAGGACGTGCAGGTTTGTAACATAGGTAAATGTGTGCCATGGTGGTTTCTTGCACCTATCAACCAAATACACAGCTCTTTAGACTTGAAGTCAAATAGATTTGTATACAAGTATGGTTTGTCTTCTGTGACTTCAATGTGCAACCTAGTGTAAGAACAGCAATGCCAGCTCTTTCTCAAAAAGCAAAGTTTGTATTGTCTGTAATTTTACTGCCATCTCCAACATCCATCACAATCTCACCAATAAAAAGAAAGAAATTACAAGTCCATACTAATGGCCATTGTACTTGGAGATACAGCAACTTGTATTTGGAAACGGGCCATTGATAAAGCACAGTAGCCATCAGAAGGAAGCTTTCACAATGAAACATGTTTAGTGATTAGCAGCGCTACGTTTGAGAAAAACAATGAATTCCATAATGTTTCATTCCACCTCTAAATGACTGCACACTTCAGGAGTGGTTTTGTTCATGTGAGGGTAAGTAGCCCACAATGCAAAGAGGAAAGTGTAGTGAAGAAACTTTTGCCAAAGTCGTGCTTTCTTGATTTATATTTTTAATAAAAATTGAGAAGAATACTGCCAAGATTTTTTCCACCTATCATTAACTTGTATCATTTCCTATACCATCATTAGTCTTAGGACTCTACCTCCAAAGCTTATTTGACTCTATTCCAAGCTCTTTTTGCTCCAGGTCTTGCTGTTTTTTTCATGGCTAAAGTCCCCAAGATCATCGGGGACCTAGAACTGGGTTGTTTGTTTTTTAAATATGTGTTTGGTTTTCTTTTTATTACAGGAAATATTCCCTGTTCCCAATAGCTTTGCCTTTGTGAGTTTACAGAAAATGTTCGAGTTCCATTTCTGTAAGCATCATCCCCATGTGACTCCCTGAACACATTATAGCCCTTCATTAAAATGTAAATGGCATCAGGAAGGGACATCACTTTAACCTCTTATCAATTATCACTGCCTCAGTATGATTCAGGTTATCTGCCTGTATCTAGAAAAATTAATCACTCCCTGCTGTGACAGTCCTCATATATTCCAGTTTTCCTAAGCACTTTCTAATTTCATAATTTTACCCTTCTCAAAAGGGTGACTTATTAAACTTACCTACTTATGAGTATTTGTATACATTAATATTTTACATAAATTAAAATGTTGACCAAAAAAATCATGGGTCAAAGCATGTGTTCTGCTTTTTCCTTCTAGAGGTACAGTACATGCCCTAGTTTTAGCAGTCACTGGGCTGTTCCATAGTGCTTTGCACACATGGCTAAACTACCTCCCTGGGCAATGCCTCCTCAAGGGCAAAGACCTTAGCTGGTGCTCAATAAATGCTTACTGAGTGATTAGTAAAGATACTAAGTGGACTAATACATTTGGATTTAAAAAAAATAAACACAACAATGTGTCAACTGGTCTGGGGAAGTGTGACCTAACAGAAAATTACTGAAGAGAATGTGGTCGCAATCAATAGGAAACACCAGGAGACTTCAGGAGCAGTGGTTCTCAACCAAGAACCATCTTGCCCCGCACTGGGCCTTTGGTAATGTTTTGGTTTTCACAACTGAGGTTGTACTACTGGTATCTAGTGGGTAGAGGCTGGGATGCTGCTGAATATCCTGTACTGCACAGAACAGGCCCCCACAATAACAAATTATTTAGCCCCAATTCTCAATAGTGCCAAGGTTGAGAAACCCTTCTCTAGAGCACTGAGTAGGTAGATTAGGTAGGAGGGGTAGAGGCAGAGCTGAAACAAGAAAATAAAATAACATGTGCTGTGCAACCCGGGCTCCGGCCTAGATATTTTGCATAGATCATCTCTTTTAATCCCGGCAACAAATCCTTGTGGTC
Organism: Homo sapiens; assembly: GCF_000001405.40. Lineage (NCBI taxonomy): Eukaryota > Metazoa > Chordata > Mammalia > Primates > Hominidae > Homo > Homo sapiens. The sequence goes on along the minus strand of NC_000005.10, from coordinate 158,617,232 downwards.
GATATTATTATTACCCTATCTTATGAATGAAGAAGCCAAGGTGAAGTAACTGACTCAAGGTCACACAGCTGGGAAATGGTAGAGCTGGTATTTTTGAACTCAGGATCTTTTAAACCCTCCCTTAACCACCTCCACAAAACTTGCCTCTACTGGAGATTTTTTTTTAAGATTCTAATTTCCAATTAATAAAATTAAAGCATCATATAATAGCATGTTAAAATATAATAAGAGTGAAACTCATAAACAAGTATCATGATGAGAAAAGAGGAACAGAATTACAAAAGGATTCCTGAAATGAAAAATCACACATAGGTATGCAATGAACAAAGCTGGCCTTCAGAGTTGGCTTTGACTTCCTAAGTGGACAAAGTGAAAAACAAATTGTGATCAGTTACACAATGCACATTATTCATGAAATGAAAAGCCCACCAATTGCTCAGGAGGAGCCAATGTTTCCCAGCTCAGAGGACTGAGAGAAATTTCTCATAGTCCTCATAAGTAAGCCACTATCTGTATCATCAAGAATATCTCTATTCATGTCCTTGGGCAACTTTTTAATGTTTTTTTTTCTTGTAAATTTGTTTAAGTTCTTTATAAGTGCTGGAGATTAGACCTTTGTCAGATGCATAGTTTGAGAATATTTTCTCCTATTCTGTAAGTTGTCTGTTTACTCTGTTGATAGTTTCTTTTGCTGTGTAGAAACTCTCATGTTTAATGAGATCCCGTTTGTCAATTTATACACTTTTTTCTTTTTTTCTTTTTTTGAGATGAAGTCTCGCTCTGTCACCCAGGCTGGAGTGCAATGGCACCGTCTCAGCTCACTGCAACCTCCACCTCTCAGGTTCAAGCAATTCTCCTGCCTCAGCCTCCCGAGTTGCTGGGGCTATAGGCATGTGCCACCACACCCGACTAATTTTTGTATTTTTAGTAGAGATGGGGTTTCGCCATGTTGGCCAGGCTGGTCTTGAAATCCTGACCTCAGGATCCACCCACCTCAGCCTCTCAAAGTGCTGGGATTACAGAATTTATACACTTTCCTAAAGAAGACATATATGCCACCAACAAGCATATGAAAAAAAGCTAAATATCACTGGTCGTTAGAGAAATGCAAATCAAAACCACAATGAGATACCATCTCACAGTCAGAATGGCTATTATTTAAAAGTTAAAAAAAAAAAACAGATTCTGGTGAGGTTTTGGAGAAAAGGGAACACTTTATACTGTTGATGGGAGTGTCAGTTAGTTCAACCATTGTGGAAAGATATGGCAAGTCCTCAAAAACATAAAAAATGGCTCCTCATGATGTCTCTTCAGAACTCAGTTTACACTTGATGAGGACATAAGATATTTAAAGACATAAAACAGTCATTCAAACCCAGCAATTCCATTACTGGGTAGATACCCAGGGGATTAGAAATCATTCTGGCATAAAGACACATGAACATGAATGTTCATTGCAACACTATTCACAATAACAAAGACATGGAATCAACTCAACTGCCCATCGATAACAGATTGGATAAAGAAAATGTGGTACATATACATCATGGAACAAAGATTATGTCCTTTGCAGAAACATGAATGGAGCTGGTGGCCGTTATCCTAAGCAAATTAATGCAGGAACAGGAAACCAGATGCTGCATGTTCTCATTTTTAAGTGGGAGCTAAATGATGAGAACTCATGAACACAAAGAAGAGGACAACAGACACTAGGGTCTACTTGTGGGTGGAGGGTGAGAGGAGGAAGAGGAGCAGAAAAGATAACTATTGGGTACTAGGCGTAGTGCCTCAGTGACAAAATAATATGTACAAGAAACCCATGTGACATGAGTTTACCTATATAACGAACCTGCACATGTACCCCCAAACCTAAAAGTTAAAAAAAAGAATATTTCTACAATGAATAAAACAGTGTTTTGCTTTGCCATTTCTCTCAGCATCCCTCTGTCCAATAACCCAAAACAGTTTATTAGAAGGGATGGGTTGGACATGGACCAAAAGAGAGCAAAAGTACAAACCATGATCTGACTACGTTTAAGTATCCAAACCAAGAGGATGGAAAGCTGCAACACCATGAGTCAGTCCTCTAGGGATGTGGCTCCTCATGGTGCCTCTGTAGAACTCATTTCCACACATGTAAAATGAGATGGTAAGTATTTATCCTGTAGGGCAATGGTTCATAATGTTTTAATTCATTCAAGAAGAATTGGATCATTACTTAGTTGGCCATTGGGCTGGGTTCTGCATCTAGTTCACAGAGATAAACGTGGCAGATGGGATCCTTGTCACCACAGAGCTATAGCCTGATGAAAGACAGAGATTCACCTACATATACAACCCCAAATCACATTTTCAACAGATATTTATAGAGCACCTACAATGGGTTAGCCACTGTAATGCAGTGGGTATCTGTCATTTTGTTAAAACTGATCACATTAAACAATTTTTTTTTGAATCTTGCATTGAGAAACTGAGCAAAATACCCAAGTGACTAAATGGAGAAGATTCAAATAAGGAGACTTGCAATGGCTCCACCTATTCTTATAAAGGTCTTGCATTCTTAGTTGAGAGCACAACATTCCTATAGCAGTTGGACTGAGTGATGCTGATGGTGTGTAGTGCCTAATCTGTACTGCTGGATCCCTAGGTATTTGGATCCATCTATTCATCTGTCTAACACCAGGCTACAAAAGTCATTCAGGTTGGTCCAGATAAAAGCAATACCAAACTTCTACAATACATGATCAGGTAGCCATGATATTCCTTTGACTATTCAGTGTTGACTCTATCAGTCCCACAAATCCAATTTGCTCAGTCAATATTACTAACAGTGTCAGCTTCTCAGCTCTGGCAGAAGGTTGTCTCTACCCCCCTAATCACTGGAACATAATAAAGATTCATTTCCCTTCTGAAAGGAAGCTCTACCAAGAGAAAAGGGAAAGAGAATATGTTTTGTCACCTCTGGACTAAAATTATTGTATTTCTCTAAAAGCAATAATCTTTACCATTACAATGTTATGAGCAGGGCACCGCACCACATACTGTTGTTTTCTGTTTTTTTTTTTTTTTTTTTTTTTTTTTTTTGAGATGGAGTCTCGCTCTGTTGCCCAGGCTGTAGTGCAGTGGTGCGATCTCAGCTCACTGCAAGCTCTGCCTCCTGGGTTCACACCATTCTCCTGCCTCAACTTCCAGAGTAGCTGGGACTACAGGTGCCTGCCAATACGCCCGGCTAATTTTTTGTATTTTTAGTAGAGATGGGGTTTCACCATGCTAGCCAGGATGGTCTCGATCTCCTGACCTTGTGATCTGCCCGCCTCAGCCTCCCAAAGTGCTGGGATTACAAGCGTGAGCCACCGCACCCGGCCATAGTGTTTGTTTTAATTGGTGTACTTCGTCAATTCCATCCCAGATTAGATTTATTCTTCTCCAGAAACCTTACCCAATTGCGTTTGATTTTTCCTATGAAATGACATTTGGCTGCACAAACGTGCTCAACTGTATTAAAGGATAGTGTGAAGAACAACAGCATTTCAGTGATACGAACCCAGCCCAGATGAAAAACATCAGAAACCTTCACACTCCCTACACTTTCCCCCCAAAGAGTTCAAAAGGTCTAATTCTTTCCCACTTAGGTTCAGTCCATTCCCAGATCTGAGCCGAGAAAGGAGAATGCAAGAGTTTATTTTAAATTATATTTGGCTTAAAAAACCCACTGTGTTTCCAATTCTGAAAGCAAACAAAAGTGTAGTTATCTGAAAATACAGAGAAAAGGCTGTGCTCTCTAAATCATGCTATTATCTGTAGGGTTTTGTTTTGTTTTGTTTTGTTTTTTTGTTACCACGAACACTACCTAGCATACTGTTAGACAAGGTAAGTTATCCAGATAGCCTACTCGACTCTGAGTGAATTTCTATTCTAAAAAACCAAATATTGGTGTGTATCTAACTGATGTTCAAACGAAGTACAAACAATTTCAGATGTAAGATATTTAAAGACATAAAATGATCCTGTTAAGGGTATATACAGTTAATATGCTAGAAGATTCATGAGTTTTATTGATAACATGTATTTTCAGAACTAAACATAAAGTTAGATCTTGTCTTTGAATCAATGGCTAGGTAATAATAATGAATTTCTAGTTTTTACAGTATATTCAAACTTCAGAGTTTACATTTTAGCACCTAGAAAAAAAGTTTTACTAACACTTTCAAGAAACAATATTTTTGATAAAAGGAGGCAAGACTTTAATTAAAAAGAAAACTTGAAAAATGGAAAAATTCAAAAATTGGACAGTTAAAATGAATATTCTTATTGTACTACTATGAACAAATTCTAGTTATAAGATTAATTATGGGAATGATATGACAGTTGACGCCTGTGATATGAGATTACCTAGGTCATGTTTTGTGTTTTTTTTAAGAGGCATAAAATGAATAAAGGTAGCTTTTATTAATTACCTTTCACTCAATCAAGAAAGGATTCATGGGAAGGAAAATAGGATATTAGACTATGTTCATTCATATCCACCAACTTTAAAAACTAAAGGCAGTGGCTCACGCCTGTAATCCCAGTACTTTGGGAGGCCAAGGCAGGCAGATCACGAGGTCAGGAGATCGAGACCATCCTGGCTAACACGGTGAAAACCCATCTCTACTAAAAATACAAAAAAATTAGCTGGACTTGGTGGCAGGCACCTGTAGTCCCAGCTACTGGGGAGGCTGAGGCAGGAGAACGGCGTGAACCCGGGAGATGGAGCTTGCAGTGAGTAGAGATCGCACCACTGCATTCCAGCCTGGGCAACTGAGCAAGACTCCGTCTCAAAAAAGTAATAATAAATAAAAATAAAAGCATGAAAGGAATTAAACTAAGTGTTTCGTTTTGGTTGTATTCAGTCAATTGTACTATTGCACTATCTAACAGGTATTGAGAACTTTCTCTTGAGTTATGCCTTCCAGAACAAGACCAGCGAAGAATTGGTCTTTGAGAAAGAAATCTGGTGCTTCTTCCACATTGCTTTTCTTTAAACTTTGACATTGAAGTAACATGTAGAAATGCTTCTCATTTTAATAAGGGCATATTCTTAATTGTATGAAAAGCACCAGAATATTACCTAAAAATAGAAGATCCCTAAAATGCTAGGGTCTTTATCATGTCAAATGACAGTTGTTTATGACATCAATTTATTTTTTTACTTTGCAATTGCGTAAAAATAGCAATAACGTGGCAAGTGAGATGATGCGATTGATTCACATGCTGAATTATTCATTCAATTTCAGCTGTTGACTTCACATGAGACATCTTCGAACGCATAGCGTATAAATTATGATGAATCTTTTTGCCACAACCACTCAAACCTCTCTGATGCTTTCTGTATCCATTTATGCATACAGCCTGGAATTTCTGGTATCTCCTTAACTAAGTCCAAAGTGATTCTATACATTAAAGGCTGAAGAGTGGGGCTCCAGCAAACGGTCTCCAGGAAGTGACATTCTGTTCTGAGAAAGGTCAGTTAGAAAGCTGACTGACCACACAAGCATGCTATTTTCCAGATTCACTGTGTAATCATACTCATAGGACCAACATCTCAGCAAGGAAAAATGGCCCTTCTGTAGGGTAGTTATTTTCAACAGCTGAAATATGGGTTCTGACATGACCATGGTTGCTGGAATGGTCTCCACCATGGACCAGACTAAACCTGGTACCTTCTCACAAATGCACTGTGTGAGATTAAAGGGTACTTGATTATGGAAGACTTCTCTCATTATCTCAAATAAGTTAGGGTCCCTGCTGTGTAATCTCACAGCATCGGTACTTCTCTGCACAGCATATTCCGCCATGATACTTACTTTGAGTATTATTACTGGCGTAAGATCATTTGCCCCCTAGACTAAGTGCCTCCATACCTCTATTTCCCAGTCTCTTTGCCTAATTAGTGGCACATAAAAGACATTTGATAAAAATGTGCTAACTAAATAGGTAAAAACCATTCCCACCACTCAGCTACAGCTCTCTCAGACACTAAAATTCTCTTCATAGATGAAAAGGTGTTTGTTAACCTTTAAACAAATATTCTTGTAATACATTAAATAAAACATCATCCATATCATCCTCTGTCATGTTCTAAATTTCTCATACCTTTCTGGTTTGGCAAAAATACAAAAATTAACTTAGATTTCACTCAGGGAAGAAACCACCATTTCCTAAAGAAACCTTCTCATTAGAATACTGTCCTTTTGTCTTTGTTTCAAGTAGCTGAATTTGCAATACATTAATAGTTTAAGAAAAAAAAAAGACATGTTTTCATTATTTAAAACCATGCCTGGCATTTGGGTGTAAAGCAAGAGATAAAATAGGCGATCATGATTTCATGATGACTTTGTAACTATTACTATGGCACTGAAGAGAAACTCATAGGCAAAGGTTTTTCTTCCTAAATAGACAGAACATTTTTTTAAACCAAGTTTGTAGCCTAATTATTGCTGGTTTTGCTGATATTATAATTCCTAAATAGATATGATTATAACATTTGATCATGATTTGATCATGATTTCATGATTTCCTATTTTACACCCAGATGCTAAGTATGGTTGTTTTGGGGTGGTGAGATGATGGGCAGTTAAAATTCATATTTTCTAAATGAACTTAAATACAGAAGTTTCTTACTTTTAGAAGCAGAGAAAAAAATTAACTGTCAAAAGATGTATTTCAAAACAAAGGAATTAGAATATTAGCAAAGCCAGCAATCATTAGGCTATGAACTTGGTAAAATAAAGTTATAATCATATCTATTTAGGAAGAAAAGCCTTATTGAGTTTCTCTTCAGTGCCATAGTAATAGCATTAGTTACAAAATTGAAAATTCAGATGTCAATGAATTCCTATCATTAGTTTTAATAGTGAATTTTCATATTTTTGTTCATCTACTGCCTTCCCCAGAACATCAGGGATCTGGCACATAGTAGTCACTCAACAAATATTTGTTGAAATACTACAGGGGTGAACACACTTCCTCAGAAAAGCTGAGTCTGGAGAGGTTAAATTAGTCTTGATTTTCTACGGTGTATTGGGCAGACATATGACATCAAGCATCGCTGTCAGATACAGCAAACTCTTATTCCCTCAGCCTGTCCCACCTTTACTCCTGGCCAAGCATTGGACCTCAGACACAGGGCAAAATGAAGAGGAGTCTTGCCAAGTGCTGAGAGAAGCCTGCTTTGCCTGGCCGCCAATGCCTGGGGTTTGGCGTGCTAAGGCATCTGTTGTGGTTGTGGATTTGAGTTGAGTGATTCCTGCTGAAAACACTTTGAATAATTCTAACAATGTCACTGCATGCTGTTGCCCTTGTCTTTCTTCTCTCTGGGTCATGTTTCCAGCCACAGATGATTAGTAATAAACACTAATCAGTAAACTGGTCAGAAAACAATGCCAAAGCTAAGGTCTGCCAAACGTGCGCTAATCGGATACTGGGTTCTGATTTTAATTAGTCCTGGACGTTTGTTTTTACGTTAGTATGGGGGAAGAAGGTGGGGGATTAAATAAAAAGAAAAGCAACAGCAGGGAACTGATCTTCTGGCAGATGAAGCATCAATCTTTCTCGTTTTCTATAGTTATAAAATAAGTCTTAAAAAGTTTGTGCCACATTATTTTTTCCATATGTAGGTATGTGATAGAGGGTGGATCTCCCAGAAGGCTCAAATTGTAGTCTTGCTTCCTCATTCTTGGTGGCTTTCCTCATGCTTGGTCGGTTTGTTGATTATACATCTATATATCTATACATATACATAATACTTCCAGTTTAAAAAATACACCTACATCTAATGGAGAACTGTCTCAGACACATCCTTCATCTTCCACAGGCATCAAGGGGAGAAAGTTAGTTAATACAGCCAGTAGGAAAGACTGCAATGTTTATGCTTAGCTACATCTAAATATCATCTTATAAGAAGACCATCAAAATGAGAGGCTTTAGCTCTTTGGTTTTGAATCCTACAGGATTCTAATAAGAATATTTCTTACTTCCACTTACTCTTACTTTGTAACCTTTGTCTACAAAACATATTACATAAAAAGTTGATCTATATTTTGGCCATATTTTATCATAAGATACATCAAAGCTTCTAAGATCCAAATTTATATTTTTCCTCCTTGCATCTACCATAGAGATTGTTGTTCATTCTTAATGAGTCATATTTCTGGGACAGCATCTAGCACATAGTAAGTGTTCTATTATTTCAGGCTGGGTGAGGAGAGAAGGAATCAGGGAAGAAAGTATAGAAATGACAAGAGTAAATGCAAGAAAATAAACATCGTGAATAAGAAAGAGAAGTATCCCAGAAGGTCATACCAGAGAACAATGAGAAATGGGGTTTGATAGGTAGCAGAAGGACATAGTGAAAAAAGATTAGACGATTTGGTAGGGCAATATAAATGCAACTTAATAGTTTTAAGGACGCTTTGGTTCTTAAATCAGAAAGTGGGATTATAGGATTTTGAATAAGAGAGTGAGGCTAATCAATGCCTTCCAGTCAAAGACCACCAGGAACATACCTGTTGTTGAACAAGTTGGGTGTATTAATTGAGGCAGTGTGGGAGAACATGCACCTAGAGAGCCATGGGGTGTCTCAGTAGGAAGGTGTTAGAAAGGATTCCTTATAGAATTTGGGCTTCATTTGATTGAATTTGGAGTCGAAAGAAAAGGGGTTTACTCTGAATTGGGTGCTGTCAGAACGTGGGCATAATTCTATAATTGACTATCTGAATAAACTTTAGAAAGAGAGAAGATTAGAGTGAAGCTAAAGCTGTAATAGGTGAAGAAGCTGCAGTCACTCATACTAACTGGGGTGGGAGGTGCTTGATATTTTTGTAGTTTGAGCAGCGACCTGTTTTTCTGCTTAGAAATAATTATGAAGTGGTCTTGGCTTTTGTCTCACTTCAGCATGGTCACAGAGTGACATTACCTGATGATGTTTGATAAGATTATGTCCAACAGGATGATACCAGGGCCTAGCTTTGAATTCCAAATCAGCTACTAACACCAACAAGTTCTAGTTGTACATATCAGGCCAGTGCCCAGATATCAGACATGGCTTTTCTCTTTCTTACTGGGCAGGGGAGCAGCACTTTAGGAAGATTCATTGTTGTATAATATGAACTGAGCAGAAAAGACACTCAAAGGTAGGAAGACTATGAGCTGGTCATTGCAGTGGAGGCAGGCTGTGCTATCCATGCATCACTGCATGGAATCTCAAAACAACTCCACAAGGTAGGAGCTGTTATTATCCCTCTTTTATAGAAGGACACCCAAGGCTCAGAAAAGCTAAACAAATAGCCCTACATCATAGCTAGTTAGTGGAGCAGAGATCTAACCCAGACCTGCCTGGCTGCATCATAACAATGACTCTAAAGGAATTCTTGAAGCCAGAGGCTTTGGAGAAGATGCTGTTAACCCTGTGTGCACACTAGAGTGGCTTGGTGAACTTTCCAAAGTGTGCCAGGTTTTATCCTCAGAGATCTTGATCTAAGTGGTCAGCCTGAAGACTGGGTATTGGTATGTGTTAAATACGCTTCAGGTGATTCTAATGTGCAACAGATTTGAGGATTAGAACAGTAAGAGAAAGGATAAACTCTTTCTGGAGTTAACAATAGCAATCAGTAAGTTGGTTAACTCTCCAAAGCAGCTTTGGGGAAAGATCATGCTATTTTGCAATTTGATGGATTCTCTTGTGAGAAAGACTAAAAAACAAGAACACAAATGTGCGATCTCTTTTCCTCAAGAAACCATGCTAGCTAGCATTCAATATCCCCAATCTCCCTGAGCATCATGGCAGCCAAGAATAGCTATGAGGACAAACACAGACTTCCTTAATTTTGTTAAATGGTGAAACAAATGAGCCGCCTCTAAGAGCTTGAATTTTTGTGAAGGAATGTGTTCAAACACAATGGGTCTTTTCTCTTCCTCCTATTCTCTGTGTCAAAACAGAGAGGTATTAGGTAGTTTACTTAATCCTTCTCTCCAAGTAACTAGGGATAAAAATGCACTGGGGATCTGAATTTCATCCTTAAGTGGTTTAGGAGGGTAGCAGAACTCCAATAATCAGTAGGAAAACTTCTGGGGGGAATGAAACATAATTATAACAAAATAAAGTGAAAGTGGCAATAGCTTTGTTAAATTGTTGAAGCTGCCCTCCAAAATAGATGTTTTTCAGTTGGAAGAATGGCGCAGTTTGACAGCCACTAAAGAAGTATACCAAAAAAGTTCACACAAGCTGCAAAACAACAAAAGCCATCAAATATTAGAGAAGCTTGAAAAGTTGGGTTAACCTTTAAACAGCAGGTGTGTCTCACAAGCAAAGACGGGATGCAAGCACAGGGTGGGGGGTGATTGTAACTGGGGAGGCCAACACCGGGTGAGGAGGAACTAAAAAAGGTCACGTCCCCATTCAGCTGATACGTATGTCTTTTTCTGAAAAGGAAAAACAGCTTTCCATGGAAATTGCCTGCCTATTACTTAATGTCTCTGAGCTTTGGTTTCCTTATAGGTAGAATAAGATGGCCTGTTGTACTCTTGGAAGCCATGTAGGATTGATGATGCCGATCTTGTCAGCAGAACTGCAAAGATGCTCTCATGGAGCCAAATATCTGAGACTAGATTGGGTGTTCTTTATAAAGCACTGAGGAAAAATAACGTTGAATGAAAGTACTTTCATTATTCATTAATTCACAAAAATTAGTTGGTCAGTTTGTGGTTACTTATCACTAAGACTTTAAAAGAATTTAATATTGACTCATCAGTATGGGGTGGAGTGGGAAGATACCCATGCAGTTCCTCTTTTCTTTCTCACGAGATAATCTTCATGATGGGAGTTCATGGTCACAGATAAACATCTGGGCAGATTATTCCCCAAAGTGGCACTTTTTCGGCCAGTTTAGAAGCTAAGGTAGTGTAATAAGTTCTAAGGAGTAGTAAGTCAGGCCATGGCAACTGAGATTTAGATTTGGGTCTTTGTTGGTCACTTCATACAGGTGACCCTTGAGCAACGTTGGTGTGGATTGCACAGTCGACTTACATGTGGATTTTCTTCCTCCTCTGCCACCTCTGAGACAGCAAGACCAACCCCCTCTCACCTTCTCCTCCTCTGCCTACTCAATGTGAAGATGAAGAGGACGGAAGACCTTTATGATGATCCACTTCCACTTAATGAACAGTAAATATATTTTTTCTTCCTTATGATTTTCTCAGTGTCTTCTCTCTAGCTTACTTTATTATAAGAATATAGCACATCATACACATAACATCCAAATATTCATTAGTCGACTGTTTATCAGTAAGGCTCCTGGTCAGCAGTAGGCTATTAATAGTTAAGTTTTGGGGGAGTCAAAAGTTATACACGGATTTTTGACCACATTGGGGTCAGCACCCCTAACTCCTGCATTGTTCAAAGGTCATCTATAATTGTAATGTTGTTGTGGAAAACAGTGTGGCAATTACTCAAAGACCTGAAAATAGAACTACCATTCAACCCAGCAATCCCATTACTGGGTATATACCCAAAGGAACATAAATTGTTCTATCATGAAGACACATGCATGCGTATGTTCATTGTAGCATTATTCACAATAGCAAAGACATGGAATCAACCTAAATGCCCATCAATGGTAGACTGGATAAAGAAAATGTGGTACATATACACATGGAACACTATGCAGCCATAAAAAAGAACAATATCATATCCTTTGCAGGAACATGGATGGAGCTGGGGGCCATTATCCTTAGCAAACTAACAAGGAATGGAAAACCGTATACCACATGTTCTCACTTGTAAGTGGGAGCTGAATGATGAGAATACATAGACACTGAGGGGAACAACACACACTGGGGCCTATTAGAGGGTGGAGGGTGGGAGGAAGGAGAGAATCAGGAAAAATAACTAATGGGTACTAGGCTTAATACCTCGATGATGAAATAATGTGTACAACAAACCCCCATGACACAACTTGACCTATATAACAAGCCTGCACCTGTACCCCTGAACTTAAAATAAAAGTCAAAATAAATGTAATACTATAGGGAACTGAAATAACATCAGGAACCCTCAGTTGCCCCATCTGTAAAATGTAGATAGTAACCCTTACCTCATGCTATGTTCTCTTTCTAAACTGTGAGTAAAGACCATGTTTTGTTTTGTTTTTTTTCTCATCATGGTAGGACCTCAATATGGTCTCTGAATAAATGAATGACAGGCTACAGGGATATAATAAGGTAATATCTGGCACATAGCTCTTCATACATGACAAGAGTACTGGGTATTAATATTGACCATGGATATCTGTGTTGGTAAGTCCTAACCATGAACTTCTGAGATGAAGTATGTATGCCAGGCTTAAGTCATCACTGGGTCACATCTCTACCCCTGACCATTTGTGATTGGCTTGGAGAGGGGTCAATTACCCAATCAGAGCAATTACCCAAAGAGACTTTGGCTAGGAATCCTGGAAAGAGACCATTATCTTTTCCCTCTGAAAAGTGAATCAGAGAGAATGTAGAATCTGGGACTACTGCCACAGTTCTGTGAATATGTGGAGCCTGACAAGGGAGGCAGCACCAAGGGACAGGTCACTGGGAAATGAAGAGAGAGAAACAGATCCCGGAGATACCATTTGAGGCCTGGATCAAGCAGTAGGTAAGTCATATCTACCTTGGTCTATCCTATTGCATAAGCTTTACTGAAAGGTTCTTGTTTGTTTTACTGCTTACAGAAATTTATGTCAGTTGCAACATATTGTCATCATCGTAAATAAAGTAACAAAAACAAGGATCAAATACGTTTGCTGTATAACAACTTAACGTTTTTAATTTTGCATGGACAAATATGAGGAAGACCTTAACTTCAAAGTTTTTCCACTTAAGACAGAGCACAATCACTTCCTTCTTGAGAGATTCATATTGGTTCTTTCCTGATGTCCCAGGAAGTGGGGGTCCGGCTAACACAGATGTTTAGAAAAGGAAACACATATAGTATGCTTTTCTTTTAAATCCCATATAACATCCTGCCTCCCTGGCAGAAAGAGTTCAGCTACTCTTTCACCTGGCTGTGACTGTTTTTGAAAACATCATTATAATTTTCTCCTTTCCAACAGATCTGTGTGGGACCACCTCCTCAAATCACAGGCAAATTGCTCCTGAAAGTAACATCTGGGCCCACAATTAAATTAATTCACACATCAGATGCTGCCCATTACTGGACACTAGACACATGATTTGAGAGTTAATCAACCACTACCCGAGAAATGAAGTTTAAAGCATCCAGAAGATAGACAACTGGAAATTTTCCTTCATTGTACTTGAGGAGTTTGAGTACAGATAATGCTCTATCATCTGGGAACTTGGGAACTATTTTCATGGTCTCCATCTGCATCTCCAAAAGTATGCCAGAAACTTGCTTTGCAAATTCATTTGCAACCAATTGTATTATACAACCAGCAATGATGCAAACTGTAAAATCATTCAACAATGATTCAATGAGCACTTTTTAAAAAATCATCATATATTAGGCACATCAGAAGGGCAAGGAAAATACAAAGATGAGTGAAATGTGGTTTCTGCCTTCAAGGAGCTTATAGTCTAGGTCAGTAAAATTCAGTGTTGAGACTGCCAGTTGAACCACAGGGTGTGCAAACAAAGATTTCTGATAAGCACAGACATCATTTCACTTAATCCTCACAATTCTCTGAGCTAGATTGTATTTGCCTAATTTTCAGACGGGAAATCCAAGATTCTTCAAAGTTAAATAGCATTGCCTGAGTTCACATAGCTGGTAAGTGGCAGAACAGGAATTCCCCAGGCCTAGGTCTTGTTCAATATACTATACTCATTGGGTCAGAGGATGGAATACTCTTATCGGATACAGTATTTCTCAATCTTTGAAAATCTCTTTCAACTTTCATCATTCAACTTTCAGTGCCATAAGCATATGTAGGGACAATAGTTGAGCTCTGCCCTAGAAAGCATATTGAAATACATGAGAGTGACTTTTGTCCTAGGAGTCATTGATCTCACCTTTAATTTTTAAAGAGTAAATCACTCACCAGTGCTGTCCTGTGTGCTTAGTAACACATTATTTGTGACACCGTTTGCAAGCGTGTGTCATGACCTATGGTCAAGAGCTACTGGTCCAAATGGAAGACTGAAGAGCATCCTAGGAAAGTCAAGCTGCCTCTTGCAAGTCCCACCACCTCCATCCAGCGGCCTGCTTTGGGGGCCCTGCCCTTTGCTGATTAGACTCATGCTTCACTACTGGTAGTGAAAAGGAATCGGTATACCAAGTCCTCTTTGAAGGTGTGGTGGGACAGAGGGAGCTGGAAATCGAATTCTAAGAGGTGGAATAGTTTTCCCAAAGGGACAAATGCTAGGAAAAAAAGAAAAAAGAAGGCAACAGGGAATCCCATTCAGAACACTGCAAGGCCTTAGACTTCATGGATGCTCCATGGGCCACTGTGGTCATGGCTCTCTCAACTTCTCCCCAGGAAAACCTATCTTTGGTAGAATCACTGTCCTATTAAAAAAAGGCATGTTTGGGAAAGGAGAGGGAATACAAGTTAAACCACATGTACCCCGACTGGCCCATTATATTTTATGGCTACACTTTAGTAGGACACAAATAGGACTAGAAGCCCTCTCAGCTCCCTCTTTTCCGCTTCACTTCCCATTACTCCGGGGGTTTCATTATTTTAGGAGTTTAATGTTCGTCCATTTAACTCGAGAAGTCTGGGTAACCCGCTCAGCATAATGCTTTTACAATTTTGGTCACAAAGTGATATGACAATGAAAAGCCAGACATATTTCATTTTCCTAAGGTTGTGATCTCCCCAAAAATAGTTTTGTTAATATCAGAGGGAAGTGTTGCAAATAGATTGACCCTGGGAGTTACCCTTCTCTAGGCAGTCAGCTTGAGCTGTTAGGAGTCTGACGTGACCAACCCGTTGTACACAAGCACGAATGACCTAAAAGATGAAGAGAGCTACATCTTAAATATGAAGACACAGGAAATTATTTTCCCATGTCCTGTTTAAAGCTTTGACATTCTATGAAAACTAGGCAATATACATTTAATCAACATTCGTCTATTGACTGTTCATAGAATGATGCCAGGCACTCAGGGGTAATTCAAAAGAAATGGAAAGCATAGTTCATTTCCTCAAAGAATGTTTAATCGGAGAGAAGAGACATGGAGACAGTACTCATTAGGCAGGTAAGTTTCAAAGCAAGCTGTTTATAGTTAAGTAGGAATTAGGCAATAGAGATTCATCAGAAAAGGGAGATACTCACTTGGGCTATAGTGAGGAGGAAAGTGCCCGTCTGGAAGGTAAGCTACGCAGGTTTGGAAAGAAACAAAGGCAAGAGAAGAACTCATCTTCCAGAGGACTATTGCTGAAAGAGGCAAGTCAGGAATGAACTTTTATAGCAGTGTCATATTATTAATTAATTCTTTTCAGAGTACTCATTACTATCCTCTTACCTGACCAACAGGTCCGGGGGACATCGGGGGAAGTGGAGAAGAGCCATTTGGTCCATTTTACAGAATTGGCTAATATGTAAAATGGTTTTTGCAGAGTCCCATACCAAATTAAACTGAGCCTCACTTTCTATTTCCTCTTAAGCCACTAGCTTAAAAAAAAAAAAGAAGGAAATTGACCTCTTTTTACTCCTCTGGTCAGGACCCATGCTGCGAGTTGGTAAATGCCAAAAATTGAAGATGTTATATGTAACAACACATCGTAATGAGCACTTCTAATGATTATCTTTATGTAAAGATGAGAAAATTGAGGCTTACCGAGGTTGAGTCACTTGCCCAAGGTGGTGAAACAGGAGCTGAAACTCAGGGTTGTTCAGTTGTGAAGTCCAGGTTCTTAACCACTCTCTCTCAGGCTCTCCCAATAAGATCTCAGGGTTAGCAATATCAGCATCACCTGGGAATGCAAAGTCCCAGACCCACCCCACCTTCACAGAATCAGAAACTCCAGGGGTGGAGCCCAGCTCTCTATGGTTCAAAAAGCCCTCCAGGTGATTCTAATGCAAGCTCAGGTTGGAGAACTGCTTACAGTCACTTCTCTGGCTATTAAGCTTAAATGGAAGTTTAGTGTAAGCAGGGGATGCAAGAAAGATAAATCTCTTAGACTCAGCACCATGAGAGGAACAAAGCTTTTGGATATCTCTGAACCACTGATAAGTCTGCATGGGCCAACCTGTCTAAACATAATTTGTGTATGAAGACAGAGGCTGGACACAGGGACCAACTCCCAGGAGCATCCACTCCAGGGGGACGGCTGCCAAGCAGAGGTCATAATTCCAGCTCCACATCACCAGCACTGTGACCTTACACAAGTTCTGTAGCCTTCCCACATCCAAACGTCCTCATCTGCTCCTAGAGGCTGCTGGGTTACGTGATTTGTATCATCTTTTCCTGCTCTAAAACCTCTAGTCTCTCAGGCAATCCTCTCAGGGCCAAGGTAAAATGAGTTGCTAGATGGAGTGGCAGACTAAGAATCTGGGAAGACAGGATGACTTCCGAAGGCTTCAAGTATTCAAGAAGTAATGAAGGAGGTGGAGGCCGAAGCTAGGAAGTGTTCAGACAGGAAGAGAGCAGAAGAGGGAAGGCAGTGCATCCAGCTGTGGGAGAACAGGGGCAGGGCTAAGGTGAGCCAGGTGTGCTGTGAGATCAGTCTGAACAGATGAAAGCAGCGCTTGACAATTAGAGAAACAAGTAAGCAAAATTCTCAAAAAGAGAGTTTCACCGGGACCATGAAGTGTTTCTATTCAGTGGAGCCGTTGAATGCACTGATTATTGTTTTTCTTTTAACCTAGCATAGTTATTGTCAACCAAGGGCAATTATACCCCTCAGGAGACATTTGGCAATGTCTGGAGATGTCTTTAGTTTTCACTACTGGTTGGGAGGGAATTGAAGTTGCTACTGGCATCTAGTGAGTAGAGAGACCAGGGATGCTAGGATACTGCTAAGCATCCTATAGTTCACAAGACATCCCTATTCCCAACAAAATTAAATGGCCCAAATGTCAAGAGTACATAGGCTGAAAAGCATTGATCTAGCAGATAACCCCGTGCCCGAACATCTAATAACCAGTTTAGAAGCAGCACATAATGATGACTGTGCTACGTAGAGTTCTAAGTACTTTAAGGGCCAGTTTTCACAGCAACCCTCTGTCCTGTTGCTTTTTTTTAAAAGGTAGATTTTATGATTTTTTTAGAGCAACTTTAGGTTCACAGAAAAACTGAGCAAATGTGCAGAGGTTCCTCATAAACCCCTGGTTCCCACATATTCACAGCCTCTCCCACTATCTGTGCTTACTTTTAGTAGCTTCTTTTTACCGGTAAGAAACTGGGGTATAAAGACGCCCAGAAACTTAGCTAGCAAGGCGTGGCACTCAAATGTGGACTTGAGTCTGAAGAATTTGAAAGCCACCGCTCCTGTGTGCTACCCCGTTCTTTCTATGGCTCCGTTACCTTCCCTGTTGGGTTAATACGTCAGCTCTGCTGTAAGCACATGAGGCAGAAAGGGGCAAGCCAGGCCTGCTTCTGAAAATGCAGGGCCCTTTAATTTAGACCCTTCATCTACTTCAGACTCTCACTGTTATTTTACTGGATGAATTGAGGAGCTAAGGCATTGGACACAAACAGATTTCAAAAAGACAACTGCTTGATAAGAGTCTACGTGAAGTTATTGTTTGCTAGGCATTTAAATGCCTTTGTAGCCTTTCCTCATTTTTTCCAGAGGAGTCCTGGGTATCAGCTGATAGGAGAGGTGAACCATGAAAAATGCTGGGTTCCAGTCAAAGTAATTCCATTAGGGGCAGAAATGACTTGCTGAAACATGAGGAAGGGAAATCATTTGCAGCATACCAACAGCTGGGCCCAAATGACATCACTCGCCAAAATCAAAGGAAATGAGCTAATCAGATATGCATAAAAGCCCTTTTTGTTTGCTTGCTTAGAAAGTAACAATTTACTTTCAAACTAGAAGTGAAAAAAAATACCTCTCTGAAATATTTTGACCCTGATATTTTGCTTTTTAAAATTTTTTCAATTATTAGAGAAGACATGAAAATAAAATGTCTGAAATGTTCTCAGTTCACTGCATATTAGGAGGAATTACCACAGAAATGTTATTTTCACAGGTTCCTGCTAAACATTTGATGGCCCCCAGCCTCACATCCTCATCAAAGTTATCCATTGGTTTTTATCCATCACATCCCTTCACATTTTGACCTTCCTTTCTGTTTCCTAGCAAGTTCACCCAGACTGTGGTTGAGTAAATGCATATTAAATTAAGGGCTGAAGGCTGTGGGTAAAAGTGGAATTAAATAATGTTAAGTGAAAAAGGCCAAAGGCAGGGAATTCAGTGTTACCCACCTGGTAAGGCAAAGCAGGAAGATCCCACCATTCCACAAGGATGGAGGCTGGAGATGGTGCCAGGGAGGCGCTGGGTTTTGGGACACTGGTACAGGCAGCAAGAGTGCCCAAGGAACTGAGGTTTTTAGGTTCTAGTAAAAACCGTCTTCTGTTTCTCCTGGTCTCTCACCCCAGAGATGAACTGGGCAGGCAAATCAGGATTTTAGTGTGGCATTTGGAGATGCAGCTCAGTCTTCACTGAAGAGTTAGCTGGGGACACTCAGAGGGGAGGGTGTCAGGGCTCACTCTCTCAGGTGATAGGATGTTATGAGAAGTATTAGTGCTTTAGGCCAGGTGCAGTGGCTCACGCCTGTAATCCCCAGCACTTTGGGAGGCTGAGGCGGGCAGATCACGAGGTCAGGAGATCGAGACCATCCTGGCTAACACGGTGAAACCCCATCTTTACTAAAAATACAAAAATTAGCCAGGCGTGGTGGCGGCTGCCTGTAGTCCCAGCTATTCTGGAGGCTGAGGCAGGAGAAGGGTGTGAACCCAGGAGGCAGAGCTTGCAGTGAGCCGAGATCGCGCCACTGCACTCCAGCCTGGGCCACCGTCTCAAAAAAAAAAAAAAAAAAAAAAAAAAGGAAGTATTAGTGTTTCAAGCTGTAGAGTGGGTGTGGCCTGGGGAAGGAGGCTCAGAAAGCAGTGTCCAGTAACTCGTGAAGCATGGTTTTCCACTGAAGTCATCCAGAAGCCAGCTGCCATTCCAGGTACCAGAATCCCCAGTGGTAACCATGTTATTGTTATTACTATTATGGTGAGAATACTTAACATGAGATCTACCCTCTGAACACGATTTTAAGTGCACAGCATAGTATTGTTAACTATAGGGACAATGTTGTACAGCAGATCTCTAGAAGGTATTCATCTTGCGTAACTGGAACCTTATACCCATTGAACAGCAGCTCTACGTTGTCCTCTCCTCCAGCCCCTGGCAACCACCATTCTTCTCTCTGTTCTTATGAATTTGACTATTTCAGATACCTCATATAAGTGGAATCATGTAGTATTTGTCCTTCTGAGACTTGCTGCTATGGTTTGAATGTGTCCTCTCCAAAATTCTTTTTGAAACTTAATCCCCATTAAGAGGTAAGCCCTTTTGGGAAGTGACTAAGTCTTGAGGGCTCTGCCCTTATGAATGGATTAGTGCCTTATATTAATAAAAGGGCTGGAGGGAACTAGACTAGGCCCTTTTTGCCCTTCCACTTTCTGCCATGTGTGGACACAATATCCAAGGTGCCATCTTGAAGCAGAGGGCAGCCTTCACCAGACATGACTTGCCAGGGCGTTGTTCTTGGACTTCACAGCCTCCAGAACTGTGAGAAATAAATTTCTATTGTGTATAACCTACCCTGTCTGTGGTATTTTATTACAGAAGCACAAAAATGAACAAAGACACTGGCTTTTTTCACTTTAGGGTGGCCATTTTTAATGGGGCCTAAGTGGACACCCTAATATGCCAGGCCCCAAAAGGCAGAAGTGCTTGTGTCTGCCCTACAGGCACAGGGTACTGGGGCTGGGGCTGGAGCTAGGCTGGAAGAGGTGCAGGCCTTCCCTGCAGTCCCTTACCTGAGGCCTCTGTGTAAGCCATTCCTAGGGAAAGGGGCATTTTATATGTACCTTATCACAAAATAACCTTATAGTTCCTATTTTTCTCTCCAGTAAGAATGTTCCCTTTATTTTTCTGAGGAATAAAGAAAAAATATTTTTCATAAAATAAGTCTCTGAGAGTATCTTTAAAAATGTCTTTCTCTACAACTCAGCAACAACAAGAATAAACAACCTAACTAAAAAATGGTCAAAGGACTTGAATAGACATTTCTCCAAAGAAGATTTATGAATGACCAATAAGCACAAAAAAAGCTAAACATTGTTAATCATTTGAGAAATGCAAATCAAAACTATAATGAGACATTAGCTCACACCCTTTAGGATACTACTATCAAAAAAACTCCAGATAATAACAAGTGTTGACAAAGATGCAGAGAAATTGGCCCCTTGTGCTCTGTTAGCAGAATTGCAAAATGGTGGAGCTGCTGTGGAAAACAGTATGGTAGGTCCTCAAAAAATAAAAAGTAGAGCTACCATATGATCCAGCAATTCCACTTCTGGGTATATACCCAAAATAATTGATATGAGGGCCTTGAACAGATATTTACACACTCATCTTTATAACAACACTACTCACAATAGCTAAAACACAGAAGCAACCCAAGTGTACATTGACAGAAGAATGGATTAAAAAAATGTGGTATAGACATACAACAAAATATTACTCAGCCTTAGGAGGAAAGAAATTCTGATGCATGCTGCAACATGGATGAACCTTGAGGATATCATGCTAAGTGAAATAAGTGAGTCACAAAAACCCAATATTGTATGAGTCTACCTATATAAGGTACCTAGAGTAGACACATTGATAAAGACAGAAAGTAGAATGGTTTTTCTTTCAGTGGCTGGGGAAAGGGGCATGGGGTGCTATTGTTTAATGGGTAGACAGTCTCAGTTTTCCAAGATGAAAAGTTCTAAAGGTGGATGGTTGTGAGGCCTGCACAATAATGGGAATGACTTAATACCACTGAACTGTATATATAAAAATGGCTAAGATAGTACATTATATGTTACATGTATTTTTTTTTTTTTTTTTTTTTTGAGACGGAGTCTCACTCTGTCGCCCAGGCTGGAGTGCAGTGGGGCGATCTTGGCTCACTGCAAACTCCAGCTCCCGGGTTCACTCTCCTGAGGCCATTCTCCTGCCTCAGCCTCCCGTGTAGCTGGGACTACAGGCACCCACCACCACGCGTGGCTAATTTTTTATATTTTTAGTAGAGACGGGGTTTCACCACATTAGCCAGGATGGTCTCGATCTCCTGACCTCGTAATCCGCCCACCTCAGCTTCCCAAAGTGCTGGGATTACAGGCATGAACCACCGCACCTGGCATGTTACATGTATTTTAGAACACTTAATAGAATTGTCTCTCTCATGAGATCTGACTTTGGAGGTAACCACTACCTATGTGATTTGGAAAAGATTAACAGCAGCATTTTTACAGTTTATTGAGTGTTGATTACCTATCAGGAACTATACACATATCTCATTTAACCTTCACTACAACTCCCACAGGCTTTATTGTTTCATTATTTCAGAGGAGGAAACTGAGGTACAGAAAGTGTGAATGTCTCTTCCATAATCAGATAGGTATTAAGTGACAGAGGGTTGGAATCCAGAAGTGGCTCTGAAGTTCACACATCTGACTATCATGCTGCCTCATGCAGTTGCCATTCATTAAGCCTCCAGCAGTTACATGGATGACAGTTATAGAAAGAGGCAGAGCCAGAATGCAAACTCAGGTTTGTCTGACTCTAAAACTCCATCCTTGGTCCACTACATACCGCTGAATTGATTTTATTTATTGTGAAGACAAACTTATATCTTGTTCAATGACTCTCATCTTGACTAAGGCATTTTCCCATTTGATACTATAGGAGATAACACTGATTGAACTCTTCATGTGTGCCAGGCACTGTTCCAAGTACTTTGCATAGATTAACTGATTTAATACTCACGACAACACCAAGAGGCAGATTCCGTCATTGTCCCCATATTAGAGATGGGAAATCTGATGCACAGAGAGATGAAGTAAGCATGCCCATGGACACAAAGCTAGTGGTTGGCTGGGCAAGGTTACAAAGCCAGGCAGACAGTCTCTAAAAAGGTCATGCTCTGTAAACACCTGGCTACACTGTGTAATTAGAATTCACCCTGAGGATTTGGCAGAAAGTCTACACCAACAAACTTTGATTAAATAAAATATTTAGTGATGGAATGTGATGATATTCTAGAAGGTATTGTCTTTTAGAAGCACAAAATCGTATCTGATATTGATTTAGTTGGATTTTTTTGTAGACATTTCAGCAGAACTTATTTGAATTTCTTTTAAAAAGTTGTTACATCATCAGGCTGCTGTGTTCAATGGCTTCTAGAAGCCATTTGACCCTTTCATGGTAAAAGTTGGATGATGACAAAAGATGCTACTCTATGTGAAAAAACTGGATTTCAGGGCAGTTTTGAGGCTCTCTTTAGAGTCCAGCACATTTTGACTTCAGATGAGGCCCTCGATGAAACGGAGCTTGAAATATGACACCTGCTAAAAAGGCAAACTGAGGCACAATAAATTTTGAAAGAGTTGAGTTGTGCAAACAGTGATTCATGAATCTGGTAGTTCCAAATTGGAAGTGGCTCGGAAGCTCCACCAGAGGAACACGAGAGGGAGGTTTTTATAGGATAAAATTGGAAGTAAAGCAAAGCAAATATTTGATTGGTTATAGTCATACGGCTGCCTTATTTGGTCTCTCTTGCTGGAAGGCCCCTACTTATATAATGATAAGTGTTTTGGCTGCTCCTGATTGGTTGAGCTTAAGTTCTATTTTTCTTTAATATAGGCATTTACAAGAAAACTAGCTCAAGTTAAGTTTTGTTCATGCTTGCAAATCAAGGAGGGTTAAACTCACTGATGAGGCCTACCTGGCTTGGTCTGCTCAGGGATTCTTCAGTCCTGGTCTCCATTTTAATTTACTTTCACATGCCTCCTGGGGCCAGGAACTGGACTGGTGACCTCGCAGAGTTGGTGTAACTGAGAAGGAGGTGGTTGAGGCACTTCAAAAGCCTCAAAGCATTGTGGGTCACTGACTCAACTCACCTGTTGCTCTCACCTGGATGCTCTCACCTGGCATCAGCAGGGGAGGCAGAGTTGTCTTTACCCATCACACTCAGTGGGTACCCTTTTGTTTAGTGCATCCAATGATCTACAGAAATTCTTATACATGCTAGAGTTGAGTAATGATTGCTCTAGGTTAAAGAAATGAACAAAAGTCTGTATACACTGACGACTGGGTGTTCAAATATTCTGCCCTTAGGGGAACCATCAAATCTTTGGCGAGGATGGAGGGTGAATGGAGATTTCTGGTGTTCTTGTTTGCCTAAAGGGTTCAAAGTGGTTCCATTTTGTTTTAAATCTCAGCACATATAACCTTAATATATGTTAATGGAGATGTTTGTGACTGTGAGTTGAACACATATGATTGTGGTGGGTGCATGCGGTGGGGAGGAGGATGTGGGCTTAGGTTGTAAAGTCAACTCAATAAATTAAAGGTTTTAATCCCACCTGCTTAGATAAACCTGCTGAGGGCTTCAGGCAAGGGGCTCAGTGAAGGTCAAATATATATAGTTCAGCAAGCAAAAACTAACCTGAAAGCAACATGAGTTCCCTCCTTGCATTTCTCCAAGCGAAGGACTAGTTGATACACAATGTCTTAGCACAGTGGTGAGGGTTGGCACTAGACCCAGAATGTCTGGGCATAAATCCTGGTTGTGCCACTTACTAGCTGGGTCACTTTAAAAAAGTTACTTAATGTGGGTAAAGTAGGATTACTTTAAGATGGAACTACCTCACACAATTGTTGGGAGGATTGAAATGAAGGGAAATACAAGACAGGTGCTTAGAACAGTGCCGGGTACATGGTAAATCATAAATAAGTTTTAACTCAAGAGCTGTAAAATCGCATTTTCTCTCATTCTCTGCAAGCTGCTCAACATTTCTCTTCAGAATTACCCAGATTTCTTCCACTAGCCCTTTACCTCTTCCTCCTCTTGTTGCTTCTGGATCTTCAAAAGCCAAAAGCACCACAGTAAGGGAAGTTACCAGGAAGAAACTAACTAGAACTCTTGAATTGAGTGGAAAGATGTCTAGGAAAAGGTACACTTCCTTTTCATGCACACATAAGGCATTGTTGTCATCTCATTATCTTTACCATTATTGGAAGAAACACACTCCAAATAGCGATTAAGGATAGGATTATAAAGCATTCTCTTATAAAGACACACACAAACGTATGTTTATTGCAGTACTATTCACAATAGCGAAGACTTGGAACCAACCCAAATGCCCATGAATGATAGACTGGATAAAGAAAATGTGGCACGTATACATCATGGAATACTATGCAGCCATAAGAAGGATGAGTTCATGTCCTTTGCAGGGGCATGGATGAAGCTGGAAACCATCATTCTCAGCAAACTAACACAGGAACAGAAAACCAAACACCACATGTCCTCACTTATAAGTGGGAGTCGAATAATAAGAACGCATGGACACAGGGAGGGGAACATTGCACACCAGGGCCTGTAGGCGGGTGGGGGGCTAGGGGAGTGATAGCATTAGGAGGAATACTGAGTGTCGATGGCAGTTTGATGTGTGCAGCAAACCACCATGGCACGTGTATATCTATGTAACAAACCTGCATATTCTGCACATGTATGTCAGAACTTAAAGTATATATATATATATATATATAAAAGGAACTTCTAAGTCAATGCCCTCTGAGTTTGAATCTTTGCTTTGCTGAGACCACAGGAAGGTTCCAAAGTCAACAGAATCTGTTTCTTTTTCTATAAGGTGTGGTTGATAATACTGATCTTATTGGGTTATTGTGAAGCTTAAAGCTGGCAGTATCGTAATGTGCTGGCACACAGTAAATGTTCAAGAATTGGGAGTCATTGTTACTATATTTCACTCATTCTACAAAAATAAGAGGCAGGATGGGAGGCAAACATCAAGGTGGAAACCATCCAGCACTATTTCAGGCTAATACTAATAGAAATGCTGCTTTTGGGTTTGTTCCTAATATTGCAGCCCCCAAGACTTTCATCTTTAGCCTACTGGTCCTTGCTGCTTTACCCAGAATCAAGAAAATCTGTCTCTTTGCAGAGTTCACCTTTTCCAGAAGCTGCGTAAGAAAGAGAAAAACAAAGCCTAGTTTCCCAGGTTGCTATTCTCTCAGGATAAGAAAAGCCACTCGGAGGGTACCATGAGCGGAGGACGGGGAATGAGATGGAGGCGCAAAAGTTTATTAGAGGAAGGTGCGGGTCCCCAGGCCCCTAGAAGCCGGCTGTCTTCCAGGTCTAATTGCAGCACATTCCTGAGATCTGTCGTCACCAAGCCATGATGCAAACGCCTCAGCATTGTGGGTGGAGAGGAATTAGAATACCTATGAAAGTCACACAAAAACATATGCTGACCCCTTCAGACCTATGACCGTATTCTAAGTGGAGCCAAACTAAATGAAATCAAGGTCTCTGTCCAGCGTTTGAGAGCCAGTGAAAATAGGAACTCAGTGTTTCTCTAAATACACAGAGTGTATTACCTTAGTCATAAAATTGGGGACTTTCAAATCTAATTTGTTCAGCCCTAGTGCTGTTGAAGGCTGGGCAGGGTTCCAAAGGAAATCACCTCCACGCAAACAGAGATTAGCAGCTCTCCACTGGAGACATATGGGAATGATTCCCTATAATCTCCAGTAATTGTGGCTGCATTACATTCAAATCCTGTTTTCAATTTTCTTAAACTTCTAGACTGATTGTGTTATTAAATCATGCTGGCTGATGTGTTTAATAAGGACCTATTAAATGTTTATAAAATTAGGGAAATAAATATG
This sequence comes from Homo sapiens, assembly GCF_000001405.40. Classification (NCBI taxonomy): domain Eukaryota; kingdom Metazoa; phylum Chordata; class Mammalia; order Primates; family Hominidae; genus Homo; species Homo sapiens. Next base: position 158,591,274 of record NC_000005.10, on the reverse strand, counting down.
GGCTTTTAGTCAGATTGCCCAATGGATCTGGTAACCTATTGTTAAAATAACAGCCCTGCTGTTAAAACTGCTTCTCCTGACTGCATTGGCTGGTACTCACTTTAAAACATTATCCCAGCATTCATGCAGAGCTGTTTATTCTAACACTCCATTCACTAAAGAATTTGAGCCCCACCCCCCTCCCTAGGCTCCACTCCACAAAAAAAGAAATACATTCAAAGAAGACTAACTAACTGTAAGATATAGTGTCTTGGCTGTCAAGAAATATCACCTCTGCTTCCAAAGAAGTAGTGATACCAACAGTTTTGAGAGAAGACCCAGAGGGACCAGTTTTGTTGTTGTTATTGTTGAAACCTTCACCTGGCTTAATTTCAGCATAGAAATTGCATTTAAGTTCTCCAAGGCCTTCAGTCGGAAGGTATGATCGGCCTTTAGAGAGGGAAGGAAAACTTGGCTAGAATTTATACAGCAGGGACAGAGAATGAATACAATCTATGCTTCAGACAGATGGGCTTACTTAGGAATTATTTTATCCATTGAATCTTGGTGATCATGGCTGGCTTGAGAAGTTTAGAAGTTCTCTATGACATGGCTCAGACTAGTGCAGTACCATTGGCTTCACTGGCATTTGAAAGCAAAGACTAGAAATGTCTGCAGAATGGATCCAGGCATGGAGGGCTATGCTCTCTTAAGAGGGAAGAATGGAGTATGGACCAAGTTAGGGGGCTTGCCTTTAGCTTTATATTCTGTAGCCACTTGACCTGGGAGAGGTATTTCCCAGTCCAAGAAACCTCCTTTTCCTTATTTCTAAAATGGAGATATTGACAGTATCGACCTCTTGTGTAGATTAAATAGGACGTAGTGTCTGGCACACAAGAGGGGCTCCAGTGTGGTTGCTTAAAAAATGAGAAGTGGAGAAGTAGAGGCTATGGTACAAATCAGTGATCTCTTTTGAAGTGCTAAAAATAACTATGAAGCTATGTTAATAATAAATATTAATACAATATTAGCTGTCTGAGCATGCTCCTGAGTGCAGCATTAAACCCAGTACCGCATGATTCTGTCCAAAGCAATTCCCCAACACAGACACAAAACCATAACTTCAATCCTCCCTGCCAAAACACTCTCAGCCACCTGGCCTTAAACCACAGTTTCCTACACCCTCGACCACAGCTCAAATAATTCTGTTATCTTCAGGGCAAATGCAAACCCCACTTTCTTGGACGGATTAACCTTTGAGTTTCCCCTAAGGAAAGAGAGGGCAATTAAACAATCTTTCAGGCACTTAAAAAAAAAAAAGGCCAACAAACTACATCATTATCTTGGTATAAACACACACCCTTAAAATATTTTATTTCTAACAAGTGTGTACTGAGTTCCCCAACTTGCCTACTGCCTCCACCCCCATTCCAGAATATGGTAAAATGATTGGGGGGGCTGGCCTGGTTCACATTAGAGACTCTGAAAGGTTGGGGGAGAATTGGATATAAGGTTAATATTTGGCAGAACCTTGTAAATGACCTGATTGTTATTTTATATTGGCTACAGCCTCCAAATCACTGCATCTTGCCAGAAAGACCCGAGTCTGGCCAGGTAGTTACACACAACAGTGTCATAAGCCTGCTCCATGGAGGGACACACTTACTCTGTGTGTTTGTGTGTGTGTGTGTTTTCTGTGAGTATGTGCACAGGCCCCCGCTGTTCTGCTTATGCCCAGCCAAAATACAGCAGAAACCCAGCACAGCAATTATTTTTATGAATTTTGTTTTGGTCTGCCCTCAGGGGAACTTCTCCCCGTTGAATTATCTGGGGGGATTGTTTCCTTGTGGGACTTTATTTCAAAACATTCCTGTTAAAATTTCTTTCTGAGGGGAAAGGAAAGAGAGGATGATTTTTTTTTAATCTCCTTAAACACACAAACCCACAATCACATAAAAATTCACCAAACTATGTATTCTGAAATTAATAGAGGTGTTTTGTGATGCATAGATTTTTAAATTATTTGTCTAGAGATATGTTTAGAATTGATTATATTAAAGCTGTATCAATCTTGAATTCCCTTCCCCCACTTCCATGCCTTGGAAATGAATTCAAGCAAACCAACTGAATTTTAAGTTAAGACAAACAGGGGGAGAGATCATTCATCTCCAGTTATACATGAAATAGCTTATAATAGTGGATGCTGAGTTCATGAAGTATATGTTCGACCCCCTTTGATATAAATTCCATCATCAGCTCACAAAGAAATTGTATTTATGCATAAGACAGTGCTCTCTAACATGAACTCCTATAAATTATGAGAACAGAAAATCCAAATTTATAAGATGCCGTTTCTGGATTTCTTTTTAATGCTCTCTCCCACATATTACCAAACAAATGCCACATTAGCAGAGCATGAAAGGCTTTTTACTGGCATAAGCTATGACCATGAAATTCACAGCACAGACTGGGCTGGGTTTAGGTGCAAATGAAGGAGCAAACAGAAAGTATGAGAGGGATCCCATGCTTGGGGGGTGCTTAGGAGGTCTAAAGGCCTGTTGTTTCCTGTAGTGTAGATAAGCTGGTCATTTTTCTTGGAAGGAAGGCACATTTCCTGATTCATTAACAATATTAAACATAGGTGATTATTGGCATTTCCTAAGAAATGTTTGTTTTCCCTTCCAAACTCTACATATAGGATAAGACTTAATTCTCCTCTCTATCTTCTACTAATGCATTCAGCAGTTCATGTATCTTTTCATTCGTTCATTTATTCATCAAATGTTATCGACTGCTTCAGGTGTGTCAACCATTCAGCTATGGAACTGAGGATATGGAATCTAGAAGGAAGATAATACAGGGTGGTAGTTAGAACACAAGCTGTCAAGTCATTCTGCCTAAGTTATACACGAAGAAATAATAATAGTATTAATAATATTGCTTACTTGGTGCCAGCCAGTATTCCAGGTTTCACACTATTACATGAGTTAACTCATATAATATTCCCACATACCTATGAGGTTAGATGCTATAATTTATTATTTTAACTATGAGAAACTTGGTTTAAAATGATCTGATAGTAAGGAATAGAGCTGGCATTTGAATCCATGGTTTCAAGGTCAGCAGATTGAATTACTATGTTGAAAAAAGTAGCTATTCCTAAATCAATCCATCAGTCAACCATCAATCCCCCAGCTCTGCCTTTCTCTGACTGTGTGACCTTGGGTAAGTTAGTTAACCACTCAGTGCTTTAATTTTCTTATCTATAAATGGAGATAATAATAGTACCTGCTTCATATCATAGTGGTGACAATTAAGGGAAAACTTATACATGTGCAGCACTTAGAACAGTGCCTGGCACAGGTGTGTGCTCAGTGCTCACTCTTAATAGTAATTATCGTCATTATGTGACAAATCTCCTTTCTTGTTACATACAATGGATGCATTAAGACATCAGGGTTTGGCAAGATGGAAGAATAGATGGCTCCACTGATTGTCCCCACCATAAGGACACCAATTTAACAACTATTTACACAGAAAAAAAAAACCCTTCATAACAACCAAAAATCAGATGAGTCCTCATAGTACCTGGTGTTAACTTTGTATTGCTGAAAGAGGCACTGAAGAAGAAAAACAGTCCGGAATCTCTGATGCCACCCCTCCCCAACCCCCAGCAGCAGCTCTGTGGTGCTGAGAGTGTCTCTGGGTGCTGCGGGAGGGAGACCAGAGAAACTGTAAGGCATTGAACTCAGTGCTGTCCTGTTAGAGCAGAAAGGAAAATTGGACCAAACTCAGCTGACGCTTGCCCATGAAGGGAGCTTTGAACCAGCCCTAGCTAGTCGGGTGGGAATCGCTGATTCCAGAGGCCAGAAGCTTGAGTGCCTGCAGACCTCCCCACTGATGGCTACAGTGCTCTGAGGTGCTAAGTAAACTTGAAAGGCAGTCTAGGCCATAAGAACTGCAACTCTTAGGTGAATCCTAGTGCTAAACTGGGCCCAGAGAGAGTGGACTGGGGAGAACTCAACATACTGAGACATAAACTGGGGTGGCTAAGGGAATGCTGGCCTCACCCCTCTCCTAACCCCAAGCTGCACAGCTTCCAGCTCCAAAAGAGACCGCTTCCTTCTGCTTGAGGAGGGGAGAGGAAAGAGTGGAGGGGCTTTGTCTTTCTTCGTGAATACCAGCTCAGCCACAGCACCATAGGGCACCAGTCAGAGTTGGGAGGCCCCTGTTTCAGGCCCTAGCTCCCAGACAACGTTTCTAGACACACTCTGGGCCAGAAGGGAATCGCTGCCTTGAAGGAAAGGACTCAGTCCTGGGAGAATTCATCACCTACTAACTAAAGAGCCCTTGGGTCCTGAATAACCAGCAGCAATACCCAGATACTACATCAAGGGCCTTGGGTGAGCCTCTGAGAGTTGCTGGATTCAGGAACCAGTATAACCTCAAGAGAGTAGAACACCAAGCAGGCTCTTGGGGTCCCTGATTCCAGGACTTGACTTGTGGATGGCATTTCTGGACCTGCTCTGGGCCAGAGAGGAGCCCAAACTTGAAGGGTCAGTCCCACGCCAGGCAACATTCTCTACAAGCTGACTTAAGAGCTCTGGGACATTAAGAGAACTTCCTTGGTAGTCTTACCATATTCCCCATGGCCTGTGGTGGTGGTGGCTACAGGGTGAGGCTCCTCTACCTTTGGAAAGGGGAGGAAAGACTGGGAATGACTGTGTCTTGTGGTTTGAGTGGCAGCCAAGTCACAGTACAATAGAACACCAAGTAGACATCTAAGGTTTTTGACTCTAGTATCTCACTCTTGGATGATACTTCTGGACCCACCAGGGCCTAGGGAAACTTGCCATTCTGAAGGGAAGAAGAACACAGGCCTGACTGGCTTTGTGACCTGCTGATTATAGAGCCCCAGGGTCTTGAGTGAACATAAGCGGTACCCAGAGAGTGTTTACAGCAGGCCTTGGGTGAGACTCGGTGCTGTTCTGACTTCAGCTCTGACCCAGTGCAGTCACAGTGGAAGTGGCCACAGGGATGCTTGGGTCACTCCACCCCCAGCTTTAGGTGGCTCAGAAGAGAAAGAGAAAGAGAAAGAGAAAGAGAGAGAGACAGAGTGAGAGAGAGAGAGAGAGAGAGAGAGAGAGAGAGACTCTATTTGTTTGGGAGAAAGTAAGAGAAGAGAACAAGGGTCTCTACCTGGTAATCCAGAGAATTCTTCCAGACCTTGTCCAAGACCACCACCAGTCTGCAAGAACCACAGTGTTACTGGTCTGGGGGTATTCCCTAAACCAGATACAACTTAGATTATAACACCCAAGTACTTTCAAATATCCAGAAAGCTTTTCCAAGAAGGATGGGTACAAACAAGCTCAGACAGTGAAGTCTACAATAAATACCTAATTCTTTAATGTGTAGACACCAAAGAACATCTACTAGCATCAACACCATACAGGAAAACATAACCTCACCAAATGAACTAAATAAGCCACCAGGAACCAATCCTGGAGAAACAGAGACTTGTGACCTTTCAGACAGAGAATTCAAAGTAGCTGTGTTAATTTCAGAAAACACAGAGAAGAAATTCAGAATTCTATCAGGTAAATTTAACAAAGAGATTGAAATAATTAAAAAGAATCAAGCAGGAATTCTAGAGCTGAAAAATGCAGTTGGTATACTGAAGAATGCATCAGAGCTCTTTAATAGCAGGATAGATCGATCAAGCAGAAGAAAGAATTAGTGAGCTTGAAGACAGGCTATTTGAAAATACACAGAATGAGGAGAAAAAAGAAAAGGAATTTTGAAAAAAGAAACTTGCCTACAGGATCTAGAAAAATAGCTAAAAAGGGCAGATCAAAGCATCATTGGCCTTAAAGAGGAGGTAGAGAAAGAAATAAGGATGGAAAGTTCATTCAAAGGAAAAAATAACAAGGAACTTCCCAAATCTAGAAAAAAGATATCAATATTCAAGAATGAGAAGGTTATATAACACCAAACAGATTTAACCTAAAGAAGACTACCTCAATGCATTTAATAATCAAATTTCCAAAGGTCAAGGATAAAGAAAGGATCCTAAAAACAGCAAGAGTAAAGAAACAAATAACATACAATGAAGCTCCAAAATGTTCTACTTGGAAGTCTAACTTGGTGTCTAGCAACAGACTTTTCAGTGGAAACTTTACAGATCAGGAGAGAGTGGCATGACATATTTAAAGTGCTGAAGGAAAAAAACCTTTTACCCTAGAATAGTATATCTGGTGAAAATATCCTTCAAACATGAAGAAGAAATAATGACATTCTCAGACAAACAAAAGCCGAGGGATTTCATCAATGCCAGACTTGTCTTACAAGAAATGCTAAAGGGAGTACTTCAATCAGAAAGAAAGGGATGTTAATGAGCAAAAAGTAATCACCTGAAGGTACAAAAGTCACTGGTAATAGTAAGTACACAGAAAAACACAGAATATCAAAACACTAGCTGTGATGTCTAAACTACTCTTATCCTAAGTAGAAAGACTAAATGATGAATCAATTAAAAAATAGCTACAACTTTTGTAGACAAAAGACAGTACAATAAGATATAAATAGAAACAACAGGAAGTTAAAAAGCAGGGGGACAAAGTTAAGGCATAGACTTCTTCTCATTATTACTCTTTTTTTTTTTTTTTTTTGAGATGGAGTCTCACTCTGTCGCCCAGGCTGGAGTGCAGTGGTGCAATCTTGGCTCACTGCAACCTCCACCTCCCAGGTTCAAGCAATTCTTCTGCCTCAGCCTCCCAAGTAGCTGGGATTAAAGGCGTGCGCCACCATGCCCAGCTAATTTTTTGTATTTTTAGTAGAAACGAGGTTTCACCATGTTAGCCAGGATCGTCTTGATCTCCTGACCTCGTGATCCGCCGGCCTCGGCCTCCCAAAGTGCTGGGATTACAGGCATGAGCCACCGCACCTGGCTGACTTTTTATTATTAATAGTTTTCTTTTTGCTTGTTCATTTATGCAAACAGTGTTAAGTTGTTATCAGATTAAATAATGGGTTATAAAATAGTACTTGTGGCTGGGTTCTGTTAAGATTGTTTTTGTATTTCAAAAAATTTGAAATAATGTCAAGCATCTTCTCTGACCACAATAGAATAAAACTAGAAATTAATAATTGAGGAATTTTGAAAACTATACAAATACATGGATATTAAGCAATATGCTCTTGAATGACCAGTGGGTTAATGAAGAAATGAAGAAAGAAATTGAAAAATTTCTTTTTTTTTTTTTTTTAATTTTTATTTTTTTTAATTATTATTTTTTATTTATTTATTTATTTTTTATTGATCATTCTTGGGTGTTTCTCACAGAGGGGGATTTGGCAGGGTCATAGGACAATAGTGGAGGGAGGGTCAGCAGATAAACAAGTGAACAAAGGTCTCTGGTTTTCCTATGCAGAGGACCCTGCGGCCTTCAGCAGTGTTTGTGTCCCTGGGTACTTGAGATTAGGGAGTGGTGATGACTCTTAACGAGCATGCTGCCTTCAAGCATCTGTTTAACAAAGCACATCTTGCACCACCCTTAATCCATTTAACCCTGAGTGGACACAGCACATGTTTCAGAGAGCGCAGGGTTGGGGGTAGGGTCACTGATCAACAGGATCACAAGGCAGAAGAATTTTTCTTAGTACAGAACAAAATGAAAAGTCTCCCGTGTCTACCTCTTTCTACACAGACATGGCAACCATCCGATTTCTCAATTCTTTCCCCGCCTTTCCCTCCTTTCTATTCCACAAAACCGCCATTGTCATCATGGCCTGTTCTCAATGAGCTGTTGGGTACACCTCCCAGACGGGGTGGTGGCTGGGCAGAGGGGCTCCTCACTTCCCAGTAGGGGCGGCCAGGCAGAGGCGCCCCTCACCTCCCAGACCGGGCAGCTGGCCGGGTGGGGGGCTGACCCCCCCACCTCCTTCCCGGATGGGGCGGCTGGCCGGGCGGGGGGCTGACCCCCCCACCTGCCTCCCGGACAGGGCGGCTGGCCGGGCGGGGGGCTGAACCCCCCACCTCCCTCCCGGACGGGGCGGCTGGCTGGGTGGGGGGCTGACCCCCCCACCTCCCTCCCGGACGGGGCGGCTGGCCGGGCAGAGGAGCTCCTCACTTCCCAGTAGGGGCGGCCAGGCAGAGGCGCCCCTCACCTCCCGGACGGGGCGGCTGGCCGTGCGGGGGGCTGACCCCCCGACCTCCCTCCCGGTCGGGGCGGCTGGCCTGGCGGGGGGCTGACCCCCCCACCTCCCTCCCGGACGGGGCGACTGGCCGGGCGTGGGGCTGACTCCCCCACCACCCTCCCAGACGGGGCTGCTGGCCGGGTGGGGGGCTGAACCCCCCACCTCCCTCCCGGATGGGGTGGCTGGCCAGGAGGGGGGCTGACCCCCCCACCTCCTTCCCGGACTGGGCGGCTGGCCGGGCAGAGGGGCTCCTCACTTCCAAGTAGGGGCGGCCAGGCAGAGGCACGCCTCACCTCCCGGACGGGGCGGCTGGCCGGGCGGGGGGCTGACCCCCCCACCTCCCTCCCGGACTGGGCGGCTGGCCGGGTGGGGGGCTGATCCCCCCACCTCCCTCCCGGACGGGGCGGCTGGCCTGGCGGGGGCTGACCCCCACCTCTCTCCCGGATGGGGTGGTGCTGGGCAGAGACGCTCCTCACTTCCCAGACGGGGTGGCTGCCGGGCGGAGGGGCTCCTCACTTCTCATATGGGGCGGTTGCCAGTCAGAGGGTCTCCTCACTTCTCAGACGGGGCGGCTGGGCAGAGACGCTCCTCACCTCCCAGACGGGGTCGCGGCCGGGTAGAGGCGCTCCTCACATCCCAGACGGGGCGGCGGGGCAGAGGCGCTCCCCACATCTCAGACGATGGGTGGCTGGGCAGAGACGCTCCTCACTTCCTAGATGGGATGGCGGCCGGGAAGAGGCGCTCCTCACTTCCTAGATGGGATGGCGGCCGGGCAGAGACGCTCCTCACTTTCCAGACTGGGTAGCCAGGCAGAGGGGCTCCTCACGTCCCAGAAGATGGGCGGCCAGGCAGAGATGCTCCTCACTTCCCAGACGGGGTGGCGGCCGGGCAGAGGCTGCAATCTCGGCACTTTGGGAGGCCAAGGCAGGCGGCTGGGAGGTGGAGGTTGTAGCCAGCCGAGATCACGCCACTGCACTCCAGCCTGGGCACCATTGAGCACTGAGTGAACCAGACTCCATCTGCAATCCCTGCACCTCGGGAGGCCGAGGCTGGCGGATCACTCGCAGTTAGGAGCTGGAGACTAGCCCGGCCAACACAGCGAAACCCTGTCTCCACCAAAAAAATACGAAAACCAGTCAGGCGTGGTGGCGCGTGCCTGCAATCGCAGGCACTCGGCAGGCTGAGGCAGGAGAATCAGGCAGGGAGGCTGCAGTGAGCCGAGATGGCAGCAGTACAGTCCAGCTTCGGCTGGGCATCAGTGGGAGACCGCGGAAAGAGAGGGAGAGGGAGACCGTGGGGAGAGGGAGAGTGGGGAGAGGGAGAGGGAGAGGAAGAGGGAGAGCAAAAAATTTCTTGAAACAAATGATAATGGAAACATAACATATCAAAACCTATGAGATAGAGCAAAAGCAGTATTAAGAGGGAAATTTATAGCTATAAGTGCCTACATCAAAAAAGAGAAAAAACTTCAAATAAACAATCTAACAATGCATCTTAAAGAACTAGAAAAGCAAGAGCAAAATGAATCCAAAGGTAGTAGAAGAAAATAAATAATAAATATCAGATCAGAAATCAATGAAATTGAAATGAAGAAAATAATACAAAAGATCAATGAAATAGGTTTTTTTTTAATTAAACAAAATTGACTAACCTTTAACATGACTGAGAAAAAAGGAGAGAACATCCAAATAAATACAACTACAAATGAAAAAGGGGCCATTACAACTGACACTGCAGAAATTCAAAGGATCATTAGTGGCTACTATGAACAACAATATGCCAATAAATTGGAAAATCTATGAGAAATGAACAAATTTCTAGACACATACAACCCACCAAGATTGAACCAGGAAGAAGTCCAAAACCTGAACAGACCAATAACAAGTAACACAATCAAAGCTGTAATAAGTTTCCCAGTAAAGAAAAGCCCAGGACCTGGTGGCTTCACCACCGAATTCTACCAAATATTTAAAGAGAAACTAATTCCAATTTTACTCAAACTACTTTGAAAAATACAGGAGGAGAAAATTCTTCCAAACTCATTCTACAAGGGTAGTAATACCCCAATACCAAAACCAAATACACGTGAAGAAAATAAAACTACAGGGTACAATATTCTATATTACATATACTATACTACAATATTCATCTCTGATGAATGGTGATGCAAAAATTCTCAACAAAATACTAGTAAACTGAATTCAGCAATATATTAGAAACATCATTCATCATGATCTAGTGGGGTTTATCGCTGGGATGCAAGGATGGTTCAACATAAGCAAATTAATCAATGCACTATATTATATCAACAGAATGAAGGATAAAAACTATACATCATTTCAATTGATGCTGAAAAACTATTTGATAAAATTCAACATTCCTTCATGATAAAAATCCTCAAAAAAAACTGAGTATAAAAAGAATAGACTTCAACATCACAAAAAGATCATCACGTAGGCACATAATTATTATCAGTTTATTTCAAGGCAAGACAAAGGAAAGAATCTTAAGAGCTGTGAGGCAAAAGTATCATGTAAACTATAAAGGAAAACCTATCAGATTAACAGCAGATTTCTCAGGAGAAACCCTACAAGGTAGAAGGGATTGTGTCCTATTTTTAGCCTCCTTAAACAAAACAATTATCAGCCAGGAATTTTGTATCCAGCGAAACTAAGCTTCATAAATGAAGGAAAGATACAGTCTTTTCCAGAAACATAAATGCTGAGAAAATTCACCATTACCAAGCCAGCACTATAAGAACTGCTCAAAAGAGCTCTAAATCTTGAAACAAATCCTCAAAATACACCAAAATAGAACCTCCTTAAGCATAAATTTCACAGGTCCTATATAACAATAACACAATGAAAAAGGCACAAAGTATTCAGGGAACAAATGGTACAATGAATAGAATAGTACCTCCCATCTCGATACTGACATTGGATGTAAGTGGCCTAAATGCTCCACTGAAAAGACACAGAATAATTAAGAGTTCACCAATCAAGTTTCTGCTGTGGTCAGGAGACTCACCTAACACATAAGGACTCACATAAAGTTAAGGTAAAGGGGTGGAAAAATATATTCCATGCAAATGGACACCAAAAGCAAGCAAGAGTAGCTATTCTTATATCAGACAAAACAAAACAACAGCATTTAAAAAAGACAAAAAAGGACATTATATAATGATAAAAGAACTAGTCCAACAGGCAAATATCACAATCCTAAATATATATGCACCTAACACTGGAGCTTCAGAATTTATAAAACAATTACTACTAGACCTAACAGCTCTAGACAAGTCATCAAGACAGAAAGTCAACAAAGAAACAATGGACTTAAACTATACCCTACAACAAATGACTTAACAGATATTTACAGAACATTCTATACAATAACTGCAGAATATACATTCTATTCATCAGCACATGGAACATTTTCCAAGGTAGACAATATGATAGGCCACAAAACAAGTCTCAGTACACTTAAGACAATTGGACTTACATCCAGTACTCTCTCAGAGTGGAATAAAATGAAATCAACTCTAGAAAGAACCCTCAAAACCATGTAAATATGTGGAAATTAAATAACCTTCTCCTGAGTGATTATTGGGTCAAAAATGAAATCAAGATGGAAATTTTAAAAATTATTTGAATTGGATGATAATAGTGACACAACCTATCAAAACCTCTGGGATACAGCAAAAGTGATGCTAACAGGAAAGTTCATAGTACTAAATGTCCACATCAAAAAGTCTGAAAGAGCATAAATAGACAATCTAAGGTCACACCTCATGGAATTGGAGAAACAAGAACAATCCCAACACAAACTCCAGCAGAAAAAAAGAACAAAGGTCAGAGCAGAACTAAATGAAATGGAAACAACAACAACAACAAATACAAAAGATAATGAAACAGAAACCTGGTTCTTTGAAAAGATAAACAAAATTGATAGACCTTTAGCAAGATTAACTAAGAAAAGAAGAGAGAAGATCCAAATAAGCTCAATTAGAAACAAAATAGGAGATACCACAACTGATACCACAGGAATACAAAAGATTATTCAAGGCTACTATGAACACCTTTATGCACATAAACTAAAAAACCTAGAGGAGATGGACAAATTCTTGGAAATATACAACCCTCCTAGATTAAACCAGGAAGATATAGAATCTCTGAACAGACCAATAAGAAGCAGCAAGTTTGAAATGATAATTTAAACATTGCCAACAAAGAAAAGTCCAGGACCAGACGGACTCACAGCTGAATTCTATCACACATTCAAAGAGGAATTGATACCAATCCTCTTGACATTATTCCAAAAGACAAAGAAAGAGGGAATCCTCCTTAAATCATTCTATAAAGCCAGTATTACCCTAATACCAAAACCAGGGAAAGACATAAAAAAATTAAAAAAAAACCTAAAGACCAATATTCCTAATGAACATAGATGCAAATATCCTCAGGAAAATACTATTGAACCCAATCCAACAGCATATCAAAAAGATAATCTACCATCATCAACTGGGTTTCATACCAGAGATGCAAGGATGGTTTAATATCAATAAATGGTTTGTTAATAAATGTGATACAACACGTAAACAGGATTGAAAACAAAAACCACATGATCATCTCAATAGATGCAGGAAAAGCATTTGACAAAATTCAAATCACTTTATGATTAAAACTCTCAGCAAAATTGGCATAGAAGGGACATACCTTAAGGTAATAAAAACCATTTACAGGAAACCCACAGCCAACATTGTACTAAATGGGGAAAAGTTGAAAGCATTTCCCCTGGGAACTGGAACAAGACAAGGATGCCCACTTTCACCACTTCTATTCCACATAGTACTGGAAGTCCTAGCCAGGGCAATCAGACAAGAGAAAGAAATAAAGAGCATCCAAATTGGTAAAGAGGAAGTCAAACTGTCACAGTTTGCTGATGATATGATCATATACCTAGAAAACCCTAAAGACTCATCCAAAAAGCTCCTAGAATTGGTAAATGAATTCAGCAAAGTTTCAGCATACAAAATTAATGTACACAAATCAATAGCTCTGCTATACACCCACAGCAACCAAACTGAGAATCAAATCAGGAACTCAACCCCTTTCACAATAGCTGCAAAAAATAAAATAAAATTCTTGGTATATCTAACCAAGGATGTGAAAGACCTGTACAAGGAAAAAAACTACAAAACACTGCTGAAAGAAATCATAGATGACACAAACAAATGGAAACACATCCTATGCTCATGGATGGGTAGAATCAGTGTTGTGAAAATGACCATACTGCCAGGGGCGGTTCCAAGATGACCAAATAGGAACAGCTCCAGCCTACAGCTCCCAGCGTGAGCAACGCAGAAGACGGGTGATGTCTGCATTTCCAACTGAGCAAATGGCACACCAGGAGATTATATCCCGCACCTGGCTCGGAGGGTCCCATGCCCACGGAGCCTCGCTCATTGCTAGCACAGCAGTCTGAGATCAATCTGCAAGGTGGCAGCAAGGCTGGGGGAGGGGCGCCTGCCATTGCTGAGGTTTGAGTAGGGAAACAAAGCAGCCGGGAAGCTCCAACTGGGGGGAGCCCACCACAGCTCAAGGAGGCCTGCCTGCCTCTGTAGACTCACCCTCTGGGGGCCCGGCATAGCCAAACAAAAGGCAGCAGAAACCTCTGCAGACTTAAATGTCCCTGTCTGACAGCTTTGAAGAGAGTAGTGGTTTTCCCAGCACAGAGTTTGAGATCTGACAACAGACAGACTGCCTCCTCAAGTGGGTCCCTGACACCCGAGTAGCCGAACTGGGAGCTGAACTATTCAGCCATAAAAGGGAATGAAATAATGGCATTTGCAGCAACGTGGATGGAATTGGAGACTTATTCTAAGTGAAGCAGTGGAAATTGGAATGGAAATTTCCAAACATCGTATGTTCTCACTTATTTGTGGGAGCTAAGCTGTGAGGATACAAAGGCATAAGAATGACATATTGGACTTCGGGGACTTGGGAGAAAGGGTGGGGGTGACAAGGGATAAAAGACTACATATTGGGTACAGTGTACACTGCTGTGGTGATGGGTGCACCAAAATCTCAGATATCACCACTAAAGAACTTATTCACGTAACCAAACACCACCTGTTCCCCCAAAATCTATTGAAATATAATAATGAAAATAAAAAAATCAACATAACAAAATCAGTAGCATTTCTATATGCCAACAGTGAGCAATGCAGAAAAGAAATGTAAAAAGTAATAACATTTACAATAGCCACAAATAAAATTAAATATCTAGGAATTAACTTAACCAAAGAAGTGAAAGAGCACTATAATGAAAACTATGAAATACTGATGAAAGAAATTAAAGAGGACACCAAAAAAATAATAAAAAAAGTTATGTTCATGGATTGGAAGAATCAGTATTGTTAAGATGTACATACTACCCAAAGCAATCTACAGATTCAGTGCAATCCCTACCAAAATACCAATGACATTCCTCGCAGAAATAGAAAAAAAATTATCCTAAAATTTATATGGAACCACAAAAGACCCAGAATAGCCAAAGCTATCCTAGGCAAAAATAACAAAAGTAAAGAAATCACACTACCTGACTTCAAATTATATAGAGAGCTATAGTGATCAAAACAGCATGGTACTGAAATAAAAACAGACACACATATCAATGGAACAGAACAGAGAACCCAGAAACAAATATACACACCTACAGTGACTTCATTTTTGACAAAGATACTAGGAATATACAGTGGGAAAAAGACAGTCTCTTCAATAAATGGTGCTGGCAAAACCGGATATCCATATGTAGAAGAATGAAGCTATACTCCTATTTTTCACCATGTACAAAAATCAAATCAAAATTGATTAAAGACTTTAAGAACTCAAACTATGCAACTACTACAAAAAAAAAAAAAATTGGGGAAAATCTCCAGGACACTGGTCTGGGCAAAAATTTCTTAAACTGTACCCGACAAGCATAGGCAACAAAAGCAAAAATGGACAAATGGGATGACTTCAAGTTAAAAAGATTTTGCACAGCAAAGGAAACAATCAACAAAGCAAAGAGACAACCTACAGAATTAGAGAAAACATTTGAAAACTATCCCTCTGATAAGATATTAATAACCAGAATATATAAAGAGCTCAGATAACTCTATAGGAAAAAGTCTGGTAATCCAATCAAAAAATGGGCAAAAGATTTGAATAGACATTTCTCAAAAGAAAACATACAAATGGCAAACATGCATATGAAAAGGTGCTCAACATCTTTGATCATCAGAGGAATGCAAATCTAAACTACAATGAGATATCACCTCACCCCAGTTAAATGGCTCATATCCAAAACAGGTAATAACAAATGCTGACAAGGATTGCTGTTGGTGGCAATGTAAATTAGCACAACCACTATGGAGAACAGTTTGGAGGTTCCTCAAAACAGTAAAACTAGAGCTGCCATATGATCCATCAATCCTACTGCAGCAGGATTCAGTATAGTAATTTAGTATACTAATTTAGAGCTAATTCCATCAGCTCTCCAAAGCTTCAGTATCCTGCTTAGTATACTAAATCCTTTAGCATACTAAATCCTTTAGTGCTATTATGGGGGCCCCCACCCTCATGACCTTATGTAAACCCAAGCACCTCCTAAAAACACCACCCCCAAATACCATAATACTGGGGGCTAGCACTTCAATATACATTTGGGGGAGGATGCAAACATTCAATTCCTAATAGAAGTGGACTGTGACTGCCTTGAAATCTCAGAGCTGTAGGATCCCAAAATAACAACAAAAGTGTTTAGGTGTTAACAGCCAAAAATAATGACAAAAGCACATAACATATTTTCAGTTAGACCAGTGATTCTCTGGGAATGATTTTGCTTATCCCTACTCAGGGATATTCATAAGGTCTAGAGACACTTTTGGTTGTCACAACTGGAAGATGTGTTAGTAGTGTCTAGTGAGTAGATGCCAGGGATGCCACTAAACATTCTACAATGCACAGGACAGCCCGCAACAACAAAGGATTAAATGGCCACAGATATTAGTCATGCCATGATGGAGAGACCCTGAGTTAGACTGAAAGCTCCATGTGGGTAAAGACCCTCTCTGGCTTTTCTCACCTTTATTTCCTGACAACCGTCAAAGCATGGACTCTACATGTTCAATAGATAAACAAAAGAGGTGGTGAATTAAGATACTTTTGATTTCCCACTAGTTTTAACAGAAAAGGGACCAAGAAATTCTTATTTCTTTTTGCTTGACTTCTTCCTGGCCACCATGTCTTCTAACATGTGGCTATCCATGCAGCAGACACCTGATACATACTTATCATATCAATAAATTCAAGGCAAAATCCAGAGTCTAAGTAATGCCTACAAAACCCTAAATAATCTGGCTTTTTGTTCACTCTTCAGCCTCCTTTCCATCCATTTTACCCCTTGCTCACTCTGTTCCAGCCTCACTGGCTTCCTTGTTGTCCTTCCTGCATGTCATCCATGCTCCTGTTCCCTCTACCCGGAATGTTCTCTGCCCACCCCACTCTGCAGATAGCCATAGGCTCATTCTCTCGTCCCTCTCCCAAGTCTTTACTAAAATGACCTTTTTGCAATTAGACTTATGGTGATGAACCTTGGTAAAGAAACACCTACCACCCCACCCTTAGCATTCCTGATATCTTTACACTGCTCTTTTATTCCCCACATCCCTGATCATTTATTATACAATTTACTAATATGTTGTTTTTACTGTTTATTATCTGTCTTCCTCCACTAGAGTGATGTTTTCATTTTTCTTATTTATGGTGTATATCAAGTACCTAGAGTGGTGTCTGACACATAGAGGTGATCAATAAATGTTTGTTGAATGAATAAATAACTGAATCAACCCCAAAACATGGGACAGACTGAAAATACAAATTGTTTCCCTAAAAGACTTCCTAAAATTCACAGAATGACAGACCCACTGTGGTGCAACAGATGCATAGGACGTCTGGATGTTTGGCAACGTTGGGGGCCAATGCTGGAAGCAAAGAACTGACCTGCCAAATACATCCTCTTGAGGCTTCTTGTGTACCAGACAGGACCCCAGGGCTTCCAAAAATAGCCTCTATTTCTCACAAGTCTATGAAGGAAATATTAGAGTTCAGATTTTACAAATGAGGAAACTGGGACTCAGGGAGATTAAGTGGCCTTCCCCAGGGGCAATAGAGCTGGAAAGTAATGGGCCTGAAGAAGCGAGCTGGATTTTTCTGATTCCACAACTCATGACCCTGAATCCTACTTGCAAGGGCATTGAGCCTAGCGTGGTGGGGCAGTTCTCTTGGTGTTAGACCTCTGGAGCCTGTACCAAGTGACTATGGAGAGGTGAAGAATGTCCAGATTAACAGGCAAAAAAGGAGGCAAAATCATAGACACCAAACAGGAGATCTCTCCAAACCACCACTTAATTTTCTGACTGCTTAATAGTAATACAATACTGTATTGTGCGCATTCAACAATTTCATATTAGCCATCTGATTGGCACCTCGCTACAACCCAATGCATTATTTAGACGAGAAGATTTGTGTCTATCTTCCAGGTAAAGAAATAGAGGTGTGGAATGATGTAGTGACTTGTACCCATATGCCTAGAATTGGAATTTAGTGTTCTTTCTGCTATTCTACCTTGCTGCTCAATATCCATTGGAAAAAGGGCCATTTTCATAAACAAAAAGTACATCTAGGTGTGTACTTGCATGTGCATACATGCATGCATGCATATAAACATACATGTGTTTGTGTGTATACATGTTTGTATGACTATGTCTTTGTGTGTGCACACAAATGTATACATGCATGTGTGTTTGTGTGTGTGTGTGCATGCATATGTGTGCACAGAAGACCCAGACGCTAACCTCAAAAGCAACATCCTCTTGACTACTTCTCCTGTTAGGTTCTCTACATGCTCCAGATACCTTTGGAATTCAAAAAGAGATGGGTGGGTGCTAAGAAACACCCCGAATGAGATGTGAGTCAAGACATCTGGTCTCTAGACCTGCCCTTTTCACTTCCCTCATTTACCTAGACAGGAGTTTGGCCATGTGATTTCTGAAATTGACAGATTCTCTGACCCTGACCTCAGCCTCAGTGTCTCTGCAAGCTGTTCTCTCCTCACACTAGTTTGTTCTCTTTGACCAGTTAATTCCTTATGTCCTGGCTTGACCCTACTTCCTCAAGAAGGTTATTGTCTCTTATAGAGTCCTCTGATTTTCTTTTATGGCATTTAGCACAGCAGTTTAAAAACATCCTTTTATGGCTGGGTGCAGTGGCTCATGCCTGTAATCCCAACACTTTGGGAGGTCAAGGTGGGTGGATCATTAGGTCAGGAGACCGAGACCATCCTGGCTAACACGGTGAAACCCCGTCTCTACTAAAAATACAAAGAAAAAAAATAGCTGGGTGTGGTGGTCTGCGCCTGTAGTTCCAGCTACTCAGGAGGCTGAGGCAGGAGAATGGCGTGAACCCCAGAGGCGGAGCTTGTGGCGAACCGAGATTGCACCACTGCACTCAAGCCTGGGCCACAGAGCAAGACTCCATCTCAAAACAAACAAACAAACAAACAAAAACATCCTTTTATTTCTGTGTTATCTGATCAAAGTCTATCTCCCCTGGTAGGCTGAGGCTTCCACAAGAATGGGAGTCTTGTGACTTCTCCTCACTGCCCTATGCCCAGGGCTGAGCCCTGAATCGTCTTGAGAGCTCCATCATTCTGTGTTGAGTGAATGAATGTAGGACAGGACCTGGATTTGAGCTCAGTTTCCACCAATAAGTACTTGGGTGAGAAGTAGCATCATCTAAAGATCAGTAAACCAGCAAGTGCTTTCTCTCTGTAGCAACATTTTAAGATTAACCGTATTTATGATATTTTGGCTTTTGACTAGTTATTCCAATGCTTGTAGTAGATTAATATATATATATATTTCAGTATGCTTTAAATATATATGTAATCTTTTATACATATATTTTGATAAGCTTTACATAATATTTTACATATAATATTATATAAAGCTTACCTATATATATGCCAGTAAGCTTTTTGCGAATCTGTGACATAAATATCAGATGCCCCCAATTCTTCATTCCACCGTGGCCTTGTTTTTCTTCCTTATATCTGTACTGTATAAGATGTGTGCAAAAGCTCTTGGAATTCTTTTGAAAATTAGAAATACTTATCCAAATGAATTGAGTGTAGCTTTACAATGTTTCTTGGGAGTGTCTATTTGCGGAGCCACTTTAGCTAACCGCACAAGAAACTTCATCTCATGACGTATGATTTCACCCTGATTTAAACCAAAATATTCTACCCAGCTTGCTTACTTTCTTTCTTCCTCACACTTGATGCCAAATGACTTTTGATCCATTTCAGAAGTTAAATTCACACTGCAAGGATGAAAATTGACTGCAATCAAAGCTATTCAAAATATTATTGAGGCTTGAATGATCTAGCAATGGCAGTCTCACTGGGTTACATACACAACCTCTCAGGGTGACCAGTTTGAACATGGTAGCATTCATATGATTTGTTTTTAAGACAGTCAAATTGCTTGTAGAGTCATAACTCACAATTTCTTGAAGTGAGATCATTAAGATAAAAACTGTTTTTACATATCTGTTCTTATAACATTTAATTTAAACCTTTGATATTATGGGTGGGAAATGAATCAGTAAAAAATGCTATTTATCGATTTATCTGTTTAACCCAGTAGGCTGTAATGTCAGAAGGGTAGAGATCATGTCTCTCATAATGACTGTTTTCTCTCCCAAAACAAGCATAGTTGCCTAGAGGCAATACAATATAGTGGCAATACATTGTAGTTTGCTCAAGATGGTCTCCATTTACTCTGGAGTGTTCTGGTGTAATTTTTTTTTTTTTTTTCCAGACCGAGTCTTGCTCTGTCGCCCAGGCTGGAGTGCAATGGTGCGATCTCGGCTCACTGCAAGCTCCGCCTCCTGGGCTCACGCCATTCTCCTGCCTCAGCCTCCTGAGTAGCTGGGACTACAGGTGCCTGCCACCACGCCCCGCTAATTTTTTTGTATTTTTAGTAGAGACGGGGTTTCACCATGTTAGCCAGGATGATCTCGATCTCCTGACCTCGTGATGCGCCCGCCTTGAGCTCCCAAAGTGCTGGGATTACAGGCGCGAGCCACCGCGCCTGCCCTGGTGTAATTTTCAATAGCACACCCTTTTACTCTTGAAAATGTCCCAGTTTGGGAGATGAATTATATAGCTCTAAGCATTTTTTACTGTATCATGGGTGAAATAATTGATGGATGACTAACCAATGATTCACATATCCATCACACATCTGAGATATGAGATGAGCTGATCAACCGACTCTCTGAAAACAAAAAGCCCTTATCTGTAGTGTGCTGATTTGTGTGGTGTAAAAACTCTCACTGTGACTGATTTCAGGCTACCAATTTTATATCAGTGAAGTAGGGGTGAGGAAGGGTTGTGTGAGCTGGTACAAGCTGGCTCCACCAGACCACTGTCCCACATTTGTTAGACACCAGAATAAAAATGGGCATATGGTTTGTTCCAGGGATGACAGTAAACAAAGTTTAACAACTGATATGACATGGGTACCAGTCCATCAGCATGGATGCTGGTCTAATCACCACAGACATAAACTGTGAACAACCAAGTCAGCCAACTACAGCATCATCGTTCTGGCTGCATGGGGATGAAGCCGCCACCTTGATCTTTGGTAAGTGAGAGCACCTGTCCTATGCTCTCACTTACCAAACTTACTGACTTAGTTTGTCAAAGGTGGGGCAAGGACCATAGCGATCTGACTTCCAGGTCCTCATAGCAATCTTTTGGTGTTTCCTGGAATTTTAAACAGGAGTAGTCCTCCCCTGTGTGTGGTGTACTCTCTGAAGTTTGTGAGTGGATCACAGAGCATCATAGATCCATGCTGGGAACTCCTGCTGGCCTGCCCTACTGGAGGACATTCCACAGTTTCTCTGTTTCCTTGATGTGAAATTGAACTGTAAAGGAGTTAGACAACATAAGCTAAAAGTATTCTCAACCTCCCTTTGATTTTGGTAGAAAAAAAGCTTTTTTTTTAAGATAAAATAAAATATACTCCCAGGCCATCATATATATCACTGTTCTTAGAAGATGTGGGCCAACTTTCAACTCCATCAAGAAATAGGTAATTCGTCTAGTAGACGAACACATTAGTTAAAGGAAAATGAGGGCAAATCAAAACGCTTCCTTGGCATCTTGAATGGTGGTTGGAGTGAAGCTGTGTGAAGCTGCTACTTTGATGCTGGAATGCATCCATTTTCTCTGCAGAGAACAAAGACTCAGCAGGCAACATTCCTGAAGGTTGTCAGACTCCTTAGATAGTTGATTCCTGGAAGTCAGTGTCGGACATGCCTAGTAGACAGGAGGAGGGAAATGGTGGTATCACCCTTTTAGAGAGGATCTAGTATATGACTGGAACTGTCACCTACATTGTATGATTTGAAGGCATTGAGAACTCCCACATTCCACATCAGGGTCAACTTCATGAGTGTGCGACCTTTGCAGGTGCACAGTGCTCTGTGGTTGGAAGGGCCTTACCCTTTATTTAGTGCTCTGCTGTTGCCATCTTGAAATTCTCAATAACTTTTAAACAAGGGGCCCAGAATTTTCATTTTTTACTAGGTCCCACAAATTGGCTTGTGTCTTTCAAAAGGGTCACTAAAAGAGCTGAGGTTATAATTTTTCAAATTATGCATCCCGGAGACCTAGAATTGCCATCAAAACACACTATGAGTTACTATATTAGTCTGTTTTCACACTGCTATAAAGAACTACCTGAGACTGCGTAATTTATGAAGAAAAGAGGTTTAATTGACTCACAATTCAGTGTGGCTGAGGAGGCCTCAGGAAACTTGGAATTATGGCTGAAGGTGAAGTGAAAGCAAGGCACATCTTCTCTTGGTAGAGCAGGAGAGAGCGAGCAAGGGAGGATCTGCCATGCACTTTTAAACCATCAGATCATGTGAGAACTCACTCACTATCGTGAGAATGACATGGGGGAAACCACCTCCATAATCCAATCACCTCCCCCCAGGTCCCTCCCCCAACACATGGGAATTGCAATTTGATATGAGATTTGGGTGGGGACACAGAGCCAAACCTTATCAACCACTAAGAAATGAAGAAGTATGTATTACGTTAATCAGGAGGAATCACAGGTCTCCTTACCTGTCAGCAAGGATACATCTATGTGAACAATTGACATAATTGATCAGAAGGCATAGTCGAGAGGAAGCAACTGGGGCACAGGAGAAGTGGCACAGCCCATAAAAGGTGACGAGAATAACAAGTGGCTTGCGGTGAAAGCCCAAAATATACAACACAGAAGCAAAGACAAGCTTTCCAAACTGGCAAATGTTATTTTCACACGGCTGCCCATGATTCCCTGAATTTGCTTCCATCTCCTCTTTTTCTTCTTTTCTCCATCCCTTGACTCTTTTATATGAGCATTCAACCAACCTTTATGGTAGACAATGAAAAATGTAATAAGAAGGATACTGAAAATGTACTCTCAGAGTTCAGAAGGGGAAGACATCCCTCCTAGGTGGCAGGAAGATGCATTTGTAGGAGTTGGCATTATAGCTGGTCCTTGGGAGATGAGAGTGACTTGGAGACAAGGTGAAGGAAAGGTTTCTAAGGAGAGAGGATAGTGGAAACAAAGGCATGAACCAAGAAAACCTGGGGGTGATCATCAAGAACAGTGCCTCGCTTTGTTTTGCTGGAGCCCAGGTTCAGGAGGAGGAGCAGTGGGAGGCAAAGCTTTCATTTCTCCCTGTATTGGTTCTCTTCCTAAATATTTCAGATGAACAGAAGCCACAGTTTAGAGAAAGAGGTGTTTAACCAGGTAACTGGTCCTGAGCAACTAGTCTCATATTTTCCTTGTGCTGTGACATATTGTAATTCCCAATTTGGAGAATGCATCAGTCAGGACAGGCTCAGTCATATTGTAGTAATAAACAACCCACACATTTCAGTGGCTTGAAAATGTTAACAAAGGTTGGCTGGGCGCAGTGGCTCACACCTATAATCCTAACACTTAGGGAGGCTGAGGTGGGTGGATCACAAGGTCAGGAGATCGAGACCATCCTGGCTAACACGGTGAAACCTCATCTCTACTAAAAATACAAAAAATTAGCCAGACGTGGTGGTGGGCACCTGTAGTCCCAGCTACTCTGGAGGCTGAGGCAGGAGAATGGCATGAACCCGGGAGGCGGAGCTTGCAGTGAGCCGAGATGGCACCACTGCACTCCAGCCTGGGCGACAGAGTGAGACTATCTCAAAAAAAAAAAAGAAAGAAAGAAAGAAAGAAAGAAAGAAAGAAAGAAAGAAAGAAAGAAAGAAAGAAAGAAAGAAAGAAAGAAAGAAAGAAAATGTTAACAAAGGTTTTATTCTCATTCATGCTATGTGACCACTGCAGATCCTCTGGGGACCCTCCTCTACTCCAAGCTGTCCTCGGCCAGAGATTCAGGCTGAAGAAGCCCTTATGGCCTGGAGCTTTGCCTGTTTCCCTGGGAGGTGGAAAGAACAGGAGCAAATCATACATTGGCTCTTAATGTATTAAATCTTAATACATTTGCCCAAAGGGGACCCAGGTCACCTCCACTCACATCTCATTGGCTAATGCAAATCTTATGATCACATCCAACTTCAAGGAGCCAGGAAAGATGCAGTCTTACTGTGTACCGAACAGAAAACATGCTAGAAATATTTGATGAATGGCACTTGTGAAGACTACGGAGAATCTGAAGGTAATTTTTTCCAAGATATCCAAACAACTGCCTCAGTCTGTGTATACTATGACTGGATGAGTAGTTTTTTGCAGTTTCATATTTTGGTGCTTTGGCAATTTAAGTTGATTATGGAATTTATTTACATATTTCATTGAGAGTTTTTAGAGAAATTTACTTTAAAAACTTCTTACCATTATAAAAATTCACCTGGGTGCTGTATGCATTCTCATGCTTCCCACTCTCCTTTATTTTTTGCCACTCTGCACTGATGTCTATTGTTTGAACTACAGCATCAAGTATTACTTATGCATTACCCTAAGATTTTCTCTAGTTCAGGGATGCATCACCACTTTCTCCACCTTTGGCATGACAGACATTACTAATCAATCACAGTCCTTTTTTTCTCACTGATCCCAATTTGAACCCTTCTCATTAGAGTGTTCCAGCTAGCCACTGCCACTTGATCAGAGTTTTAAAATGAGATAAAACCAATTTATCATCTTATAGCAGAAAAGAAATGCTGTTTAAAACCCAGACTGCTTCCTAAAAAGTCAGTAACATATTAATAGGAAGGCCTTTATTCTTTCACATATTGATTGATTTATGTATTCCTTCCTTGAGTTAACAAGTATTTATTGAGCACCTACTATGTGTCCAGATACTGTTCTGGGCACTGGGAATGCTGATGGGCTTGGCAAGCATGGCCCCTTCCCCCATGGAACTCATATTCTGATACTGGTAAGCATGTCAATGAGTCTGTGTATGCAAGTTTGGGAGCAAGAGACAGAAGTGAACTGTACTGCAAGATAGAGGAAAGAAAATTCATATGGGAGAAACCTGATTTGGAAAGTCCAGAGGAGGAGCTGAGAGCCTGAACACTCCATAGGGAAATCCAAGAGAAAAAGAAATAGTTCCAGCATTTCCATCCTCATTCACCCTAAAGGTCAAATAAATTGATCAATACTTACTTATACATTTGCTAAGGTTTGATTGTTTATCTTTCATTGAGGTCACTATTTTTATAGATTCAGTCATTCATTCATTCGTTTGTTTCTTTATTTAGTGAATTATTTTCTGAGCACTTACTAGGTGTCAGATAATAGACAGTTCCACAGGAGTTTAAATACAAATCAGAAGAAATTCTACCTTAAAGGAGTTCCCATGTTGAAATTTAGGGGGCTGAGCAGGAACAGCAGGGCAACTGAGGAGCAAATAATTACTTGGTAGAGCAGGAATGGAGGTGATGGTGCCACAGAGGAAGGAGTGATCACTTTTGGTTGCACAGAAAAGGCTCTGCAGAGGGTGGAGGAAAGTGAGGGGAATCTTCTGTGAGGAAGAGAAGGCCAAGGGTATTTTAAGCAGAGGGAAGGGTATAGTAGAACACAGAATGGCAGACTGGAGTGAATCTGGAGAGTTCGACAGGGATCAGTAGCTTTGGAATGTTGAGGCAAGACATGAGGTAGGGAAGATCTGTAGACTTAAGCCAGGGGAATCAATGAAGTTCCTAGGATGAGGTGAGCAGTAGGAGTAGGAAGAACATTTAGGGGCTCAAGATTCTCCTCAAACCACTGAGATCACAGCCCCCAGATGCCACCTATTTCATCCGCACATAGAAATGCCCTGATACTAATTGTGCATTTGCCTTCCTTGCTCTGCTCTTGAACTTGAGCCCTCCCCATGCTCTACAGCCCTTTGTGTGAAATGCAACAGAACATGACCGTTGCAAGAGTGTGTATACCCATTCAAAAAAGAATCATAACTGCTTGAAGGGTAATCTCTCAGCTGGTGGTATGAAAAGCTTCATCTTTAAACCTGAGCCAACAGACCACAGCACTGGAACACTTGTGTCCTTAAGACTATTTTCGGCTGGAAGTCCAGAGTTGCAAGCATGTAGAACTTCACCTTTTGATCACAGTGAGGAGTTGGGCTTGACTCTGAACAGTGCTATCTTCAAGTCTTTTAAAGAGTCATCATGCAGTGGATGCTGAAGGCTGTATTTGTACACTTCTCTTTGTTTGCAAGTACAGAGAACCCCCTTGAACTAACTCAGGCCACAATGGGAGTTTATTGTAGGGATGCTGTTTGTAGCATGTGCCTATTTCACTTCCTTTTCTCTTTGGGGATTGACTTTTCTTGTTTGTAGTTTCATGTATGTGATGAAGCAATACAGCATGCTCTCTACACCCTTTTCTCTTCCTTGGCATGCAGAAAGACTTAATTTCCTTGCTCCTCTTACAGTTATGTTTGAGCTATCTAATTTAATTCTGGTCAATATAATGTATATGAAAGTGACATACGGCGTGACCCTGAAAAACATCCTCTGTGACCCTCTCTTCCCTTGCTGTGACAAGCTGGTGGTCATGTGTTCATGTGGCATTCCTACAAGCACGAATGTGAAATACACTTTTACAGTGTTAAGCCACTGATATTTGAAGCTTGTGCTACTTGTCACAATAGACAAGCCCCAAATCTCAGGAAAACTCGGTCTTTTGCAGCTAGTAGAATTTCATTTCCTTTACTCAGGAGACCAGACCCACTGAGACCTTGATCTCATTTCTACTTTCCTAGAGGAGGGACTCTGATTGGTCTTCCATTAACTGAAGCCAGAGCAGAGGTCAAATGGCCAAAACATCGTTTCTCCCACAGGAAGCATGTGAATCAAGGGGGTGGGAGAATCAGTTCTTAGAAAATGGAGGATAGAGTCTACATAGGGTGGGCCTGACAAACAACTGGATAGATATTTCTGCATAGAATCTTCCCAATATACTTCCAGGGAGGAGTGGGAGAGAGACCTACACTGAGCATCTTTCTCAAGGCCCAAGGCCCTGCTCGGCCAAGGCTGGCCTCTGCAGCTTTCCGGTTGGCCTGAGATGCAAGCTGAGTTCAGAAGGACCACTCCTTTCAGAAGGTCTTTCACCCCATCCCAGGATCTCTGTCATGGTTGCCAAGGAGGCTTCCACCATGAAGTTCCAAACTAGGACTCAGACCATGAAGCTGCAAGTCATTTTTCATAAGCCACTGAGCAGCTGTTAGATTGTTAAGGAATTTGACTCAGTACCACCCAGGAGCAAGATTTTGTGGACAAAAAATGAAAAGCCTCCAAGCTTATGACATAGCTGGTCACGCCCTCTGGTCCTGTTAAAGAAGATTCATCTTCTGAGGGAGAACAAAGCCTTGCCGCCAAGTATCCTGGGCCACTGGGGCAGATGCAGCTCCTCTAGGTCTCCCCACTGCTGTTTCCCTAAAGACCTCCTGCCTGTGGGGCTGTGGGGTGTTCTGTAAAGGCAAATAAGTGTTTCTGGCACACCCTCCATTGACAGCTGTCTACAGAGGCAGACAGGTCTGATTTGCATATGGTGCATTTACATGTGGAAGAATCCTCCAAACCTTTTAAGTCCTCTGGATGTAAATGCCAGCCACAGGGAGCGTGAGGGGAGTCAGTGGTAGCTCAACATAAATATGGATATTTTTTACAAGAGGGTGGAGGAGCTGGCTGGCAAGACTAGCGAAGTTCTTTGATAAATCTACGGACATTCCAGGAAGAGCAGGGTGGAACAGTTTGGAACATGGAGCCTTGTTTAAGGGAGCGAATAGAACCTTCTCTTGAAGGACAAAGACCAGACGATCATACAACACAGGTCATCTGCTGGAAACCTGTGGGGACTGAATGGTTGACAATGACCTTGTTATTTCTATTTCCAAAATATATCTTTTTTTTTTTTTTTTTTTTGAGATGGAGTTTCACTCTTGTCACCTAGGCTGGAGTACAATGGCATGATCTCGGCTCACTGCAACCTCCACCTCCCAGGTTCAAGCGATTCTCCTGCCTCAGCTTCCTGAGTAGCTGGGATTACAGGAACCCACCACGACATCCGACTAATTTTTGTATTTTTAGTAGAGGCGGAGTTTCACCATGTTGGCCAGGCTGGTCTTGAACTCCTGACCTCAAGTGATCCACCTGCCTCGGCCTCCCAAAGTGCTGGAATTATAGGCCCAAAATATACCTTCAATGCATCTAGTCTCCATGTCTATTGCCAACCCTTTTGGCCCTCCTGGGCTACTGCAAACAGCTCCTGACTGTCTCCCTATTTTCACTCTTGCCCACTTCCAGTCCACTCTCATGAGCAGCCCAGGTAATCTGCTTAAAATTGGAGCATGAGTCACCCTCAGCGCATGCTCTCCTAAGACTTAGAATAAAACAGCTTCCTTAGTGTGGTCATGAAGTAGCTGCCCTGGCCCTTGCTTTCCTCTCCATCCCCATTTAGTTCTGCTCTCTCTTACTCACTGCCCTCTGATCTCCCCTGTCTCCCTTCCAGTTACCAGCGGCTTTCCCTCTGCCAGGCTACAGTGCCTGCCATTCATCTCGCAGTGGACTCCTCTTTCCTCACTTTTCTCCTTTGGCTTCAACATCGCCTCCTCAGAGAAGCCTTCCCTGACCACCCCAATTCAGCAAAGTCCCTTTACCCCCTTATTCTCCCTCACCATGGCCTGCTTGTTTTTTTCATAACTCTTACCCTGCCCATAGTCACAAATCCATGCAACTGTTTCCTTGTTATCACCTGAACCTCCTGCTAGACTGTAAACACCACCAGGCATGGCCGTGACTGTTTCCTTTGCAGAATGGATGGCCCAGTGCCCGGCACAAAAATAATTGTTGATTAAATTAATGATTTGGCCTCCAAGGAGAGTGCCTACAAGCATAGGATTTGGATTCACATGTACCTGAGTTTAGCTCCTACCTCTGCCCCTTGCCAGCACAGAGACCTCCAGCCAGTGGCCTCCCCTCTGAGCCTCCATTTTCTTCCTTATCAGAGGGATAAGAATGGCACTTCCCTTTTGAATTTGGTGGGAGGATGACACAATGCAGGAGAAGATTCTCAGCTGGTGCTTGGGATGTAGCAAGTGCTCAAAAAAATGTTAGCTGCTCTTACTATTAACAATATTAGTTGTAATCTTATTGTTATTGTTATTATTTAGCTCCATTTAGACATGACCCCAATCTTTACTGGAGAAGAGTGAACAGGGCTTTCCGATGTGGTACGTGTGTATTGTGGGTTTGTTTTGTTTTGTTTTTATCATGGTGGCACATACCCTGAGCCTTCTGTTCTATTCCTTTTACACCAGACAGCATTTTACCACAAAGAACGGCTGCTGTTCCTCTAACGACAGTCACACACTTAATGCTTCAATTTCCACATTTTATTTTATAAGTAATTTAAAGCCCATGGTGCCTTAATTGTAAAATAGGCCTTATTAAAATAATAGCTTGAAAACCAGTGGGGCTCCCTGTGCCGAGCAATGAGGGTTTTTAGCTTAACGGCTGTTTACTGGGATTTAAAAAGAGACACAACCCAAATAAAGCTGTAAAGACATTTCCACTGTGAGTGATGGGCCAAGGACCAGCTGATAATTAAGCTCCCCCATCCCCACACAATTTTTTTTTCTTTTGGTGCTGTCTGGAGCTTTTCTTAGAAATCCAAAGCACACCCTTTGCTGCTTTTATGATTGATGAGGCGGTGAGGATACTTCAGTACGAGTAAGCAACGTGGTGCTTTGATTAATGATGCTGGTGGGACTCCCAGAAGACCAAAGAGAATAACATTGTTATCAGGAAAGCAGCTGAAGCTGCTGAGAGGGACAGTGACTCCCAGGACTGTGGAGACTGTGGAGCCATCCATGGGTAGGGTCTTTCATTCAGCTCTAACCCAGCATCTCCTCCTGGAAGTCCAGAAGCCAGTGAAGAGGGGACTGAAGGGCATGCTTTTCCATTGAATTCACAAAACTGGCACTGGGCAC
This sequence comes from Homo sapiens, assembly GCF_000001405.40. NCBI lineage: Eukaryota > Metazoa > Chordata > Mammalia > Primates > Hominidae > Homo > Homo sapiens. Next base: position 158,561,494 of record NC_000005.10, on the reverse strand, counting down.
AGTTCGGTTCCCTGGAAATCTCAAAGGATGAAACACACACAAGCTGGTAGGAGTCTCAGGCTCTATCACAGTCATGATGAGTTTTTTTCAATATGATTGTTCTTAGGCAGAAACAATCAGATGAAGAGATTCTATAGTATAAGAAAAATAACAGTTTCTATCCACCAAGCACATGGACTTACATTGAATCCTTATAATACCCGTGAAGTAGATGTTACTATTATTCGTCTTGATTTTTGGCCAAGGACGCCTAAACTCGTAAGAACTTTGTGCATTACAGGTCACACAGCACTTGACCTGTGGAGCCAGGACTCAAATCGAAGATGGTTCTAATGTCTAAGCCTATGCTCTCAGCCCCTTAGTAACTCTGGGCTTCCAAGAAGAGAGCTATGGAGCTTGTGGGAAGATATCCAACCAGGCTACAGACAGATGGATTTTAGATTTTGCTTCACCTTGCCTAACCTGGGATGACCTGTGTCTCAATGTCTGTGTCTTGGTGTCCCTAAATATGAAAATCCGGTATGCCCCGCCTGCCTCACAAAGCTCTCATAAGGATCAAATATATTAACATTTACGAATGCTCTTTGCAAGGTAAGAACCCCAATGGACTATTTGTTCCAGCAAAACTGTCAAGTGAAGCTATATGGAAAAACATTTATAAAGCTAATTAACATTGAAGGAGCCAAGCAAATTAAGATTCCTAGTTCCAGAGGAAGCCAATATCATTTCTAACGCCTAGATGAGTAACTTTGGGTAAGTTGCTTGATCTCTATGAATCCCAATTTTCTGCCCTTCAAAATCAAGTAACACCGATCTCTTGGCATTGTTTTGAGAATTCCATGATATTATGCCCACAGAGCAGCTTAAACGCTGCCTGGCACATGTGTCCTCTGAATGTTCACTACTGTTACCATTTCTTTCTTTTATTTCCCTCTGAGCCACTCCTCATTACCATTTGGGCAGAACTATGCCTGCCCATTGTCTCTCTGGACCTTTGCAGCATTATAGACCGAAAAAGGAAATATGAGTCAAAGAGTGCCCTGAGGCTCAAACACTGTGGTTTTGAAAGTCAATACGCCTGTCGATAACAAGACTCACTGCCTCTCCAGGGACCGCCCACAGTGGTGTTGCTGAGTTTTGCAAGCCCTGCACAGAGAAGCTTCGTGGTGGTGGGAAGTGCTGTCCAAAAGAGGGGCTGTCTTACTGTCAGGCCAGAGCATCTGTGGCCTCCACAGCAAATGGGGATTTGAGCACGAGGCAAGCCAGACAGCCCCTGCCAACTCTTACACTGATGCAGTGGCTGGAAACACCTCCTCTCAACTTTTAGAGCGTTTTCACATCTTGCATGCTGGACAGTGAGTGGACCTACTGGACCAAAACTGCAAAGAAGAGAACATAAAATGGCTGCGACTTTCCCATAATGGTTTTCCCATAATGTAAAACCAAACAGACCTGGTTTTGAATCATGGCTCTGCCATTTCCATATTCTGTGATGATAGGCAAGTCCCTTAATTTCTCAACTTTTCCTTCTATAAGAAAGCAGCTTAACCAGCTACTTGGGAGGTTGAGGCAGGAGGATCGCTTGAACCCGGGAGGCAAAAGTTGCAGTGAGCCGAGATTGCACCGCTGCGCTCCAGCAAGCAGCCTGGGCAACAGAGCAGAGCAAGACTCTGTCTAAAAAAAAAAAAAGCAGAAGGCAGCTCTGGTGCCGGAATGCCTAGGTTCAAATTCAGGCTCTGGTACATCCTGTATATTCTCATATTCTCAGATAATTTACTCTCTTCTTTACGTGTAAAATGAAAGTGAGAATGAAATGAAATTTTAAAAATATATGAAGTTTTTCAAGTAGTAGCAAGCACTAAATAAATGTTAGCTGCTGTGTTTGGCGGGATGGGTTCCATGTAATCCTCCAATGTAAAATAAACCTTGGCATCTCAGTGGATTAGGACCATAAACATTTATTTCTCACTCATGCAGATGGAGAAATTTCTTCTATTTCAGGAGACTCGGAGACCTGGGATCTTTTCTTCTTCTGACATCACTATGTCAATCAACCCACAGCAGTTGGTTCCAGTTCATCACAGCAGAGAAAGAGATGGGGAAGGGGGTACCATGGCTCTTTTCTCTCTTGGCAATTCTTTTCATAGTCCATCAGCCACAGCAAGTTCAGGAACCCAAAGCCTACTGCACAGGAAACGGCCTTTATGGTAAATTAGGCTAACTGCCGAAATCACACTGCTGTAAAAGCATTAAATGGCAATGTGCATGGCATGCTTACACTGTGGCTGGCACATGGTTAGTGCCTGTTGTCTCTTGTGAGAGTACTACTTTTGATTCGGTGCCCGTCTGACATGATTCAATGCAATTCTGACTTGGATCAAACCACTGGTTGTTCCACACCACAGACTGTGGTGGGTCCCAGGTTCTCTTAGTAGTTAACGTTTGTCCCTCACCTTTATCAACCTTTCCCTACCTTTCTGTGCCCCATTTTCCTTTTCCAGTGCCTTCAGGTGGATCCACAACTCCTTGATGCTCCATTCTCTGGTGTTCCATCAAATGCCTGTTTCAAGGTTACATGATCATTTTTGATGTTCAAGTACTACTTTCATAGTATCTAGTGTGATGCTGCACTGATTCATTCAGGAAGCCTTAACCCGGTGCCTGCTTTGTGCCAGGACTGGAACCAGGCATTCACACTCACCGTCACCCTGGAGGCCAGTCAGTCTTATTGGCCTTAATTTTGGATATCAAGTGGAGGCTCAGAGAGGTTAAGAGACTGCCTCAAGTCACACAGCCTGGAAGAGGTGAGGTTGACTCAACACAGGGTGTCTCCCCATCCAGAGGCCTTTCCATTCTCCTTGGGAGGCCTCTGCAGTTGACTTTTGTTTGTTCTCTGGAAGTCATTACACATTTTGGCCTTTTCTAAGCCTTATTTATGCCTCTTTCCTTCAAAGGCTTAAACCTGAAAATTGATTGATTCAAGCTAAATCCTTGCAGAAGACAATGGCTTAACCTCTTATTTCTGTCTGGGATTTTTATGGCTCTTTAAAGAGGCACTGTCTCAGCCCAGGGTCTGCTGACTACTATGGTGGGTGTCAAGCATTCAGCCGGGCATGGTAGATGCCATTTGGAGGCAGGGGTAGATATTCGGAAGTGTCCCCAAATCATAGCACATAAGTAACAGATTTCTATTACAATAAAAAGGCTGACCTTTCCAGCCTCAGTGTCAGTGTCCAAAAAGTGAAGATTCAAATTGAGTTCACACCCAAAAAAGTATCACATGGATTCCCTCACACAAAAATTATTTTGTATCCTTTGTAGCTACAATTCACTGAATGCAGATTTCTATGCCAGGTATTCTAGAAATAATTGGGGTCTTTAATCCTTACAACCAGCATGTGATGTCCAGACTATTTATCTCCATTTTCCCAAGCAAGTGAGCACACTGAGGCTCAGAGAGGTTAAAGTGACTGGTTCAAGCTACACAGCAAATGTTAGAGTTGGAATTTGACCTAATTCCAAAATTCATCACTTTCTGTACTACCATATAACAACAGGATGCTATGAAAGGGAACTGACGTTAAAAGTATCCAAGGGGTGGGTTGCTTTCTCACGGAGTTTTTCATGGGCCTGGCATATCAATATGGCACCTCAGAGGCTGATGGAGAGACTGGGATGGCTAAAGCTAGCCAGGCAGGATTGTAGGGTCCCAATCTTCTTCTACCAGAGAAACTACTTCTGTACTTTCTGTAGTAGATTTGCACATAAATATTTTGTTTTAAAAATGTATTCTACTACATAACACAGAGAAAAAGAAGGTTAGAAACAAAAGAGAGAGAGAAATAAAAACTATAGTTTTAGTATCATGGCCTCGATTTTATGAACTAGACATTAAGGCCCAGGGAGTGAACAGATTCATCTGATCATATGAAGAGTTATAGGTGACAGACTGTGGTTTGGAGCAGGGCTTGGCAAACCTTTTCTGTAAAGGGCAAGATGGTAAATATTTTAGGCTTTGTGGACTTTGCAGGCTCTGTCACGACTACTCAACTCTGCCATTGTGGTAAGGAAACAGCCACAGACAATACGTAAAAAAAGAAACATGGTTGTATTCCAACAACTTTTATTTATAAAACAGGTTGAAGGCTGGATTTGACCCATGGGTGATAATTTGTGGAACTCTAGTTTGGAACAAAGGATCCTTGACTCTTTATTTGGCACTTTTTCTACAAAAGCAAAGCTGCCTCCTTAAGATAGATGAATTGTAAAGCCCTGTTATTTTCTTAATGTTAAGGGAAAATGAAAGATCAAAGTTGGAAAGCCAAGAGGGTTTTATTAAACAAAGCACAGGTAAACAAGAAGGAAGGCATTAGACATGTTAGTGTGGTTGGGGCTATAGCTCCTGGGATGAAGGATGAAGGGGAGGCATAAATAAGTGACTTGAAGAAAGGGCCCTGCCCTGATGAAGATATTGATATGCCTTGACCTAAGGTGTGTCACTAAAATTCAATCCTCTGCACCAAGGACTAAAATAAATTCATATATTTTGGAACTAATGAGGCATGATGGTTACACAACATTGTGAATGTACTAAATGCTACTGAATTGTACACTTTAAAGGCATTAATTTAATGTTATATGAATTTCACCTTAATAAAAAATTAAAAATATATATTAATAATTAAATTAAGCAATAAAGTTGGAAATGAAATGGTAAGGTTCTATCTCAGTGATCTTTCATCTTGCATCTTGCTTCAGGTCCTGGAACTTCTGAAAGTTACATTGAGTGGTTGAGTGAGTTGTCTTCACTGCCAGCTGGGAGCATGGTATGATTTTTTTCATGCTTTAGCCCATCAAAAGCCACATGGGCTGATTCTTGATTCCTAGATTTTTTTGGGCCTCAGTTTCCTTACCAGTAAAATGCATGTCATTGTTTGTACCATTGAGGATTGATGTGATCACTAAATGAGATTCTGATATAAACACTGTATTAATTACCTTGAACTGCTATAACAAAATACCATAGACTGGGTGATTTAAGCAGCATTTATTTCTCATGGTTCTAGAGGCTGGAAAGTTCAAGATAAAGCTGCTGTCAGATTTGGTTCCTGGTGAGAGTCTGCTTTCCGGCTGTAGATACCTGCGTTCCAGCTGTGTGCTCACATGGTCTTTCTTCAGTGCATGCACATCGGGGAGAGAGATCTCTGTCTTCCTCTTCCTATAAGAGCACTGATCCTTGCATGAAAGTCCCACCATAATGACTTAATGTTAACCATCTTACTTCCCAAAGGCTCCACTTCCAAGTACAATCATATTGGGGGTTAGGTCTTCAATATATAAATTTGGCAGGGGACATAAACATTCAGCCCATACAGTTAACATCTAGGAAGTGTTCATAAGTGTAGCCTTTACTCTCTTTATTTCTGAGAAGCCTAGGGTGTTTATTCCTTTACTTATTCATTCATCACTTACTTAGCTTCTATTATGTTCCAGGCAGCATAACTATGCTCATTTTCTATTACTGTATAACAAACTACCCTCGAAATTTAATAACTTAAAACAACAGACATTTATTATCCCACAATTCCTATGGGTCATGAATTCAAGGAATTAGCTGGATGGTTTTGCCTTAGGATCCCTAAAGAGGTTGCCATTAATATGTGGACTCTGGCTGCAGTCATCTGAAAGCTTGACTGGGGCTGATGGAACTACTTCCAAGATGGTTCATTCACATGGCTATTGGCAAAAGATCTTAGCTTCTTGCCAAATGGGGCTCTCTATACAGTGTCAGTATGAATTAACCACTGGTTTCCCCTAAAGCAAGGAGAGAGAGAGACAGAGAGAGAGAGAGAGAGAGAGAGAGAGAGAGAGAAAACCTAGTCTCCAAGCTCCTATTTTATTTGTCCATCACTGAGACAAGTTTGCACCCAGGGGAAGGTATACATAAAAGCATGAATGCCAGGAGGTGGAATCCTTGGAGGGCATTTTGAAGACTGGCTGACACAGTGCCTTAGTAAGAGTTTTGGGGATATAGCCATGAGCTAAAGGGCCATCTAACTTATAGTCTAAGAGGAGAGACAGACATATATAAAATCATTATGTACCTAAATACATACCAACCAACTAGGCTAAGACAATGAAGAAAAGGTACAGTATGTATGAGAGACATTTAGCAGGAGACCTTAGGAGGAAGTGGAAGGGACAGGGATGCATTTGTGAGGAAGTTACATTTCAGTTGAAACTCAAAGCATGAGTGGTAGTTAACATTAGTTAAAATTATGGTGGTTGCCTCAACATGTTAAACATAGTTTCCTTATCACCTAGCAGTTCTATCTTTAGGTATAAACCCAAGATAAATAAACACATACATCCATACAAAAGCTTGTACATGAATGCCCATAGCGGCATTGTTCATAATAGTCAAAAAATGAAAGTAACTCAAATGTCCATCAACTTGTGAATGGATAAACTAAATGTGGTATATCCATACAATAGGATATTACGTGATGACTAAGAAAAAAACACTGATCCACGGTACAACATGGATGAACCTTGAAAACATTATGATAAGTAAAAGAAGTCATAAACAAAATACGACATATTGGATAATCCTATTTGTTTGAATGTCTGCAATAGGAGACAGAAGAGAGATGCAAAGTAGATTAATGATTTCCTAGGGTTGAGGGAAAATGGAAAGTGAAAGCTTATAGGTAAAAGGGTTTTTTAAAGGGTGATAAAAACGTTTTGAAATAGATGTAATGATGCTTGCACCACTCTATGAATATGCTTGAAACCACTGAATAGTCCACTTTAAGTGGGTGAATTGTGTGTATGTGAATTTTTTTCTTAATAATGAGGTTATAAAAGAGGATGGCTGGAAAAGCTTTGCAGCAGAAGGAACAACTTGAAGTGGAAGAGAATATGGTGTGCAGGAGAAATGGAAAGAAAGTCAATGTGTCTGCAGCACAGAGTAGAGGAGAGAAGTAGTGTTACATGAGGTGGAAACCAGACCCTGCAGGCTTTAGTGACCCAATCAAGGAAGCTGCTCTTAATCGTGAGGGCTATGAGAAGCCACTGAAGGTTTTTAAGCATGAATTTGCCAGATCATATTTGAGGTTTTCAAATTTAATATCATAAATGCCCTATAAAATAAAGCTAATATTTATATCATGAGGTGATTAACGGAGCAGGCAGAATAGTGAAAATCGTATTTTTTATCATTTTCCCTAGAGGAGTGCAGACACTGGAGTTTTGAGATTGTGCTTGAACCGTTAATCGTTAGAAGCAGCATACTTGGTTCACATGCTTTTCATCCACCCTCTGGTGTCCTACATGACTTCATATTGCTCAATGAGGGGACAGGCTAGATGTGGCCACCCTCAGGTGCTGGCCCCATGTTCTCATGTTGCACAGTTTTTGGGATTCTGGGCTTCACCGAGCTCTTTATCCTTGTCCAGATGGCAGAGCAGAGGAAATATCTGGTAAAATGTTAATTCCACCTCATTTAATGCAGCTTACATAGGTGTGGTGTAGTCGAGGCCTCTACAGGAAAAGCTGATTTCAAGTTCTGGCACAAGGATTAGCTGATTCACAAAAGATGTGAGTCTCCGTTTCTTCCCTGCACATCTGTCCTGTCTGCTTTTAATTTGGAAGCACCAGTTTTAATTTAGCGGCAGGACTGTAAACTCCATTTCTGTGAATACAGAATGACATACTTTGTGGAACGGGGGCCTCTGGCCAAGATCTGACTCCTAAGTAATTGATGGCTAGTGACTGGCTGAGAAATGCTCAAATGCAAACACTTCCCATGGCAAAAACCCTGTCGTATCAGCTGGATTACAAACGAGCCTTGCTGGGCTGCTGCCCATTGAAATATAGGCCATGTCTTTAACCACAGTCTCCAAAACCTGGAGGGAGCCTCCAGTTCATTCTAAACATCGATGATCTTTCCAGTCCACAGGTTTCCTTTGTCCTCAGACTTTGTCTGGAGCCTGTGGCCCAATGCACAGATTTCTTCATATTTGGAAGCCAACCATATCGGGAAGGAGGCTTCAGCATTAAGGGTTGTTTTGTTCTGGTGAAAAGGACACTCTTTTCATCACATTTAAAAACCAATTTTTTAAAATCTCACTCATATCCAATATTTTGTGTGTGTGAGAGAGAAAACACAGGCCTAAAGTTACATCACCCTTGTGGTTTGAGAAATCTTTTTCACAATATGTAGACTGTTTTTGGGGCTGGGATTTTTGGAGAAGGGGGAAAAATAGTGGGGCAAGAAGGACAGAGATATGAGACAGAAAATTAAGTCTTTCTGTAAACAAGAAAGAATGGATAAGCAAAGGGAATAAAATGGACAAAACTTCCATGAGTCTGACATCTTCTAGATACAGAGATAGCCGATACAAAATCCCATGATGCCTTTAAAAAATTAATTTAAGTCCACCAGTCTTACATCACCATTGAATCCCTATCACCTGTCATGGTGCCTAGCATATAGTAAGTTTTGATACATATTTTTAAATACATGAATGAGGAAATAAGTAATTATTGCATGCTTACCGTATGCCCAGCACTGCTGTACTCAAAGGGCATGGGAAACATAACTAATGCCACAGGGAAACTTATGGGGAGTCCAGTGTAGAATAATGGTAGGAGGCACAGAGCCCGGAGTTAGCTAGTCCTGGATCTGGGTTTGAGCCCTGCCTCTAACACTTACCAGCTGTGTGGCCTGGGGGAAAATTATTTAAGCTAATTGTTAGTTTCCTTTAATTGGAATGTGGACAATAATAGGACCTATTTCATGTGGTTGTTGGGAGGATTACTTGTGGTAAAGGTGTAAGGTGCTTGTGCTAGAACATGGGAAATACTCAGTAATGGTAACTATTATATAATTTGGAAATGGTACATGGCCGCCTTATGCAATAGTTCTTGCTGTGAGTCTCTCCAAAATGTCCTTGAACTCCCACCTTCGTTTTACATACAATTGCTTGCCAATTCCTTTCTCAAGACATAGTGAGGCCAACATTATTCACTCCCGTTGGTCTTGCTTAAGTGTGCAGAGTCCTTTTGTCTTGGAACTAATGTGGATTTTGTAAAAAATCATTTCTCCATGGAGGACAGTGGCACTCAGCTCCAGTACTAACAAGAGAACATCCCAGATGGTTTGCAAAGTATTTTAGTTTTTGCCAAACATGTTTCCTGCTAATTTGAAATTCCCTCTGTGTTTTTAAGTGAAATGTAATCCACGTGTTCCTGGTCAAGTAACTACTGGGGAAGGAAGTGGGAAAGAATCAGGGAGAATCCCAACATCAGCTCTTAAAGAGATGGCAGCATCTGAGGTGTGTGTGCTGCATGTGTTCTAAGGGATCTCTGTACAAGGAAGAGAGGGCATGAGCCCTCCTGATTCTCCTCTCCAACCCACGGGTCAACCACTCACCCAACCACTCCATGCTTATTGGGCCCTCACTAACTCCACACTGTAGTGGGCACTGCTTGTATAGAAGGGGTCAATGTGATCCCTGTCCTGAACAAAGTAGATTAGAAGTCAGCAAACTTTCTCTGTAAAGGCTCAGATAGTAAGTATTTTTGGCTGTGTGGGATTGGTGGTCTCTGCTGCAATTAGTCAACTCTGCCGTTGTAACACAAAAGCACCCATAGACAATATGTAACAAAAGAACAGGGTTGTGTTCAGTGATGATAGCTATTATTATATCATTTGGAAATGTCATGTGGCCGCCTTATGGAACAGTTTTTGCCATGAATCTACCCAAAATATCCTGGAACTACCACCTTTGTTTCAGGTACAATTGCTTGCCAAGTTCTTTCTTAAGCTATACTGAGGCCAACATTTTGACCCAACTGAGCAAATTAGGTCTGTGGGAGCAAATTTGGCCTGTGGGCAATAGTTTTCAGATTCCTGGATTGGATTATACCTGGAAAGATCACAACACCTCAGATAAAGACTCAAGAGTAGATAACTCAGTGCTCATCAATGAAGAGGCTGGCCCTGCCTCAACGTAATAGGGATTCAGAAGCAGGAGGTATCAAGGGCCTGCGGTTGTACCTTTCAGGAAGAAGTGGATTCAAATCCCAGTCCTATTATTTACTGGCTATGTGACTTAAGAAAAATTAGTAAATCTCTACAATTTAGCTTTGTATAAGCAAATTGCATAAGCTATTGTATAGCTTTGTATAAGCTAAAGTTCAGCTTGCTTATCTTTAAATTGGACATAATAACATCATTAATCTTATGTAGCATCATAATAGCATTATTAATAAATGTTAGTAATTAACATTATTTAATCTCCGGATTAAATGAGACAATGTATATAAAGGTTCCATGCAATGTCCAGCACCCAGTATGACAGCTGATATTCATAGTGAAAAAAGCATAGACTTTGGGGTTGGTGGTCCTGGGTTTGTTGAGGCCTGCTCTGCCACTTAATCATCTGAACCTTTACAGGACTGACCCCTGGTCAATATTGCAAATATTTTTGGGTTTTGCAAGCCACAAACAGTCTCTCTCACACTAAAAGAAATTTACAACCCTTTAAAAATGTAAAAATCATTCTGTCATTTATTAGCTTATAAGCTGTACAAAACCAGGCTGTGGGCTGCATTTGGCCTGAGGGCTGTAGTTTACTGAACTCTGTTCTAGACTGCCACTCTATTGAACAGAAATAAAGTGTAAGCCACACACTGAGGCACGTATGTAATTTAAAATGGTCTAGTAGCCACATTAGACAAAGTAAAACAAAAACATAAAAAAGATAAAATTAATTTTAATAGTATATTTGTTTAATCTGACATATTTAAAATATCATTTGAACAAGTAATCATTAAAATTTGCTAATAAACTATTTTGCATTTTTTTCCTTTTTGTACTAAGTCTTTGAACACCTGTTCGTATTAACACGCACAGCACATGTCAGGAGCTCAAAGCCACAGGCAGCCCTAGACCTCAAAAATTCTTTGCAAAATTAACACAACCTTAGAACTTACATTTTAGAGTCTTTGGGATTTAATGTTTGGAAGGTGCTGAGCATACTACCTGGCACAGAATGATCTGTTAGTGCTATCTAATTAGCTGATCACTGCTAAGAAGGCTCAGTGTGAATTATAATGATGGTAATGATTATCTGGGGGAAACAATCGGTATCTACTTCTCTCTTCTGAAAAAAAAAAAAAAATCTCAGTCCTGGTGATCAGAGGCCTTTTCCAAGACCCCACAGCTTCCTTTATCATTTTTCTCAGGGGCCCAAGAAGATTCTGGTGGCTCCTCAGAAATCACAGTTTTTCTAAGACCCAGGATACAGGTGAGTGGCCTGGCAATTTAACGTGGAATTTAAGGAATCATCCACAGCCCACAGCCCCTCTGGGACACTATGAGGGTCAGTGCTGCCTCCTCTTTTTTGACTGCTTCATTTCCAGGCCAGTGTTCCAGGAGAGACTCCTTACTTTGTGGAATGTATGTGTGTCTCTGTGTGTGTGTGTGTGTGTGTGCGCGTGTATGTGTGTGTATTTCCCTTCTACCCTGTGCCATTTCTCCTTTGATCCTTTGATTCCATTTCCCTATTTAGATGCCCTGCCAGCATTCCCTGCAGCTTTTTAGGAGGAGTAGATGCATGGGTTTTCAAGGAGAGGCCTTTTGAGAAGCTTAGGAAGTCTCCCATTTGAGCCAGAGACTTGGGGTTGCCTTGCCTCCCAGTCCCCTGAAAAGCTGGGCTTTGCTGGCCAGCCTCATCTGACCCAATATTTTGTGTTGTCCAAAGCAGGGCAGTCCAGCTTGTGCCTCTCCTGTTAGGACGTAGGGCCGACTCTTAGTGGAAAAGTACCGATTGTTATATACCAAACAGTTGCCCAGGTTTCAGCAGAAAGCCAAATCAGATGGACTAGGGGAATGTACCTAGACTGAAAAGAGCAAAAATTCCTTCTGGATGAGGTTGTCTAGTACAACTCCCTTGAAGCATTGGTTTTCATATTGAACAACTCTAGGTCAGGGGTCGAATGACATCACTGACTCATGAAACCCATGCCTCTGCAACAAGTCCCTCATCCAGCATTTTATAGAACAAAGTCTTTGGAGCTAAATCCTTGCTTTGCAACTTATCAACTGTGTGACCCTGGACTACTTAACTGCTCTGAGCCTCAGCTTCCTCATCTTTAAATGGGGAGAGCCATATACTCTTGGATTGTGGGTAGGACTCAATTAGTGCTATTAATTATGGGAAAGATTCAATTCGCTCAGGATACAAAATCAATGTGCAAAAATCACAAGCACTCCTATATACCAATAATAGACAAATAGAGAGCCAAATCATAAGTGAAGTCCCATTCACAATTGCTACAAAGAGAATAAAATACCTAGGAATACAACTTACAAGGGATGTGAAGGACCTCTTCAAGGAGAACTACAAACCACTGCTCAAGGAAATAAGAGAGGTTGCAAACAAATTGAAAAACATTCCATGCTCATGGATAGGAAGAATCAATATTGTGGAACCAAAAAAGAGTCTGTATAGCCAAGACAATCCTAAGCAAAAAGAACAAAGCTGGAGGAATCATGCTACCTGAATTCAAACTATACTTCAAGGCTACAGTACCCAAAACAGCAAGGTAGTGGTACCAAAACAGATATATAGACCAATGGAACAGAACAGAGGCCTCAGAAATAACGACATACATCTATAACCATCTGATCTTTGATAAACCTGACAAAAATAAGCAATGGGGAAAGGATTCCCTATTTAATAAATGGTGTTGGGAAAACTGGCTAGCCATAGGCAGAAAACAGAAACTGGACCCCTTCCTTACACTTATGCAAAAATTAACTCAAGATGGATTAAAGAAGTAAATGTAAGACCTGAAACCATAAAAACCCTAGAAGAAAACCTAGCAATACCATTCAGGACATAAGCATGGGCAAAGACTTCATGACTAAAACACCAAAAGCAATGGCAACAAAAGCCACAATTGACAAATGGGATCTAATTAAACTAAAGAGCTTCTGCACAGCAAAAGAAACCATCACCAGAGTGCACAGGCAACCTACAGAATGGGAAAAAAATTTTGCAATCTATCCATCTGACAAAGGGCTAATATCCAGAATTTACAAAGAACTCAAACAAATTTATAAGAAAAAACCGACAACCCCATCAAAAAGTGGGCAAAAGATATGAACAGACACTTCTGTCATATAAAAGAAGACATTTATGCAGCCAACAAACATATGAAAAAAAGCTCATCATCACTGGTCATTAGAAAAATGCAAATCAAAACCACAGTGAGATATGATCTCATGCCAGTTAGAATGGCGATCATTAAAAAGTCAGGAAAAAACAGGTGCTGGAGAGAATGTGGAGAAATAGGAACACTTTTACACTGTTGGTGGGAGTGTAAATTAGTTCATTGTGGAAGACAGTGTGGTGATTCCTCAAGGATCTAGAACCAGGAATACCATTTGACCTGGCAATCCCATTACTGGGTATATACCCAAAGGATTATAAATCATTCTGCTATAAAGACACATGCACATGTATGTTTATTGCAGTACTGTTCACAATAGCAAAGACTTGGAACTGACCCAAATGCCCATCAATGATAGACCAGATAAAGGAAACGTGGCACATATATACCATGGAATACTATGCAGCCATAAAAAAGATGAGTTCATATCCTTTGCAGGGACATGGATGAAGCTGGAAACCATCATTCTCAGCAGACTAACACAGGAACAGAAAACCAAACATCGCATGTTCTCACTCATAAGTGGGAGCTGAACAATAAGAACACATGGACACAGGGAGGGGAGCATCAAACATCAGAGCCTGTCGGGGAGTAGGGGGGCTAGGGGAGGGATAGCATTGGGAGGAATACCTAATGTAGATGATGGGTTGATGGGTGCAGCGAACCACCATGGCACGTGTATACCTGTATAACAAACCGGCATGTTGTGCACATATATCCCAGAACTTAAAGTATAATAAAAATAAAGAAAGAATGTTGTGTGAAGAACATGGGGCTAGGAGCTAAAGATTAAACAACCCTGCTTTGAGTGAACCAGGCATATTTCATTTTTCCATGTCATGTGAATATGAATAGTTCCAGTCTTCAAGAATGGAAGAAATAGGGAAGGTGTATCATTAAGCTGACTAAAAAAATAGAAAAGTGTTGTTGGTTTATTTACTCAATTAGTTCATTTGACACAAATTTATTTGAAACCTGGCATACTAGACATAAAAAATACAATATCAGCCCTCAGTGACCAGGCTATAGGGCAGGTTTGGGTTTTTGTTTGTTGCAAGACATTCCCAACACTCTTTTAAAAATCAGACCATGAAAACATTCCTTGTCCTGTTTAGGTGAAGAACATAATAGTAACTCAAATCCCGGCTTTCCATAAAGAGTGCCCTGAAGTATACATGGGAATAATTAAAGCCAAAACATTAAAAATAATAAAAAAGATGGTTGTGTGAGGGTTGTAACTGGGCACTGACACCATATGACATAATTGGCGCTCGCCTCCCAGCTTCATCTGAATCCAGCATTCTAAGGCCCTTTCGTAACAGCAACGAACATCTGCTCCAAAGAAGAGCCCTACACCCAGGCAAGAAGAATCGTGCAGAAGGGCGTGTTTTCCTTAAAGTGCAGTAATATGTTATTAAAGTGTCAAATACCTACATTTGCGACAATAATTATATAAACACAGGCTCGAAGACTGTAGGAAAAAAGATACACCAATTAAAAAAAAGAAACCCATAGGAGAGGCAGCATTTGATGTTGAGATGAGGTTTAGTTAACTTTTCCAAGGTTGGAGTTGAACATATTTAAAAGGAATGAAGATGATCCTACTGGCTTTTATTATGATTATGATTATTTCTTCTCCTTCTTAAAGACTTCCTCACTTCAAGCAAGAATTATTTATTAACAAGTGGAAATCATTACTTTGTGATTTTATTCAGCACAACATTATATGGAAAAAAATAGGCTCACAAGCTGCCTGAATGTCATCATGTAATTTCCTCACTTTTTCTAAATTGAGCTCATCCATAAATTTTCAGAAACAGTATTTTAAAAACCTACCAACAAATTTTCCATGCTTCTCATTCCAACCCAATTCTTTGAAAATATTTTTCTACTCCATTCCCCACTGAGAGAGAGAGAGAGAGAGAGAAAGAGGAAGAGAGAGAGAGAGACAGGGAGAAGAGAAACATGGGTGAGAAAATGCTGTGATCACAGGGGATTAGCTTGCCCACAATTTCTTCAAAATTGTAATTGTTCACAAATTCACGTGGTCCCTAGAGAACAGAACAAGATGAATTTCATCCACATGTTGAAGTCCATTCTGCCCAAGGTTGATATATTGCATGTGTGTGTCCCTTTCCAAGGTTAATGACACAAACTGGACTCTTGGGGAGGAGATTATCTCTTTAGCTCAGTCAATGCTGTCAATTTTTAATGTTTGAAAAGTTTAGAAGATTTAAGTGGGATTCCAGTGCCTACATTCTCCCAGCGAATGGGTTTATCAGTGAAAGTTAAAATGGCTGCTGAAAGTTCCAATTTCCTTCCTTTATTTCCAATGTTTCTTTGTAAGAATTGTTTAAGGATGGTGAGGGATGAAACGAAGCAACATAGAAAAAGGATTAACTATCTTGGAAACAAACATATTAGGTCTTGCCTAAGCATTCCACATGTGCTCCCAAGCTTCAAACATATTCATATCACATTCACAAATTTTGCCAAATTCACATATCACTTGACTATTATTTATTTAACATTTTCTTTAAAATGGCTCTTTTTTTACATAGATAAATTTGCATAGAAATGAAACTTTATATAACTGCTGTTAATGGGAAGGCATTACCATTGGTCATTAAGGAGTTTACCACAAAAACACATGAGCAGGCTGGGCACGGTGGTTCATGCCTGTAACCCCAGAGCTTTGGAAGGCTGAGGTGGGAGGAATGCTTGAGCCAGGAGTTCAAGACCAGCCTAGGCAACATAGTAAGATCCTGTGTCTACAAAAATTAAGAAGTTAGCCAAGTGTGGTGGTGTGTTCCTGTAAGTCCCAGCTACTCAAAGGGGGCTGAAGTGGGAGGATTGCTTGAGCTCCTGGGAGGTCGAGGCTGCCGTGAGCCATGATTGTGTCACTGCACTCCAGCCTGGGCAACAAAGAGAGACCCTGTCAAAAAAAAAAAAAAAAAAAAAAAAAAAAACACCTAAAAACAAAAATCATGAAAATATGAGGAGGGAAAACTAAACTGTGATATTAAAATCTAGTTAAATACATGTTCTTGTTCAAGGCGCCATGCCTGAGGTTGAGGTCTGTTCTCTCTTTACGGTAAGGAAGTTTAGCAAGTGTTGAGGTGGTGAGGACATGTTAGCACCACAGGAAGACTTGCTCTTTGAAGAAATCAGAAAGGGTGATTGAGAACTGAAAAAGGAATAACTTTCTTACTACATAGTTTAATACCATTTAATGTTCATTTCCAAAAGCAAACCCCTGGACACTGACAGGTGTCTGTCATCTCACCAGCAATGCATCCTACAATTTAAGAAGCTTTGCTAGCAGTCTCATGCTTTATAATGTCTTCTTAGACTTTGCAAAGTGCTACCACATACAGTGTTCTATTTGGTCCTCATGGTAACTTGGCAATGTAGATAGGACCATAATTATTACTTTTATTCTACTGGAACTGAAAGTGCGAAGCAACATATTTTAAGTGCACACAGGAAGTCAGTGGCAAGGCTCTCTCTGAAACTTAGAATTATTTTTCACTAAAAAAATACATTTCAAAGTTTATTGATACATTCTCCATTGCATCTTAGAAGTTTTCCTTTTTTAAAAAATTCTTTTTCCTTCAAATGAGAGGAAGATATTTAAAAACAAAATTCAGTTATTTATGATTCAGCAGATACTCAATCTGCTGTATTCCTTAATGCAGAGATTGTGATGACCCTCCAAATTTTTCCTGTGTCAGCATTTACAAAGAAATGGGAATAGAAAAATGAGCAGCTATTAATCAATTTGAGGCAGCACCATTTAGGCCTTTGAACTCCTCTTTGAATCCAGTGGTTTTCAAAAGCAGCTTTTATAAATGGTGGTATTTCTAATCTATGTAGCATAGAATGCTAGCCCATACCACCGAAAAAGGAGGAAATGTGTGAGTCTTTGGCAGACAGTATTTATTATGGGACAATCATCTGGTTGCAGAGTAGGATTTTATGACATTCCCTGAGGTCTCTAAGTTTTGATTCACACTGCATCTCTGCTGCAATAGCATTTCAGCCATTTGGAGCCTGTTTGGTTTTATTTACTGGGATGAGTACTGAACAAACTAATCGATCACCAATCTAATTTGGTTATCTTATATTACTGAAATAACTCTGCCAAACAAAATAACCAGTCCTAGTTATGATGACGGTAGAATTGGAGTGCCTGCGGAGCAGAGGAGATGAACCATTAACTTGATCAGCTGTATAAACAAAGTTTCTGACCAGTGGAAAATGTTAGCCAATATCCAAGGCAAGGGAAGGACTTTAGATGAAAAATCAGAGAGGCTGCTAATAGAATATAACATATCCTCAGATCCAGAGAGAAAAAGACAGAAAATTTCTTCCCACAGTTAGTTTAGGGATCAGTTGAAGAGTTTGAGTTTGATGTGGCATCCGCCTGAAAAACAATGGAAGGCATGCTTCAGAGTGAGGAGCTTTCTCATCTGCTTGCCCTGCTTCTGAAATTATGTGGATTCTGACTCTGAGTCACCATGTTAGAAAGGTCTGTTGTTCATTTCTGGAGTGGTATCAGATTCAGCAAGGAAAGTACAGAGTGTAATAAATATGTAATAAACATCTTTCTGAATCCTGTTACTCTAGATATATCCAGAAATTGTGAGGTTTGAAATAGTTCCTAATGAAGTTATTCACATTGTATACATTCATCTAATTCGGCTGGAAAATTCTACAAATCTTAATGATTCTATGAAAGGCTATGTACAATTTTGGAATAGGTTTTAATACTATTAAAATACCTGGTTCTATTGACAACACACATTTAGCTTGTATGTGTGTTGCCATACGTATTTTAAATAAATTACTCACAGACAAGACTGAAAGCTTTTTGAAGACAGGGGCTGTCTCCCTCTTCTTTGTGTCACCAAGATCTCACACTGTACTGTTACATGATAGCTATTTAATGAATTTGTAATTGATGAATAATATGGTAGATGTCATATTGATTGAGAAATCTTTTCCCAGCCCTCTTGTCCAAAGCACCAAATTAAGAGACAGACTACATGTAAAATACTGGACTCACAGTAGCTGTGAAGGTTTACATGACAGGGAAGTTGGTACAGTCACTTCCAAATGATGTCCATGCATTAGCCCAAGACCGCAGGACTCAGTCTCTGCATTGCATTATTTATTTTTTTTAAAAAAACCCTTATATTCTGTAGTTAAATTGTAATTTTTATTTATTTATTCATGTATTTATTTATTTATTTATTTATTTTGAGACCAAGTCTCACTCTGTCACCCAGGCTGGAGTGCAGTGACATGATCTCAGCTCACTGCAACCTCTACCTCCCTGGTTCAAGCGATTCTCATGCCTCAGCCTCCTGAGTAGCTGGGATTATGGGCAACTGCCGCCAAGCCTGACTAATTTGTGTATTTTTAGTAGAGATGGGATTTCACCATGTTGGCCAGGCTGGTCTCAAACTCCTGAACTCAAGTGATCCTCCTGCCTCGGCCTCCCAAAGTTCTAAGATTACAGACATGAGCCACTGAGTCCGGCCTTAAATTATAATTTTAAGCACTTCTATTATTTAATCAGACTTGTCTTAATGTGTGGCAAAACATCTAAGAATATTTTTAAACTAAAAAATTAAAAATATCTCTGACCATCAGTAGTACGTTCCATGTGTATTGCAGCGATTCCTCCATATAGCTCTCCCTTCTCTTCTTCTTCTAAGCATTTTCATTGATACACAGTCAATATAGCTTTTCTAACTCCTACCCACTCTGGCTTTCTATTATATAGTTTAAATTAACTCCTCCTTTAATTTTACTAACTAGATTCTCAACAACAAAAAAGATTCTGGAAGCTAACTTAGCAAGAAATGTTTTTTTCCTGCTCAGAAAAAGTGGAGAAGAGGCAAAATGGTGTGTTCTCATGCATAAATAATTTTGTTCTTGGGATACAAGTAAATATGGCTAATTGCATCCTAGGGATTTCTATAACCCAAAACAACATCTACGGCTTCATGAATTTCCAACAAGTCATGACAGGCACACAAGTGCATATAATAAGTCACCAAGTCACAACTTCCTGTTTTGATGTAGGAAGAAGCAGAGATGAAGGGCCAGCAGAAGGAAAAAGACCTAGCGAACATCCGTGGAAATGGGGGGCTGCCTCTGCACCACATAACCCTTCCTGAATCTGCCAAAACAGCTTGCATCATTGAGAATTGAGACTCGAATAGAGATGCTTTTGGCAGATGCTTTCTCATTCTGTTTATCTCATCCTACATTTGAACTTTTAGCACGTTCAATGAGTGCTGGCTCATTCCCTAGCACTAAAAAAACCAAAAAACCGAAATTAGTAGCGCTATGGCTGTAAGAGATTTAAACATCATTACTCTTCATTTTAATTTTTTTAGCTTAAAATAACCATTTGTGATACTATCTTGGAGACCGATGAAACAAAGAAAACCACAACATTAGTTTGGCTTCCCCTGACTCTCATTTTCCATTGACAATAAACCTGGGTGCAACCAAAGCCTGCTGTGATTCCAGCTTGGTATTTACTCTGGCTGGGTGACGATGATGCCAAGCTATCTAGAATCAGTTCTTTAAAGAACAGTGGTGATTTTGCCCCCCAGTAACATTTGGCAATATCCAGGAACATTTTTAGTTGTTATAATAGGAGGGCAATGTTACTGGCATCCAGTGAGTAGAAGCCAAAGATGCTGCTAAACATCTCGCAACACGGAGGACAGTTTCTCATAACAAAGTGTCAATGGTGACCATAGGTCAAGAAACCCTGCTTTAAAAATATCTTATTTGGGGCCGGGTGCGGTGGCTCACGCCTGTAATCCCAGCACTTTGGGAGGCCGAGGCGGGTGGATCACGAGGTCAGGAGATCGAGACCATCATGGCTAACACGGTGAAACCCCGTCTCTACTAAGAATACAAAAAATTAGCCAGGCGCGGTGGCGGGCGCCTATAGTCCCAGCTACTCTGGAGGCTGAGGCAGGAGAATGGCGTGAACCCGGGAGGCGGAGCTTGCAATGAGCAGAGATGGCGCCACTGCACTGTAGCCTGGGCGACAGAGTGAAACTCTGTCTCGAACAACAACAACAAAAAATCTTACTTGGTAGAATCATGCATGTATTCTCTGGGCCCTCAGTGCAGTTGTAAATGCTTTACGAGCGGAAATAGCTTGTGTTATCATCTAATATAGACGGATCCCCTCTAACAAGGAGTTGCTTCTTGAAGTTTGCAAATCAATCAACATTTCTTTTGTCTGCTATTAGTGCCTGAAATATCCATCAGAGATCTCTCCGTTCATATATGAAACCCTTTATAAAATTCCTATTGGTCATTCATTTATTTACACCTAATGCATTTATTAAGTGCCAACTATGTGTTGGTCAGTGCTATCTGGGAGTGCTGCAACCTATCTTAGCGTGAGCTCATTGGCCTATCCACCTCCTGTTTGCCCAGTATACTCACTAATCATTGTCACATCAAAAAGTCTCTGCAGTTAAACAACTTAGAGCATCCTATGTAGAGTTGCACATACGAGATGCAGCTGGATTGCAAATGCATGCATATAACACGGCATATCTACCCTTTAAGTTCATACTATCATTAGACCTAGGTGAGAAGAATCCTGCTCTGGGCCCTGAGCTGTAGAGGGTGCCCTCCTGGACCTTCTCCACAGAGCCATGAAAGTGTGCCCATCTACAGCCTATGCCACATTGCCATCCAGGCCACACTGTGGATACCAGGGACGCTAGAATTTTCTTCCCAAATGACTGAGCCCACCTTCAGAGCCTGAATAGGCCTGTTTCCTTAGTGTGTTCTCTTGAGGGGAACATATGCACAAGCATCTGCATCACAAGGCCTGAGCCAGGGCAGTTGTTGGGGCAATGGACTTAAACTAGGTTATATGTGGTGTACATGAAGCCCCTCACAATGTGGAACAAATTGGGTGAGTGAAGAGAAGGGAATGGGGGCTGGGGACCAGGGGCTGTGAGTCAACTTTCTTTGCTTTTTCATGATCTGCTGCAAATTGCAGGGAGTCCAAGAATTCTAACTTAGAAGGTAACCTTATAGGATGTTATGAAGGTAATAACAAGAGAATTTTATTTAGTAGCTAGCTGGAGTTATTACTTAAATATTTGGACATACAGCACATGAGTCTCCATTTTTACACTTGCTCCAAGTCAGGGATAGACTTGATTTGAAGGAGCTGGGGAAGCACCGTTTCTTTTCTCTGGGCAGAACACCTCAGGATTCAGGGTACACCATCCCAGGTAAAAATCACACAAACTGTTCTGGAAAATTCAGTTTCAGCTGCTTTCCATGAATATTTCTTCCATGAATATTTCTAATTGTGGGGAGGACTGTATTTTATGTAGCCCCAATTATAAGTCAGCCTATCTTTTTTTTTTTTTTTTAAATTTCTTTTTGAGATGGAGTCTTGCTCTGTGGCCCAGGCTGGAGTGCAGTAGCGCGATCTCGGCTCACTGCAACCTCTGCCTCCTGGGTTCAAGGGATTCTCCTGCCTCAGCCACCCGAGTAGCTGGGATTACAGGCACGCGCCACCACATCCGCCTAATTTTTGTATGTTTAGTAGAGACGAGGTTTCACCATGTTGGTCAAGCTGATCTTGAACTCCTGACCTTGTGATCCACCCGCCTCAGCCTCCCAAAGTGCTGGGATTACAGGCGTGAGCCACCATGCCCAGCTAGCCCATCTTAAACTCACTGGCATTTCTGTGTGATAAGGCAATAGGTGAACCAATGGAAAATTATGTTTCCATAATTAGTTTCCTGAGTCAGAGCTAACAGAAGGAAAGAGGGCAGGAAGAAGTTTGTACCTGACATAGGAATAGCAAGAGGAGAGAAGCCTAGAAAAAAGAAAGATGCTCCTTTGGGGAGGAGGTGCTCTGAGCAGCCAAGGACAGGACTGACCACCTAATGAAAGGGGGAGGAACTAGAGGGAAGGCCTTGAGTAGAGATGGGCACTAAAATAAAATAAAATAAAATAAAATAAAATAAAATAAAATAAAATATAAATAAAACAATCTTTTTTCCCTCCCCTTTGGCTCGCTGTTTCAGGGGGCTGCAAAAGGAGTTAGACCACTGAACTTCTTGTTCTATTTAGGAACAATGTTGACATTGGGCGATTTCTTTATCTGAAGAATGGGGTCTTCCTCCTCGCCCTGGTTCTATCTTGAGGTGCTGAAAAAAGAGAACCGAAAAGGATGCTACGCTTGCACCCTATGTGGGAAAAACCCATAGGATGCTTTTCATTTCTTACCTCTGAGGAGGAGGCACTGACTTAGTTCTGGGGAGAGGATTCCACACTGTAGTTCCCACAGACAGAATCTGTCCTGTCTCATACAGTTGGAGGGTCCAGACCAGAGAGCCAAGACAAGAGGTGGGAGTGAGGGCACCTGTTTAAAATGAACAAGAGCCTAGTTTCAAGTTACAGGGGGACCTCTTCTCTAAGAACAAGCCCAGCCCGGAAGGCTTGTGGTTTCTGGTACCTACTGCAACAGTCTCTGAATTAGGGACAGTGAGTAGCTTGCTCACACATAGCTCCCACCTCCTGTTGAAGTCCTGGGAGCCAACTCCATAGCCGGGCCAAAGGCAAGGCTTGGCTGTCTGTGTGCTTAATTGCCTTTTGTTTCCTCCCGATGGGAGAGGACCCACTGACAGCCGCAGCAGTAGGAGGGGAGGGGAGAGGCCTCCACAGGGAGGTTTCTCTGCCACTCTCAAGTCCAGGGTGTGCCTGGGAAAGGGCTTCTGTGCTTAAGCTCAAAAAAAGGTATCTTTCCAAGAGAAAATTACACAGCTCAGAAAGTTAGTCATTAATGTAATGGTCTGAATCTACAATGAGAAAAAGATTGAAGCTGACATGATTTTTATCTTTGATATTATAGCTTCTGAAGTTGAGAAGTAATTACGTATGTTAATATTACATCCATTCGATATTCAGTGAATTTTTTTTTACGACTCTTTCTTAATTAATCTTTTCTCTTCCCCCTCTCTGCTCACAGCCCAGGCAAACAGTCGCGTTCTAGAATCAGGGGTGATTCTAGAAGAACACAGTTAGGAATCAGAAAAATCTGGGCTTGGATTCAGACTGGTGCTTAACTTTAGACATTTAGTGAATAAACAATAAAAATTGTAACTAGCACTTGCTGAAAATGTGATGTGATACTAGCAGTATGTGAAGGTTTCACACACGTTTTCTCATTGACTCCTCATGAAACTCTGTTGGGTATGAACAATTCTTATGTCCATTTTAGAGATGAGGAAACTGAGGCTGTCAGTGTAGATGCTGAGCACCACAGGCTAGCTTGCTTGAACACAGCAGCCCGGCCTCTGAGAACACTGTTGACTTTCACCTCTGTACTTTGGGAGCTTTAGGGGAAGATGGGGATGGAGTGCATGAGTGAGAGTGGAAATAACAATTTTTATTGCTTCACAAATCATACCACTTTCTTCATCAGCCACCTTCTATTTTAACAGTCTAGGTCTACTGCATATCTCTGGCTTCTTGTTCTCTACCTATAACCCCCCAAGGATCAGGTAACTGAAAGCATCAGAAAAGCAATAACAAATCTCTCTCTGCTCTTCCCTCCTCAGCAGAATCCAGCAGTCCCAGAGTGCTGGAGAGAATTACAAAAGCAAGGAAGCCGCAGCAGCAGCCACAGCCCTTCAGCTTAAAACACAGACACCCTAGAGAGATGCCAAGTGCAAATCACAAAGAGCTGGGGCGCTGTCCTCACCTTTCAATTCCCCAGCACCTCTGGGCTCCAAGATGCAGGTTGCAGAATCCTTGCATTGCTGCAGGGTCTTTGAGTGGCTGCCATATGATATTTGGTAATAACAATAAAGTAATGAAGATCGAATAAAATTCCATTTATATGGAATTCTCAGTATGGGGTCCAGAGGGGGTTAATATCATCAACACTATCACCATCTTTGTTATTGGGTTTTGAAGCTGATGAGAATTTAGATAAATAAAGAGAAGGAAGAAGAGCTTTCAGAGAAAAGGAGCAAAGTAAATGAAGATTTATAAGTATTTGTTGTGGAATAGCTAGAGTCATTGATTAATCCACTAATTTAATTAATTTATCCTTTCATTGAACAAATACTTATTGAGCATCTACTATACTCCAGACTCTGTGCCTAGCACTGAACAGGGGATTTACATGAGAGTCCTACCTTCAAAGAGTTTACAATCTCATGAAAAACAGAGATTAAATAAATTCAATGGACAAAGTAATATATGATTATAAATGTGATTTCTATGTGCTATGAGAAAAAACAACCTGGTTTATGAGAGAAAATAACAAAGGAGCAACTTATAATGGGAAGGAACTTGGGTAGGTCAAGGATGGCATCCCTGAACAGGGCATTGAAACCCAGATGGTGAGCTGGAGTCAGTGAGGCAATCAACTGGAGAAGAGTGTTTAAGGCTTAGGGAACAGCCTGTGCAAAGCTTCTGGGTCAGGAAGGTGGAGAGGAGAGATACTGGAGGGTGGGGAGGAAAGAGTCAGACAATGGAGGAAGGGAAGCAAGCTTCGATTTACCCTCAGCAGGCTCAGAGACAGCCCAGCCCTCTCTCCACTTTTCTAATTTCTCCCTCTTTTGGGGTTTAGCTTTGCACCCTGGGCATACACCAGGGTCAGGCACCATGGCTCTGTGGAGGGCACCATGGCTCTGTGCATCTAGTCTTCCCTCTCCTCCAGACAACAAACACCTAAAGGGGCTTGTGGTCTTTTTCACATACTTAGAAGACCAGACAGGACACAAACTCCTTATGAAAGATGCTGATTTCTTGAGTGATTTCGAATGTATCATTGCAAACTGCAAAAAGCACTATGCAAAGGGGGCTCCATCAGATTTCTCCAGACCCATTTCTAGTTCTCATGACTTGGCTTATCACTGGAGAATGTTGATCTGCATTGGGTATTGATCTTTAATTGTGGGAACTGACTGCCTCCCTGACTTCTTGCCAGGGCTAATGGGCAGTAAGCAAACTCTTCTATGTGCATAAGGGAGCCAAATAGTTAAAGAACTGCTTTGATGAATTCTCAAACATTCATATAAAGATAATAGTCACTTTCCACATTATCCATTTGTAAATCTGAATTTTCTTACAAACAATCTGGAGACAATTTTTCTCTTCCTCTCTGGTTTTTAAAAAACACTTTAAAGGATTATAAAATGCCCAAACCCTTACTGTCAGTGGGTAGAAGGTCAGAGGCTTGAGTGACACAGACTCTTGAGAATGGACAAGAAAGAAAGACCTGGAATAAATGACAGAGCGGCAGAGGGTACCTGCTGTGCTTTGGAAGAGGTAGGTGTGGAGTGCCTCAGTGGGGTGACCCCGCAGGGTATGGGGAACCTCCAGGGCCCCAACAGCAACAAAACCACAACCTCTAACCTTGGACCATTTAAACACATCTTTGTTACTTTTTTTTTTAATTGCACAAGTAATCCCTGAATACACTCTTATTTTAAAAGACAATCTGCGAGGCCCATGCATGTAATCCCTGCACTTTGGGAGGCTAAGGCAGGAGGATTGCTTGAGCCCAGGAATATGAGACCAGCCTGGTAGCATAGCAAGACACCATCTCTACAAAATATTAAACGAAAAGAAAATTAGCCAGACATGATGGTGCGCACTTGTGGTCCTAGCGACTAGGGAGACTGAGGCGGGAGGATCTCTTGAGCTGAGGAGTTCAAGACTCCTCTTGAGCTATGATTGCACCACTGTGCTCCAGCCTGGGTGACAGAGCAAGATTCTGTCTCCAAAATAAAAAATAAAAAAAAGGAAAAAAAAGACAATCAAGGAGTAGCTAGAGTAAAATGTGAAATTATCTTCCTTTCTACGCTACTCCCATTATTCCCGCTTCTCACTCCAAGATAACTTGGAGTGCCACTAACTTGGTCAGTGCCTTTTCATGCATTTCTATACCTACATATATAGATATACATGCATATCATAGATAAAAACTTACCTCCTCAGTTAATATATCTTGGTGCCTGTACATCCAAGTCACCTGTGTTATAATGGCTGCAAAGAACAGAGGTGATACCATAGTGCTGAGTGGAGTCTGAGACAGTAGGGGTAGAGACAAGAGCAGAACCAGGGAAAAGGGGCAGGGCTTTGCCAGTAAGTGATAAAAATGTGTATTTATTTCCATCTGTATTAGCCCAATCTGTGTTAGAATAACAATAGCTCCATATTATTCAGCAAGCCAATGAAAAAAGTGCCAAGGGCTTTGCATCCACTATTTTTTAAATATTTAAAACAACTGTACAAAGTAGGGGCTATTATCGTTCCCATTTTATGGATGATAAAACCCGGGCTCATTCAGACATGAAGGCACTGCTGGAGGTCACGCAGCTAGTAAGTGATGGGGAATAAGTCTCAGGTAAGTCTTCCTCACTCCAATGTTCATGCTTTTAACCACTGTTTACCCCTTTTCTACAAGCATATCCGGGACACAGGGGCTTTCTAAAAAACATGACTCTTCATTTTGGTCCCTACAGACTATTTCAAACAAGTGAACCATGTTTGTCCAAAGCCACCAACCTGCCTGGCTTATTTCCTTGCTGGCTTGGCCCACAGTCCTTTGCATTCTGTGAACACCAGTATTCACACACACATCCCTATGGCCCTGCATCCCTGGTGACTCCACCGGGAGATGCCAGGCCAGTGAGCAAGCACTGGGCCACCTGCTTCATGGCTGGGAAAGGTGAGCTGAGATGAGGAGGTAACAGGCCCGTCAAATGCAGTTATTGGAAACTACACTCATTAGAATACTGTAATTGGTTCCCGCAGGGCATTGGAGGTTAGCGCACAGAGGAGACAGAGAGGAGGGGCCGAGGGGGAGCGCGCTGCATGGATTTTGTTTTCTCTCTTAGCTTTTCTCCTCCAGGAGGAAGCGTTAACCAGCCTGGGCTCACAGTGTGGCTGCAAAGACAGCCTGAGTAGATGGTAGGGCCAGGGTCTTCATCACTCCTCTCGGCTTCCCTCTTTGCGGTCTCGTTCTCTCCTCTACCTGCTATCAGGAGCCTGGGAGCCTCATCCCACTGCTTTGTCAGAAAAAAAAAACAAAAAAAAGCTATCGATTAGCAAATTTGAAGAAAGTTCTTAGAATTTGATATGACACCAGTCACACTGAAGGTGGCAAATATGATTTTTCAAATAACTTAATGCAAAGGGCAAGGTTTAACCCAAAGTTATACAATTCTAATTGTATAACTGCAGGCACAAGCAAAATTGCAAGTCAACGTCCATATAACAGGTACCACTTTTTGCTGTCCACACATAAAGCTGGGCATTGCCATCAGGGCATTAATTGTGTGCTAGAGTGTTTCTTATTCTTAGGGTGAAGGAAGGAGGGCGGTACCTCTCCACCCCTCTGGGTTGGATTCTTTTTCTGAACAGCCATTCCATTCATGGGACAACACAAAATATGTTCTCCCGATACCAAATTCAGCATTCTCAGTATGATCTATCCTGTCTTTTTGGCCTTTCTGAAAAATTTGGTGCGGGGATTATACATTTTATACTCAGAAGTCAGGAACTTTCTGAGGAGCTGGAACTGTTGTAGATGTTGATCTGGATGTGGCTCCATGGTTTTATGGACAGTGAATTTTGCCAAGCCACACACTTAAGATTAGTGCACGTTGCACTTTATGTATCTCTCAACTTTAAAAAGTTAAAAAAAATACTTGTCAATTGCCTAAAACCCTGGCTTTTAGAATTTTATCCTTTAATCAGTATTTTCCTGAAACTCTGTTTGCTGATACGACGTGGCCCTCCTTTCCACCGAGCCAAATCCTGCTCTTTATGGAGGGCCAGGTGAAGATGAGCTTTTTAAAGAAAACTCACTTTGACTGCCCCAAACACATTGCTCACTAAATCACTTGCAGAAGCTGCTGTCAGAAGCAGAGACAAGTCCAGGGTGATGGGACCTGAGGCTTATACAATTTGGGGAATCCTTTATAAGACAAAGGATACAAAATTATGAATGCAAAGTTAAGGTAAAAGAGGGAGACTGAAAGTTTCAGGCCCCTTCCCCTCACTGTGATCTCTTGAAGCAGTTTAATAGCAATGTTGATTAAAAAGTGCATTCTGTTTGTGACTTGGCTTCTTCTCCCAAACACCTCCAGAATGCACAGGAGACAGGCAAGTGAGAGGGGCTCACTGAAGCTTCGTCCCTCTTTGGCAAATCTGTCTCAGGTCAGCATATACATGTCAGCATTTCATTTCAGCCTAGCTTGAGCTGAAACTTCTCTGTTTCATGCACGTGGCCGGCTACCCCGGGTGGATGGTATAATCCTGCAGTGCAAAACCACCTCTTCACATTGCCTTCAATTCTCTTCCAGTGCTTGCCAGTGTCTTTTATAGGAACAGTTTTCCAGACTGTTGAGAAAATGTTTTGGGGGAGGAAAACGGACTCTCAAAGACAGGTGGTAGTGATAATGGGGAATGATAAGTCATTAGCTGGATTAAATGAATTCTTTCCATGTTCCCATTATCTAGATAGTCATTCCACTACATTGCGCCAAACATCTTTTAAAAATTGGTTTGAATGAAAATTAACCCCAGGCCAAATGGAAAGTAAGAGAGAGTCTGGCATGGCTCAGACAGGTATAGTCAGTTCCCTAGTCTGACTTGCCTTCTGCTTGACATGAAGGAATCTACAGAGAAGAAGGAAGAAAAGAGAAAATAATAGAGAGGGAAGAGAAAGAGAAAAGGAAGAAAGATTAAGGAATAAAGGAAGAGTCTTACAAAAACAAA
Organism: Homo sapiens; assembly: GCF_000001405.40. NCBI lineage: Eukaryota > Metazoa > Chordata > Mammalia > Primates > Hominidae > Homo > Homo sapiens. Next base: position 158,532,436 of record NC_000005.10, on the reverse strand, counting down.
AAAGTAGGAGATTAATGAAAAAAGAATACTTAATAAAGCTCTCTTGAGCTCACACTCTCTTTTTTTTTCTTTTCTTTCTTTCTTTTTTTTTTTTTTTGAGGCTGCTGTATTAAATTAAAGTCATACATAGGTTTCAAAGAAAATCACATTTCTGCAGTCTGGTGAGCCCACCTGACAATGCACGCTAACAGAATTGTAAATGTAAAGGGTAATGCTTGTCAGTGCCTGACAGTTCTAAATGGCCTTTTAGTTCAGTACGCAGAGCTGTCATAAAAAAACATAAAAATGCATATGCAGACAGCTGAAACTGCTATGCACATCATTATCTGCAAATGGTATAAGTATCCTGAACAAAAGGCCTTCCAGTTTAAGGACATGCATAAGACATTTCTCTGCCTCCAGCTTTAAAACAAAGTGCTGTCAAGAAAACAAGATTCCCAGTGCCAGAACTGAGGTTTTTCTGTCAATCAGAGAGGTGCTACATTTGTACATATTTTTCTGACCCTGCATATGAGAAGAGCATTCTTAACAGATGTGTATTTAACTTCTGGCAGCTACATCTGTTTCTTCTGCATTTTTTTTTCTTATTTCTTTATCATTGTTCTAACAGACCTCTGCAGAGGGGTGTCTTATTGTGTGCTTTTCATCTCACCCTATCTTTGCCTTTTTCCTCCCCTCTCCTCTCTCCTCTTTCTTTTAAAGCATTTTGTCCTTCTATTTTTTTTCTCTGTAGTTCCAGAGGGCCAAAGCGGCCCAAGTTTGGTCCTATGGTGATCAAATTGGTAGAGATGTTTGTCATTCCTTCACAAAGCAGTGATATTGTCTGCCCTTTAAAATTGAAAGTTCCTTAAGGGCAAAGACAATTTTTATAATGTGAAAGTTCTGAAACCAAGTTGCAAATGAAGAATTTGTAACATTCCCATTTCCTGGAGTCCTCAGAATGAGCCTCTGAATAAGTCTCTAGGGTTCCAGGGCATTTGTATTTTTTAACAAACATCCCAGTGGTTATCACGTTTTCATTCATTCAAGCATGCATTGAAAAGCATTTCTCAGGCATCTACTCTCTGGCAGTCTCTGTTCTAAGCACCAAGGATATAGATGTGAACAAAAGCATAAGCTCCCCAACCTCCAACAGATTGCATTTTATTGAGTGAAGCCAATAAGCACCTAAACAAATATAAACATATGATTGTTACAGAGAGTGACAAATATCTGAAAAAAAAAAAAATCAAGGTAATAGAGCAGAGAATGGTGCAGCCGAGAGTTGAGAGTCTCCAAGTGGAGGTCAGGAAGGACTTCACTGGGGAGTTCACAGTTGATATGAGCCCTGAGTGATGAGAAACCAGTCATGAGTTGATCTGCAAAGACCATTATTTCACTTTATTCTTTCAACAGAGTAGACAGTATAATCATGCACTTTTATGGGTTTTTTTTTTTTTTTTTTTTTTTTTTGAGACAGAGTCTCACTCTGTCATCCAGGCTAGAGTGCAGTGGCACTATCTCAGCTCTCTGCAACCTCCCCCTCCCAGGCTCAAGCGATTCTCCTGCCTCAGCCTCCCAAGTAACTGGGATTACAGGAGTGAGCCACCGCGCCTGGCCTATTATCATGCATTTTTGAATACTGAAAGTGATGCATAGAGGAATTAATGACTTGCCCCAAATTATACAGCTAGTAAACAGCCAAATTGAGATTCATACCCCTGTGCTGTATGAGATGCAGGAGAATCAGCTACTTCAAGCTTCACTTCTATTTCCACACCTATCCACGTCCTGTCCAAACTTTAGGATCAACCTGAAGTACACTCTTTTCCTTCCATCATCTAAAGTGCATCCATCAATGCATTAATACAATTATCAATCCATATGTGAAGATCATATTCCAATACAGATATTGTATAGGATATTCTATAAACAATTTCCCTAACTAGCTCAACTGGAACTTCACTACTTCAGAGTACTTGGGATTTGGACCACAAAAACTGATTTCCATTCATGTTGCATGTGTGGAAAATTCTAAAGAAGACTAAGCTTCTTGGGCCACAGGCCATATTTCACAACTCCACAATTTCTGATCCATTGAGAACATTTTTCATTCTCTTTCACAAGTTTTCAAGTCTTGGTTTGAAGGCTTAAAGCCTCCAGATGAATTGCAAAGAGATATAACAACTTTTAATGATGATTTTTCCCCAGTGATCAATGACCATTCCATTGTTGGAGATAAACTGGAGCACAGGACTTGGAAGACAATAGAGCCAACTGGCTGAAAATGTGAGGCCTGGAGTTGGGGAGATGAATATTTCTTCCATCTGTGATAATGGACAAACAAAACTTTGGTTCACTCAACTGAAAAATGGTGATAATAAGACTTACATGAAAGAGTTCTTATGGAGTTAGATGAGATAAAGCCTGTATGGTTCTTAGTACAGTATCTGACATACAGTAGGCCCTCACTAAATGTTATCCATTGTTATTATTATAATGATTCTTTCCATTGCACTGTTAGGATGAGACACTGCCATGTGACAAATGGGACCAATCACCAGAGCTCTAAACATGACTGTTTTCCCTTACCTTGAAAGAAATAGAAAGTGCACCCCTCCCACACCTAACATGCCCAGTTACCCTTTGGGACCTGCTGTAAGGAAGCCATCATTTTTTATACTACGCTTTCCTACTGCCTTTTCTTCTAATAGAACTTACGTCCTCTAGCTGCTGTAAAAAATAATGCTCTCCTGCTCCACCTCCTGGGGCTCCACTCTTGCTAAGAGCAATTGCTTTTTATTGAATGTGCGATTTTGTTGCTATGGAAAATATATTGTGATTAATGAGACCCTGTGACCAAGGTTACTTGGGACAGGCTTGGATCGGTTAGCATGATGTCCTTACTTTTCACAGTGCCAAAGTCGGCTGCAGCAAGAACTGCATTATCAACTCCATTAGTAACTCTTGGACAGCATGTAGTTGACAAAAGGGACAACTTTGTTATGCAGAATTGTAAAGAGCTTTAGAAATGAGTTAGTTTAAGAGGTCTAATGTGATGAAATATATAGTACACTTAATTTTTAATTGAAGAAAAGGAGGAAAAATTAACAACAGAAATAGTAATTTATAAAATTCGTCATCCAAGTGGGATGGGCTTGTATGCAAAATTTGCAGTTATGACTGTGCAAAATATTCAAATTACACATTTAATTTAAAATGTGTACATATGAAACGTGTGTGTGTGTGTGTGTGTGGGTGTGTGTGTGTATAACTTTTAGAGTTGAAAAAAATTTCAGAGGTCCAGAACAATTTTTCTTGCAGGGAGAAATCTATGTCATGGCATCCCCACAGCTGATCTGGATTAACTACCTCACATGATGAGAGCCTCATTACCTTCAGAGGTCGCTGTAATGGGAAAAGTTCTACATTTTTTCTGACATCTAAATCTGCCTCTTGGTTACTTTCACCCTGGCCTTTTTAGAACAATGAAGAACAAGATGATTCCATTTGTTCAGAAAAAAGGTTAAAGTTGAAAAGAGACTTAGGGATCTCATTACTGAGCTTCTCATTCTTCAATTAAGAAAATGGAGTACTTTTTCTACAGGATTCCTTTCCAAGGATGTGAAGAGTTATCGTTTTCCTTATTGTATACATTGAGCTTGAGATGGTTGTGAATTCCACATGGACAATTTGAATTCCAAACTGGAACTCAGAAGAGAGGTTTCAGATAGAGCCATACATTCAGTGGCTGTTGATATTTTTCTTGGTAGCTCAACTCATGGAAATAAAGGAGATGATATAAGACGAGAATATAAGATGAGAAAACATAAAGGCAAGATGAAATCCGGAGGTTCTCCCCCCCTTTTTTTTTTTTTGAGAGGGAGTCTTGCTCTGTTGCTCAGGCTGGAGTGCAGTGGCATGATCTCAGCTCACTGCAACCTCCATCTCCCAGGTTCAAGTGATTCTCCTGCCTCAGCCTCCCGAGTAGCTGGGATTACAGATGCATGCCACCAAGCACAGCTAATTTTTGTATTTTTAATAGAGATGGGGTTTCACCATGTTGGCCAGGCTGGTCTTGAACTCCTGACCATGTGATCCGCCTTCCTCGGCCTCCCAAAGTGCTGGGATTACAGGTGTGAGCCACGGCGCCTGGCCTCTCCCTTTATTATATCATTGTGAAACTTAATTTTGTTACTTGCAATATCCCCCATATGGCCTAGTCTTTTCTGTGTGGCAAAGATACTACTCCAGAAATATTGAGAAAGAATGGAAAATTCTTACTGTAAGTTTAAGTGGAGTAGCGTATAAAATGCTTCTCAGAAGTTCTAACTGTCCTGCTTTCTGACTTCTCACATTCTTTTCTGCTCTGTAATTCTTTATTGCAATGCTGCTTGCGCCCCAAATATCTCTTCTCTTTTCCCAAAGTTGTGCTCCTCCTCTTAAACAGAAAGTGCCTGCTGAGAGTTCAGCTTCCAGACACATTGCACTACCTAAGGATAGGTGGAGGATCTAAGGTCTCCATAACACCTATCCTTAACTTACTCCACACAGATGAAGGAAGACATGGGAAGTCCTGCCCCTTCCACAATCCCCCCAGACACATACTTCTTTTTATTTTCTCATTAACTGTCTTACTTCAAGTTTTTAAGCACGATATCCGATAAATCTGTATAACAGCCTATCAGTAGTCCCCTGGGGTTTTTCTTTATCTGAAAGTTTCATAAGCACATATGCAGAGACTTGATAAAACTTTCAGTATAACCTAGTCAATGGTAGAACCAAGTGGCCTGCCAATAAAGACCCTCCTCTAGGTTGACCCAGATAATTTTCCCTTGATAGTATTTTCATTTGTTTTCTGTTGTTTATAACAGAATACTTGAAACTAGGTAATTGATAATGAAAAGGAATATATTACTTACAGTTATGAAGGCAAAGAAGTCCAAGGTTGAGGGGTTGGATCTGTTGAGAGCCTTCTTGCTGGTGAGGACTCTCTCTCTATTTTTTTTCTTGTTTTTGAGACGGAGTTTTCGCTTTTGTTGTCCAGGCTGGAGTGCAATGGTGCAATCTTGGCTCACTGCAATCTCCACCTTTCGGGTTCAAGCGATTCTCCTGCCTCAGCCTCCCAAGTAGCTGGGATAACAGGTATGTGCCACCATGCCCAGCTAATTTTCTGTATTTAGTAGAGACAGGGTTACACCATGTTGGTCAGGCTGGTCTCAAACTCCTGACCTCAGGTGATCGCTGGTGAGGACTCTCTGCAGAGCTCTGAGGTGGTGCAGGGCATCACATGGTTAAGGGGCTGAGCATGCTAGTTCCAGATTATTTTTCTCCTCTTATAAAGCCACCAGCCCCACTTCCATGATGATCCATTAATCCATGAACCCATGAATCCATGAATAGATTAATCCATTCATGAGGGCAAAGCTCTCATGGCCCAATCACCTCTTAAAGGCCCCACTTCTCAATACTGCCATACTGGGAATTAAATTTCAACATGAGTTTTGGAGGGAACAAATTTTCAAAAAAAAAAATTCTGCCCAAAGCTTTACTAAAATTCAGATTGACTTTATTTATGTCTTCTTGATCTCTTGATGTGATAATACAATTTTTAAAAAAGGAATTGTGTTCATTGTTGGTGAATCCATGTTGGCTCTTAGAAATCACCACAATTTTTGCTCAGGCTTCAGTGCTTCTCTAGTCAATTGCCTGTCCTAGAATTTTGGTCAAGCCAAGTTAAAATTAAGTTCCTGTCTTTTGTTGTTTAAAAAAAATCATAAAACTGTTTGCTTCTAGCATTATCTCATGGATCTTATTCCTGAAACAGTCTCAAAGATTACAAACAGATTTACGTAACAACATAATATAGGATCCATATCTACACCCACACACATGTTATGATTCTCCCTGCTCTTCCCTTCTCTAGCAGTCAGAGGAGAAATAAATATCTTTTCTCACACAGAAATCTTCAGCTCTTCTGTCATTTTCCTTTTCATCTGCTAAGTTGAAGTATTTCCCTTCCTCTTCTTCATGCCCCAAACGTGAACCTGAAGGCAGGTTTTCTTGTTTATTGAAGCATCTGCTGCCGAATATACACCACCATAAGGCAAGCCCTCATCCAGTTTGGAAATAGGAAGTATGAGATACAGAGACAAGGATTTCAGTACAGAGTCCTGAGTTCTGGTCTCAGCTGGACTATTAATGTTGTACTCAGACCCTTAGGCAATTATTAAAACATTTTCTGCTGCTGTTCATCTAAAAATTTAAGCCAATATTGACTTTCCCACTGAAATCACAAGATAGTTGAGAAAATCAACAGAAGAAAATGCTAAGGAAAAAATGTAAAGTACTTTCTCAATGTATAAGGTTAAAAGGATTCAAACTTAGAGTTCAAGGCTTGAGCTGAGCCCACGGTCTGTCCATCATTCTCTGCCTTAATTTTAGTGTTGCTGCCTTCATTTTGCCCTCCTGTTTCCAACATCAATTTTCTCCTATTCTTTTGGCTCAGAAATTCCCTAGTTACTGGTCCATCCCAACACACTGCCTTGTACATTCTCAGCAAGATGATTACTGACTAATTGGGAAAACAATCCAAACTCGTGAGGAAATGGGTCATAATGTGTTTTCTCTCTGGGCAACAAATAGCAATCCCTGGACCACCATGGAAGTTATGTTCCTGAAAATTACTGGGGTTGTCAAATCCGTGCTTAGCAATGTCAAGGTCTTGTAACAAAGAGGAGATTGGAGGAAAGTGGCATTACAGATAAATGTCTTAATATATACTTTTGAAACACGAAAAGATTCTAGAAGGTCTCTACTTCTGGAACACATTCATCTATGCTTAAAATACTTCCAATATCTTCTTAATAGTTTATGAAATATTTCTATCAACTTCTAAGGCAAATTCTTTCTCTAGTTTTCTACTATGCAAAATCTAGATTTTCTAAAATTGGGGTCACATTGAAAGCCTCTCTGCTGAATCTGGCCCGATATATATATATGTATATATATATATACGTATATATACATATATGTGTATATATATACATATGTGTATATACATATATATATACATATATACGTATATACGTTTATACATATATACGTATATACATATATACGTATATATGTATATTTATTATATAATATATTATATGTAAAATATAATACATTATATTTTACATATAATATAATATTATATATACAGAATTTTTTTTCTTACACTGTACTTACAATTTTTAAAATTTCAGTGTCTTTGCATAGGGTTCTTTTCTTTTCTTTTTGAGACTGAATCTTGCTCTTGTTGCCCAGGCTAGAGTGCAGTGGCGTGATCTTGGCTCACTGCAACTTCTGCCTCTTGGGTTCAAACGATTCTGCTGCCTCAGCCTCCCGAGCAGCTGGGATTACAGGCGCCCACCACCGTGTCCATCTAACTTTTTGTATTTTTTTAGTAGAGTTGGGATTTCATCATGTTGGCCAGGCTGGTCTTGAACTCCTGACCTGAGGTGATTCACCTGCCTCGGCCCCACAAATTGCTGGGATTACAGGAGTGAGCCACCGTGCCAGGCATACACAAGGTTCTTTTCTAATTGCCACAGTCCACACCACTCTGTCTGGTTTGCCCCTGCTGACATTTGTACATTAACATAAAGAGCACAACCTAGGAGCCAGAAACTTTAGGGGCTAATTCCACAGGGGCATTGATTAGAAGTGAATGTTTTTCCAGCTTTCTCATGTGCTAACACTATTATCTTGGTCTCGTTCCTTCTCTTCAAGTCTCAATTTCTTCTGTGTAATAAAGGTACTCTTGTATTCTCTGCCAACATTGCAAGTATGATGTGAGGGTCACATAAAATAATGCACATGAATGCAATTTGCACATTGTAGAGTATACTGAAAATCTATAGTATTATAAGGTGGTAGCTCCTGGCCAGCACAAGACAACCCTCTGTCTATCGCACATATTCAGATACCTTGCATCATCTGCCAACCAAACTTTGTGAATTGAAGAAATATAGGAGAAGAAGATGAAGGGTCATTTACCTTGGTAGTTAATGCCCTATATGGATTCTATTTATATAGGACTGTCTACAATTTTTCAGTCTGAAAATTACTCTGCACAGTTGCTTAATGGCCCTTTTATCTTCCATTTAATCACATCCAGGACTTCTCACCATTCCCCCATTAAAGTTCCCATTTGTCTCTTTGATCATTCTCCTGATCTTATTTGTATGCAGAGCTGTATACAACATACACTATGTTTCTGGGCTATCTAATAGCAATTGAGGCCAAATGTACCAAACAGCCAAGTAAAAAGAAAAAAAAAAAGAAAGAAAAAATCCCAGAAATGTATTACTCTAACTATATAAAACACACATGCTTGTCTATGTTTGGCCATGAAACATATGAGCTTAGAGAGACATAGAACAATGGCACATTCATTGCTATGTTGGAGGCACTTTCACCAGAACAGTGGCTCCCAATCTGGCTTAAGGAGCTTTAGAAAAATATACAGACACTTGGGCCCCAGTACCAGAGATTCTGATGTAATTTGTCAGAGTGGTGTATAGACATTGATTTCTTTCAGAAAGTTCCCCTCCTCAAAGTGGTTTTAATGAGTAACCAGTATTAAGCATACTACAATAGGAGTATATCTTGGCGCTGGTCTTGTCTTCCATACAACTGAGCCTTGGCTTGTGTTGATCAATGGAAATTCTTTTTTTAATACAGATATTCCTCCCTGGAATTACAAGTGTTAATAATACGCTCCCTCTAAAAATTCCACTGCCATCAATCAAGCTTAGAGCAATACAACCCCACTGTGTAAAGACGGAGGTTCAAGGTGACACTATGAGTAATAGTGAACATTTGGAAGCCATCCGAATGCTCGCCAATAGAGAATCAGTTTTTTAAAAAGGCACTGCCAATGCAATGAAACACTATACAGCCCTTAAAAAAAGAATAAGTGAAGTCCTGGAAGTCTACCCTGACAGAAATAATTACCCAGAATCCATTTTTAAATGAAAAAAAAAAAGGAGGTTGTAGGATATGTATGTAAGATACATTTTTGTGATAAACTTTCTTCAAAAGAAATAACACAAATTATATAATCTCAATTCTTGATTAAACAGAAAAAATTCAAAACAAAGAATAAGCCTTATAATAGTTACTCTTAAGAGTAAGATGAGATGGGAGAAAGGGGAAACTTCTGCTTTTCACTTCATATTTCTTTGTAATATTTAAATGTTTATAAACAGAATATATCATGTTTATACTTTTTTAAGAGAGAGGAAACATTTGCCAGCCACACCCTCTCCCCTCACACATATTGCCTTCCAACCCAAATATTAATCTGGCTGTTTTAAAACAGAAAATGATGGCCACTATACTGGCTGAATTTTTTTGCAGATCAAAAACACCCTGCATCTTTTCCATTCAGCATTCCATGAAAGTGCAACCGAGCCAAGTCCTGTGTGTGGGAAAGTGTGTCTTTGTGTGTGTGGATCTCGTTGTAGTTACAAGGGCCCCTCCCTTTGGTAACAATTTAACACCCACATGCATCCTCAGGAAGGTCAAAAGGGAACAGCAAGAGTGAAAAAACATGTTTTAGAAATGTGAACCAGCTCCCACATCCAAAATTCTTTTCCCCCACATTAAAAAAAAAAAAAAAAACCAAAAAACCGACATCATGCATGTTTCCAGGAGTTTCTGGTGGATTTAATGAAATGAGTGGTGATGCGGTCCACAGAAAAAGTGGGAAACTGGCAGCAAACTTTTCATAGGAAATGAGGCTCTGTGTTGGGAATAATATTGTTTTACAACCTAAATGCAAAAGTCATCATGCTCAATTCTGTGTCGTTTTCATAATTCATACAGGGGTCTTGTGGCCATTTGGAAATGTTAGAGTCCTAGAGAAAGAACAATCATGGAATTTCCATATTCATGGAAAATCAGCACCTCCTCAGATTATTTAAAAAAATCAAAATTCCATTCACAAAACAGAAAGTTGGTAATTTCCTGTAATTTTATATTTGAAACTTCAATTTGAGTCTTCAGTACACTTAAGTGGCAAAGCAGAAAATCTAATAATCAGTATGTTTTAAGATGTTTCAAGTGAAATAAATAAGTTTGGAAGGTTCATAACGATATTTAGAAATTCTTTCTGAATGTGCTACGATACAGCGCTTCTTGTTAGCCTGTTTTCACCAATCTGTCTTTCTTGAAGGAATGAGTCAGTAAAATATGATACAATCTTATGCAATATACAGTCTAGCTTCAGAATCCTTAGGCAACATAGATTGTAATACAAGCTTTACCCTCAAATCCCTATGCAATCTCAAGCATCTTACTAAAACTTTCTGTGCCATTGTGTTACAACCTCCTAAAGCATGAATAAAAATACCTGCCTATCTGATAGAACTGTGATGGTGATAGAGAGAGTGCACAATGAAACATTTTTTAAAGTTAAGGGACTATGAAGACAGGCAGCACAGTGTAAATAGAAATGATACTAACGAAAACTGAGCTATGTCAGGTAACTTCTGAAAGCTTGTTTCTTCATCTGTGAAAGGGGATGATTAATTAACAATTAATTCAATGAATGTTTAGTGTCCCTAACATGTCAGGCGCTATATTAGCTGCTTGGAAGGATAATTGTTGCATTCTGCCCACTCACAAGGATATTGTGAGCATCATTAAGGCTATACCCACGAAACACTTTGGAAAACACAAAGGGGGCCGGGCGCGGTGGCTCACGCCTGTAATCCCAGCTCTTTGGGAGGCCGAGGCGGGCGGATCACGAGGTCAGGAGATTGAGACCATCCTGGCTAATACGGTGAAACCCCGTCTCTACTAAAAATACAAAAAATTAGCTGGGTGAGGTGGCGGGCGCCTGTAGTCCCAGCTACTCTGGAGGCTGAGGCAGGAGAATGGCGTGAACCCGGGAGGCGGAGCTTGCAGCGAGCCGAGATCGCGCCACTGCACTCCAGCCTGGGCGACAGAGTAAGATTCCATCCAAAAAAAAAAGGAAAAGAAAAAAAACACAAAGGGTTGCACTTTCACGCAGGATTATTATGCATATTTTAAATTTTTTACTCATTAAAAAAAAAATTTTATGAGTCCCTCCTTTGTTAAAGCAGCAAATCAGACAAATTCTGTTCTCAGAGCTTAAAGTTTAATATAGTTGCTGAATACACGGATAGAGTTGTAAGTTTTTTAAAGTAAAGTGACGTAAGTATTATATGAGTGACAACCCAGCTTCTAGAGCAACTCTAGACATTATGCTTAATTCTATATCCTTTTCATAATTCATACAGGAGTCTTGTGGCTACTTACAAATGTTAGTGGTTCAGGAAGGACTCCTGTAGGAGATTGGCTTGAGCTTCCCTGATGCTACTGCAGGGATGCTTGTCAACCCACCAGAACTTCATCCATTCAACAGATGTCTATTGAACACCTACTAGGTGCCAGACCCTGTGCTATGCTCCATCATGGAATATATTCTCCAGGAAACATATACACGTGGGTTTCATCCACATGAAATTTAAACCATCATACATTTTCTCCCAGTGCTTCTGAGTGCAGGCCTTTTGAAAAAAATCTGTATATACAAAACACTACTCTTTTAGACAGGATAGATGCAGTTATGTGCTGATAAACCAGCTCTCTGGAAGCAGGGAGGGAGGAAGAAGCCCTGATTTATAACATTCTTGAGTTCCATGGTGTAAATACTCCCACTGTGGATGATTTCAAGCTACCAATTGTTTGACACCTGACTTGAAGAAATCCTGAATACTTAATTACTGGTTTTCGTAATTTGGTTTGAGCCAGCCCTAGCGCACGATTGAAGATCCAAGTGTTTTAGTTTACTGTTTAGTCCAAGAAATGGCAACATAGATTCCTGATGAGTGGCCATTAAACGTCTCTTGATTCTAGTCTCAATCCTTCCTCAGGAACCTACCAAGTCCTTCCAGGATGTCCCCAAAAGTCCACAGGGCAATAGCCAGTGTGATTCCATACTAGCTCCACACCTGCTGTCAGAAATGCCCAAATGGGGCCGGGCGTGGTGGCTCACGCCTGTAATCCCAGCACTTTGGGAGGCTGAGGTGGGTGGATCACGAGGTCAGGAGATCGAGACCATCCTGGCTAACACGGTGAAACCCTGTCTTTACTAAAAAATACAAAAAATTAGCCGGACATGTTGGTGGGCGCCTGTAGTCCCAGCTACTTGGGAGGCAGAGGCAGGAGAATGGCGTGAACTCGGGAGGTGGAGCTTGCAGTGAGCCGAGATGGCACCCCTACACTCCAGCCTGGGCAACAGAGTGAGATTCTGTCTCAAAAAAAAATAAATAAATAAGAAAGAAAGAAATGCCCAAATGGGCTAAAGAGTGTTCTCTAGAATGCTGAAATACCATCTTATGAAACAAAAGTCTTAGGACTCAAATACAAAACAAAAGTAAACAAACCAAAAAAGATCTGCCCATGACTTTTTTAAACTTATGGCATAATTTCTAAGTTAAAAAAAAAAGAGGCCTTGTGGTTAGGAAATAATTAATGCCATAATAGGAAAGAAAAAGAACAAACAAGGTCGAAAGAGAGAGCCACCCTGTCCATAAGTCCTTCACATTGTAAACAGCATTCATTGCTCAGGGCACATGCTAGTTCAAAAGAACAAACTCTGTATGAATGTTGGGTGGGGCCCAGAGGTCTTTATCCAAATAGAAGCGATTTGCTATTTCACCACAAATTCCAGGCACAAGTACATGCTTCATTCAACTTTGCTTAACACAAAGTACAATTGACAAGTATTTGTGGAGAAGCTACATAGGCAAGACAGTACCCTTGAGAGGTAGGGCTTATGTTCCCCCTTCTCCCTGAAGCTTGCAGTCTGGTTGGATTCATCTTATGTACACTGGCAAAAGGGTGGTTTGAGTGAGGAAAATTAGGTATGCCAGACTGGTGGTTTTTAAGTGACAGGTTGAGGGAAGCCCAATAAATTCGAAACACCTCTAGGCTATTTTCCAGGTCATTTGCTATCTGGTTTACCTATGTCCTCTCCCGATCCCTTCCTTACAGTCTCCACAACATCACACTCAGTTCCTCAAGTAAAGCATGTTCTTTGCTCCCTATGAAACTTCACAAACCCTGTTCCTTCTCCTGGAACAGGCTCAGTTACGTACCATTTCCCCTCCCGGTTTCCCTTGCATATGATTTTCTGAGAATCATGCTTTAGATCTCACAATGATTTTGGGGGTATTTTTTTTAAGCTCTCAGAGGGCCAGAGAACTGGGTTTGGGTACTGCATGGCCACATATGGACACATCAAGGAGAAAGGCCCACCACCTATTGCCTCCATTGCCCATCAACAGCACCTCTGACACTAGGGACTGAGCACTAGGAATGAAACCACAGCTATGTGAGGACAGGAGCCCCCTTTACAATGAAGATCTTCTCTCCCTACCCATAGCCGTCACCTCACAATGCTCATGGCTGCCTCCAAGTCTTGTAGAGATGTCCTAAGTACAAAGGAGCCTGGGCAATGCAATTTTTAGTTTCCCAGCCTCTATGATGTGGATGTTGCACCAGGAGGGCATGGAAATTGCATTGAGTGTGCTATCTTACAGGAGCAGCTATTTGCTTCACCCAGAGCATAGAAGAGTCAGGATTTAAATTCTAAATTCCAAGCCCATGAATTGAATTGCTACTCTACCCTATACTGGAAGTTACTGGGTGGATCCAGTATTTTCTAGCCTCCTCCGGCCCACAGTTATTGAGATGTGTGGTTCTTCCAGGTTTACTAGCAGAGGAACACCTAAGCTTTAGATTTTTAGACTCCTCATAGCCTTCTTTTGTCTCCCTTGAGGATGAACATAAAACCTCTAATGAGTGGCACTGTCAAGAGAAAGGAGGTGGCCGGGCACGGTGGTTCACGCCTGTAATCCCAGCACTTTGGGAGGCCAAGGCAGGTGGATCATGAGGTCAGGAGATCGAGACCATCCTGGCTAACACAGTGAAACCCCTTCTCTACTAAAAATACAAAAAATTATCTGGGCATGGTGGCGGGCGCCTGTAGTCCCAGCTACTCTGGAGGCTGAGGCAGGAGAATGGCGTGAACCCGGGAGGTGGAGCTTGCAGTGAGCTGAGATCGCGCCACTGCACTCCAGCCTGGGCAACAGAGTGAGACTCGGTCTCAAAAAAAAAAAAAAAAAATGAGAAAGGAGGTGCTTTAAGGAGGCAATAGGGCAGGATCTAAGAAAAAAGGGTGATATTGAATAAAGGACAAATATCGTGGCTACCATTCATTGGTTAGGCACCTGGCATGTATTAACTCTGATTCTCCTAGCAATCCTTCAAGGAAAACAGTGTTACCACATTCTTTAGATGAGGGAGTCTTGATTTTAAGGTAAAGACACTTGATCAAGGTCACACAGTCAGTACGTGATGGAGACAGAGCCAAAAGGCAGGTCTTTCTGCTCCCAAGACTAGACATTCCTAGGTGAAGAAAATAACAAAAGGTATAGGTTCTAGAGTCACACTACAAGAATTCCAACCCCGATTTATGGGCTGCATAACCTTGGTGAACTCCTTTAAGCTTCCTGGGCCTCGATTGCGTCCTATGTAAAATGGAGGTATTTGCATCTATCTGATGGGGTTATTGAGACAACCAAATGAAAGAATCTTATGTCCAGCTTTTGGCCTATAATCAGTGCTAAGTAAGATGTTAGCTGTGGTATTATTGCTACTATGCTATCATCATCATTATTATTATTTCCCTGTGCTGCTGCCTCTCTGAAACACAATATCCTAAAAGGGCAAATCGTATGTTGAATAAAAATGCTAGAGATGCTCATTGGCACAGCACATTCATGGGGCCATGAGCTCCTCACTCTTGCTGGAGTGGAGAGTTCCTGCAAAAGAGTAGTGGGTGATAAGACTACAGACAGATGCGGAGCTGCATTGCACTGAAAGCTTTGAATACCCTGGGAGATGGGCTCAATTGGGCCCTGGCAGGGACCTGCCTCAGGGGGTGGCAGTCACAGAACTATTCCCAGCCGCTGTGCTTCTCATCCTCACCCCAACACAAAAGGGAAGGATGAGTGACACCTCAAACAACTTTGGAGAGTCTAACAACAATTTTCAACTTCAAACAGGCCACACATAAAAGTTGAAGACTTTTGCTACAAACCCAACCACTGGGAAATCACTGCCTGGCTGACATTAATTCCCCAGCCACTATGAAGCCGTTACTGAAAATGCAACTTTTTTATTCCAAGTCCTTTAACATTTCAATCTAGGGCATTGGCAATGTGGAGCAAATCCAGGTCAGGTCCTGCTTTAATCCCCAAACTGAGTATCAGTGTTAAGTCCACAAGGAATTAAGGCTCAGAGGTGAGGGCAGGGAAAGACAAAGGGCAATAGGAAGTTATTTAGAGCCCACTAGAATTGTCTTTCTTTTTATTAGGATCATTATTGATTTGGGTCGCTATTATTTTTGTTGGCACTGAGTTTTCCATTTTTAATCTCACATTACATTCTTGCAGCATTTTAGAGTCTATAAATCTGATCTATGTGTCCTCTGATTTCATTTGCTTTGTAGGCATTGAACAAGTTAGGTTTCAGAATAATGAGATTAGGAAAAATAGGAATCTCCAAGATCATGCTACTTATGTTTTAGCACGAGCCATCTCAGGTGTTCCCCATGGCTTCACTGCCAGGCAACGTCAGAATTTGGAACAGCTTCCACATCACCAGAGGTCTAGACTTCAAAGTGGAAATCATTCACTGAGTTTCTGTTAGTGCAATGGTGTGTGGCACTGTGGACTGGGGTAAAGATACAACCCTTATTTTAGAGGAGGTTTCAGTCTCATGGAAAGATAAACAGCTCCTTAAGTAATCATAAGCAGTGGAGAACAGATGAGGTACAAGTTGGGGTAGAAATATCCATGCTCAGCGTTTCAGGGGACAGGTCGAAAGATAGTTTTAATGTTTTGGGATAAATATGGCATAAGCCTATTGTTTAAAATTGTTTTCACATAGAAAACTTTTCATAGAAAAGTAAAAGAAAAAAAGTAGACTATATCTTCAGACCCCACTACTCTGAGATAAAACAATGTTAAAATCCTATTTAACATTCTTCAGATATCTCTCTGTAGCCATCTGATTTTGCAGAGCTGTATGAATGAGTATAGCTGTAGATAAACAGATTCATATGTGAAATCACTCTACACGTGCTGATTTGTAAACCTCTTTTTATTTTAGAATATCACATCAACAAATTTTAATATCAATAAAAATAGAATTGTCACATCATTTAAAAATACTTGTATCCTATTTCACTGTATGGATATACCATGTTTAGCCAGTACCCTTTTGATAGTTGTTTCAGTAGTTTGCAATTCTTTGTCATTATTAGCAATGACGTGATGTTCATCCTTCTGTGCACATCTTGTATACTTAGGTGAATGTCTCTTTAGGGTAAATTTCTAGAAACGGTATTGTTTTGGATGACTCACACTTAGGATTTGACAAAAATTGCCAAATTGCCTGATAGGCTACTTTAAAGTTTCAGGTCCCAGACATCTGGTCACGGGGTAGTCTTTTCTGCCTTGAAGCTCACTGTTAGCTCCCTGGAACTTGTAAGAAAGGCCAAGGTAGAAAGAATGTGGAGGAGGAAACACACCTAACATGTGCCTGGTTCTACAAGGTTTTTTATGCATATCGTCTAGTGTAAGTCCAACATCATTCTCAAGAAATTGGTATCATCCTGGTCACTTGATATAAAAGAAGGGCTTGGAAGTTCAGAAGCTGGGTCAATGTCTTCTCTTTTTCTTTTTTCTTTTTTCTTTCTTTTTTTTTTTTTTTAAGACAGAGTCTTGCTCTGTTGCCCAGGCTGGAGTGTAGTGGCACGATCTCGGCTCACTGCAACTCCACCTCCTGTGCTCAAGTGATTCTCCTGCCTTAACCTCCCAAGTAGCTGGGACTATAGGCATGCGCCACCATGCCAGGTGATTTTTTTTGTATTTTTAGTAGAGATAGGGTTTCACCATTTTGGCCAGGCTGGTCTTGAACTCCTGACCTCAGGTGATCTGCTTGCCTCGGCCCCCCAAATTGCTGGGATTACAGGCTTGAGCCACTATGTCCGGCCTGAAGCTGCGTCAATTTCTTAATTTCTCAAAGAAAGAGAGAAGTTCAGCACTGAAACTTGGGCATTCATGGAGTTACAAGATGCCCTGGAGACCTAAAAGATGAGTAATAGAAGTAGGGTGAAGAGAACAAACTTTATTTACTTTGAATGTTTGCCCCAAACTCCACTTTGTCCTAGTCCTACTAACACTCATTAAAAACCAGCACTATGTATGAGTGCTGTGCCACTGCTGTCTCTGTAACTGGCAGCACTTGCTTAGGGCTCCTAAGATTGGCTCCTTATGGGGTTGGCTTTTTCATGAACTTCGGTGTGAGAAACAGGTAAGTTTCCTACTTCTCTAAGATCTTAATATAGGAAAAATTAGCCAGAAGCTTGTGAGGGGAAGCTAGCCAAGGTGTGTGTTTGCTGGAAATAAAATCAGTGGGCCTTCCAGGGCTGGGGAAATGGACTTGGGGGTATTTCTTCACCATCTGTCCAGTCTCCAGTGTGTCTTGATAGATGGTTTTCCCCTATAACCCATTAGTCACCTCATCCCTCTCTCTGAGCTCTGTTTTTTGAAATATGGTTATCTCATTTGAATAGCAATGAGTAAGTGCATTGGAAGCTACTTGAATGCATTCTGAATGCATTAAACTGGAAACATACAATTCAGTGACATACCTATTGCCAAACTATAGTAAAAGTTGAAGTGATTAAAACAATTTAATGGCATGAACATGCATCCAGAAAGGAAGAGAGAGAGAGAGAGAGAGGGACAGTAATTTTTTCCAGTGCAGCATCAGCCCAGTGGTTGATACTTTGGAAGAAGTGGGTGGAGGCCCTTGCCAAGAGAAAGTGAAATAATTGATGAAGACCCAAAGGAAAATGTCCTTGATCTTGAAGTTATTACTTCATTTCATGAAATACCTTAAAAGTCAGTGAAAGACTACAAAGTCAGAAAGTCAATTGTTTTTTTTCCCCTTGGATACAATTCCAATATGTGCATATAAACACGTCACAGAGTTCTCTTAAAAAAAAGTATAGCTTGGGATCTAGGTCATGCTTTCAAATAGCCTTATTATACCCGTTATGAAGTGGACACTCAGGTATTTGGCTTGGAACTTTTATCCACACCCAAATGGCTGGGTGATTTATAACTTGCTATCCACATTCTCATAGCTGTTTGGTCAATGTTAAAGCCTCAAATTAGGCTTGACGTTTATCAGAAAATACACACACACACACACACTGAACTATCATTCAGCAAATGATGTCATAGGCTAACCACTATTTCCAAGTACCTTTGCACTGGAGCTAGATTCTAGTTATATGTTCTTCCTCCCTCCCTCCCTCTCTCCTTCTCTTTCTCCCTTCCTTCTCTCCCTCTCTCCTGATGTTCTTTCCTTTCTCCCTTCCTTTCTTCTTTTCTTTCTTCCTTTCCATTTTTTTTCTTCTCCCTGTCCCTCTCTCTATTCCCTCCCCTCCTGTTTCTCCTCCTCGTTCTTCTTTTTAACATTCATAGCACGGGAAATAAATGATTGACTTCTTCTTGTCTTATTCCAACTGATTTCATTCTCTTTTGTTTTGGAAATAGTGCTAAAAACCTCAGGAGGAAATGTTTTTTGTTCAGTGACTGATCTTGATACTTCCTGCTTCTTGTCAAGCCAGAAATAGCTCCTCAACAACTGCAACCAGGGAGTAGCAAGAAGTGCGAAAATGAAATAAAAATTTGTGTATTTCTCCGCACAGAAAAAAAATCCATTGTTCATTCATAAATAAATAAATATTGATTGGGCTCCTCTGATGATAGGTCTTGTGCTCATGCTGGGGCTACAGCAACAGACAAAAAAAGAAATGATTCCTCATATCACTGAGCTCAGAGTCCAGTTGATCAATACTTACCTTGAGAAACAGTGCTGTGGACATGGTCTGTTACCCTCCCAGGTAACAGGAGGAACATTTGTTTCTCCACGTGTATCACTATGGGGTCTGGGGGAATTAACACTATCTTCAGCTAATAGTCAAGCCCTAACTGGCCTAAATTGATTAATATAATCTCATCCCTAGAGTACAGTATAGTACAGTTATTGTGTCAGAGATGGACACATGAACTATGTTGGTCCAATCAGAGAGAGTATCTTTGCTTAATGACTAAGGAAGGAGAACCAACTTCTCTCCTCTCTCTCTCTCTCTCTCTCTCCCCCTTTCTCTCCTCATTATCTTCCTCCCCATTCCTGCTGAATGTGAATGAGAAAGCAACAAGTCATACTGTGGCCATGAAGGGGGCCAGGCCTAAAGTGAAAATGGAAAGCAGAAAGAAATCAGGTATTTGGTAACATAGTAAGCTGCTGGATCAAACCCTAGCTAAAGCTTCTTGATGTTCAACTACTTTCTTCATCTATATACAGGTTTTACTTGCATTTCCTACCCCTTAGAGGTAAAAGAATACTGATACACACAGGGATGTATGGCTTATTCAACAATTTGAGAAATACAATATTCTACTCACAAAAATGTTCCATGTAACTGAAATGATACTTTATCAAATATACTTGATTTATTTTTTATAATTATTCTAAATTATACACATTGATGCCTTAAAAATTATACCAAATAAAAGATGTGAGAAGTACTCATATAATCCTAAATACTTCCTCCATGTTCCATAGTACACTGACATCTTTGCAAACTACTGATGTGGATCGAATTGTTGTCTACATGCTAAATATTTCTGAATACCACCCTTTTTTAAAAGCTGCACTTTGGAGTTTTGCAGTTATATTCTTAGCTTCCAGCTTCCACTCTGTGTGAAGATCATGACGCCAACCTTTAATAGCTATTTATTCCATATAAATTACTGCTTCTAAATCTGTTACAAGCTGGGAAACCATATTACTGAGTTTGTTAGAATTGTTTTTAAAACAAGAATGAATGGACACTACGTAAATGCCTTGGGGGCAGGGGGCAGGCAGCAAGTCTCCTGTCTATTACATGTTCTTAACCCTATTGTTGGAACTCTAAGGCTCCATGTAGAGGCCTGAGAAGCCTACACAGGAGATAAGAAAACAGAGCTGTGGGGTCCTGGGAACACCCCCTCCCCATTTCTGCTTCAATCAGCGCATTTCCATTTTTATCTGTTTTATGTAACAGAGTTCTGAAAAAGATTTCATTTGAAATAAAGATTCAATTCTTTAAAGAAAAGAAATGCTCCCCTATACCAGCGTATACGATGGAATACTGTACTAGTTATTTTCAGGTAGAATATTTTCCATAGTAGAGGTAAAGTCTTGGTTTTGGAAACTTACCTACACAATTCCAGTGAAGAGAAATAAGAAATAAGAATTGCAGTCTCTGCCTTGTGGAAAATGGCTTAATTTAGTTTTACTAATGTTGCTTATTCAAATCTCATCTCAACAAAATGCATCTTTGCAATGTCAACAGTCCATTTTGCTCCATTAAATCTAAGGTGTTATGAAGCTATAAGATATAAGGTGTTATGTAAGATATACCATTATTGTATGTAGAATTAAGAAAGAAAAAGCATGGCCAGTTAAACCATACACTGCACATATCCTTTGTGCACCACTTCACCTACAACAGTTCTGTGTAGTGTTTGGCCTGCTTCTGACTGCTTCCTGCCCCAGAATTTCTCTGACACTGCACTGCAGAATGCCTGCAGCCTTGACATTTACACACCTGCAACTTAAGGATGTGGGGAGGTCATGCTCCATGGAGCAACCCACAACCAACTGTAGACAATGTCCTCACAGCAGATGATTCTAAGCCAAATTTCATAAAACTCTCCACAGAAGGTCCTGGGTGAATTACTAGTCACATACAGGCTAGGCCATTCAATAACATCACCTTGCATTACCTTTCCCCACTTCTTGTTCACTTGCCCTCTCCTGGCCCTAGAAATCCATTCTCAAATAAGCTACCTGCATGCAAACCTTTGTCTTAGGCAGGCATTGTGAATTGTAAGACATATCCCAATTTCAGAGATGTTAAATATTTTCATCTAAGAATCATGAAATATGGTCCTTTATGAGAATAAAAGACAAATTTGTTAAGTAAACAAGTTGATATCAAAGACCGTCACCCTATACTTAAATAAATAAATAAATAAATAACACTGCAATTTTATTTGTAAATTGTTCTCCTTTGCTTCTCATCTACAGCCCAGGGCAATGTTCCCACTGAGCACAATGATGACACTTTGTCCCTGTAAGCTCCTCAGGCTTCAAAGAGGGATTAGAGAGTTCACTTCACTCTCTGCAGAGAAGTACAAAAGTCAATGAGAGACTTTTATGATCTCCCTCCATACCTGCTCCTCCTAGGTTAAATAAATGGCACCTCCATCCACCCAGGTGTTCATAACAGAAACTAGAAATCATTATCAGGTTATGTAAAGTCTGCCTCTTTAGAATTTCTCAAATCTGTATAATTCACCTTATCTTCACTGCACCACCTATTTCATGCCACCATTACCTTTCCCTGGGCATTCATTGCCTCTGAACTGGTCTCCTACTTCTACTTTACCCTACTCTAACCCATTTTCCATATTATTCTTTCCATCCATCCATCCATCCATCCATCCATCCATCCATCCATCCATCCATCCATCTATCCGTCCGTTCATCCGTCCATCCGTCCATACGTCCATCTATCCATCCACCCATCCATCCATCCGCCCATCCATCCATCCGTCCATCTGTCCATCCATCCATCTGTACATCCATCCATCCATTTATCATCCATTATTTTGTCAAATAATTATTGAATGTTTATATGCAGGCACTGTGCCAGAGTTTGAGGAGTCAATGTTGAACAAGAAAAATATTGTCTCTGCCCTCATGAAATTTTACAGACAAGTATAAAATCAGGTTACATATCTATAAAAATGTTCATATATGTGAATATTTCAGATTATATATTTATACAAATCAACTTGACACTTTATCAAATCTACTCGATTTATTTTTGATGGTAATTATTACAAATTATACACATTGGTGCCTTAAAAATTATACCAAATAAAAGATAAGGAAAGTACTCATATAATCCTAAATACCTCCTCCATGTTCCCATAGTACACTGACACCTTCGCAAACTATCACTGTGGGTTAGATTGTTGTCTACATGCTAAACATTTCTAATATTTTCCTTTATTAAAAGCTGCATTTTGGAGTTTTACATTATATTCTTAGCTTTCATCTTCCACTCTGTGTGAAGATCACTCTGCCAGCCTTTAATAACTATTTCTTCCATGAAATATATATTTATATATTTATAAGTATATTTTACATATATAAATGTTCTGATTTTTATATATAAATTAATCTGAAATGTTCCAATTTTTATATATTTATGTATAAATGACAAATATTTCAATATTTTTATATTAAATATTTAAATAGTATATTTATAAATAATATATACATAAATATAGATAAATAAACTTGACAAATATTTAAATATATATTCATATGTAAATATATATGTGTGTGTGTATGTATACACACACACACACACATATATATATAAATCTGAACATTTTATTCCCTTTCTTTAGTGATACTCAAACAACTTCCAAAATCTTAGCAGGTGAGCCCTATAAGATCTTTCACAATCTGGCCCCTCAATATCTAGTCTTGCTGCAGATCACATTGTGACACCCTCCCTCTCTCCGTCCCCCAACACACAGGCACCAGCTACAGTGGCTTTCTATCAGCTCCTGTAGCATCAAGCTCCTTCCCATCTCAGGTCACCAACTTTCTCTTCTCCACCTGAAATATTCTTCTTTCTCTTTATTTCCTGGTTAACTCTGATTCCCCTTCAGAAGGAATGCCTTCTATGAAGCCTCTACCAGGCTGAATCCCACTCTCCTAAGAACACATCACATGCTGTGGCACTCATCAAAAGTTTAATAAAATAATACATTTTTAATTTGAGGTTTATGTTTTTTGTTAGACTGCAAACCTATCGATGGCAGAGCCTTTCTTTATTGTATATGCAATGAGCAGCTCAATGCCTTTCATATAGTAAATGCTCTTAAAACACTTGTTAAATGTGTTTAAGAAAGGTCTTCACGATAGCAAAGTAAAAAGAATATTGGACAATGATTCAGGAGGCCAAGGATCTACGCTTTATCCTTCTTACCCTTTGTGGGCTGCACATATGCCACTTGCAAAATAAGTGGATACCTACAGAGATCTAAACTCCCTTACAGTTTCAATTCCCACAGACATAGGATTTAACAATTTAAAGGATTAAACCTCCAAATTCCAAGTTTTCACAAATGCCTGAATTTCAAATGTGCTGGTACATCACAACACTCTCCTTAAAGTGCACTGGGCACATTTTAAGGAGTTTAAATTGAAAATATTTAATGTCCAAATATATTCTTATTTCAATTGAGATATATAACATGTATATTATGTTATATATGCAATCTGAAATGTTCAGATACATATATAATAGATATTATATATAAACACATATATATAATATATTTATAATTTGTTGAAAAATTTGCCTGAGGAAATAAAAAACATGGTGTTTTTATGGTAGATTCTGAAAGGTAGCTTGAAAGAAACAGTAAAAAAATTTAAGAATCATCTCTAAGTTAATATTATAGAATCCCAAAGCATTAGATTTTAAGATTTTTTATAAGATTCTCTTAAGAACAATTTGAGTTAACAATTTATTGAATAATCACTATATTCTAATAAGATATTTTGTTCATTATCTATATAGTTCTGTGGTTTGCATGTGGGGGTCCCCTCCAAAATTCATGTTGATAAAGATGGCAACAATAGAAACCAGGGACTACTACACTGAGGGAAGAAGGGCAGAAAGGGTTGAAAACTATTGGTTACTATGCTCGGTACCTGAGTGATGGGATCATTCATACCCCAAATTTCAGCATCATACAATATACTCAGGTAACATACCTGCACATGTACCCCCTGAATCTAAAATAAAAGTTGAAAAATTTGGGAGGCTGAGGCAGCGGATCACTTGAGCCCAAGAGTTTGGGCAGCATGGCAAACCCCTGTCTGTACCAACAAAAAAAAGAAAAAAAAATTAGCTGAGCATGGTAGCATGAGCCTGTAATCCCAGCTACTTGGGAGGATTGATTGAGCTCGGGAGGTCAAGGCTCCAGTGAGCTGTGATTGTGCCACCGCACTCCAGCCTGGACAACAAAGTGAGACTCTATTTCAATTTTTTTAAAAGTCGAAAAAAAGTAAAATAAAAAACAAACAAACAGAAACCCAAAATTCATGTTTAAACTAAATCCCCATTGTGGTGGTATTAAGAGCTGAGACTTTTTGGGAAATGATTAATTCGTGAGGACTCTACTCTCATGAATAAATTAATGCCCTTAAAAAGAGGCTTCAGAGAAAACTCTCTCTTTTATGCCCTTCTGTCCCTTCTGCCATGTGAGAACATGGCATTTGGCCTCTTTGGAGGATGTAGCAAGAGGCTCTTACCAGGTACCAAATGCTGGTGCTTGATCTTGAACTTCCCAGCTTCCAGAACTGTAAATAACAAATTTCTGTTCTTTATGAATCACCCAGTCTCGGGTATTTTATTATAGCATCACAAACGGACTAAGTCATATAGCCATTCCAACTTTCCTTTGTTTGTATTTTGTGATGCATCTTCATTTCATCCTTTTACTTTCAACTTAACTACCATCTTATATTCAAATTTTATCTCTTATAAATGACATATAGTTAGGTCTTTTTCAAAAAGTTAGCTTGACAATCTTACTAGGGTATGTACCTTGACTGTACTTACTGATACTCACTGGGGCTTTCTCTTTTCTAGTTATCTATTTTTTGTTTATTTCTTTGTTCCTTATTCCTGCTTTCCTGCATTCTTTTGGATGCCTCATATGTCTTTTATTCAATATTTTGTTCTTTAATAGTGTTTCAACTGTACATTCTTGTATTTTATTTTTAATAATTTCCCTAGATACGTCAGTATGCAATCCTGAATTTAACAGTCTATTTAAGACACTTATGAGTTTAACCACTTTTATTTTACTCTCCACCCTTTGTGCTATTGTTGACATATTTTCTTCACTCTTATGTGATAGGCTGTACAAGACAGCACTATTACTGTTCCTTAAACAGCAATATTTGTTTATATTTTCCTATCTATTTATCCTTTCTGGTATTCTTCATCTTTTCCTGCTTCCACCTGGGTTCATTTTCCTTCAGCCTGAAGAATTTCCTGTAGATTATTTCTTAGAATGTCTATTTGCTTGTAATAAATTATCCCATATTTTGTTTGTCCAAAAGTTCTTTATTTCACATTAATTCTTGAAAAATATTTTTACTGAGTACAGAATTATAGATTAGTAATTTTTTTCCCATAAGCACTTTAATGATATAATTCCATTGTTTTCTGGCCTTAATAATTGCTAACGAATAGTTAGTTGTTAGTCTAATTATTTCTTCTTTGAAGGTAATGTATCTTTTTCTTCTGGCTGTTTTTAAGATTGTTTTCCTTGTTCTTTGTTTTCTAACTGCTTGAATAAGATGTGCCTATTTAATTTATTTTTTAATCTTACTAGAGATTCATTGAGCTTCTTGAATCTGTGTGTAATGGCTTTCATAAATTTTGGAAAATTCTTGACCATTATGTATTTATATGTTTGTGTCTGCCTCACCATCCTTTTTCCTAGTGTAACACCAACTATAGGTATTAAACCTTTTTATTGTTTTTCATATGGCTCTTATACCCTTATACTCCCTTTTATTCCTTTCATTCTTTCTTCTCTTTGTGCTTTGTGGATATTATTCATTGGCCAGTCTTTGAGTTTAATAATTATGCCTTCTGTTACATCCATAGTCCTGTTTGAAAATTGTATTTGAAGTTCTAGAATGTTCATTTGATTGTCTTTATATACTACAACTCTTGGTTGAAATTCTAAAAATTTTCATCTCTTAAATCTATCTTGTCAATTTTCACCTCTATTTTCCTTAGCATATTAACCATAGTTATTTCAAACTCCTCATTTGCAAACTTCAATATCTGGATTATCTGCAGGTCTGTTTCTACTAGATTTTTTTTCTTGCTGTTTCTTTGCCTATTTTTTATTGCTAGATTTTTATTGCCTAGATTTTATTGCTGTTTCTTTGCCTATTTTGTGTCTAGCAATTTTTATTCTATTCTGGACATTTAGAATAAGAACTATAAGGTCTTCATATGGTATTTCCTACCAATAGGGGTTCCCCTTTCCATTTTTTAGACAGACACAGGGATAAACAAATCCCTATAATCCTATAAGGGATTAGTTGGGTTTGGATTGGGTTGAAGTTTTAGTAAGATTTATTCCATCTTTGGTTCCTCAAATGTGACCCTCCTAGGCTTTTGACTGGGAGCCTTGAGGTCTCAATTTCTTCAACTCTAAAAGTGCTAACCTTTCTAGATTTCGAATTGAGTTCTTTACCTTCACATATTATGCAAGTTATTGGTTGTGTACGTTTTGTAGAGTCCCCTCCCTCTAATGAGATCTTTTTCTCCTAAGTCCCTAGGGTGACCAATTCATGACGGTTTTCCTGGAACTCTGTTGGCGTTAAAACCAAAAGACCCACATTCTGGGAACTCCCTAAGCCCCAGGTAAACTAATACAATCGGTCACACTATAATCCCCACGAGACAGCAGGAGTTTTCACTTTTCCTTTCTTTCCCAGGCCCCAGTCTCTCACGCCTTCCTGGAATTCAGCAAATTTCCCTTGTATTTGAGCTCCTCTATTTTCCAGTTTATCATTCCAGATTTTGACTGCCAAAAAACTGCTGACTTGTTTTTCCTTTATAAAATCCCTCAATTTTGTTTAAGTTCAGTTCTTAGGTCACTCCCAGTGATACAGCTTTGATATTTGTCCCCTCCAAATTTCATGTTAAAATTTCTTCCCCAGTTTTGGAGGTGGAAACTAATGGGAAGTGTTTGGGTCATGGGAGAGGATCCCTCATGAATGGCTTAGATACTGTCCCTATGGTAAAGAGTGAGTTCTCATTTTATTAGTTAATATGAGAGCTAGTTGTTCAAAAGAGCATGGCACCTCCTTTCTCTCTCTCTTGTTCTCTCTCTCACCATATAATATCAGCTCCCCTGCCCCTTTCACCATGGCTGGAAGCTTCCTGCAGCCCTAACCAGAAGCAGATGCTGGTGCCATTCTTCTTTTATAGTCTGTAAAACTATGAGCCAAATAAGCCTCTTTCAATTATAAGTTACCCAGCCTCAGGTATTCCTTTATAACAGTGCAAACCAAATGAATACACCCAGAAATTGCAAATGCCTCCAGTTAAGAAAGCTTCCAGTGACCATTAGATTTTCTACAAAGAAAATCTGAAGTTTTAGTTAGTCTAGTTCTTTGTTTGTTTCTATAGCCCTTCTTTGCTTTAAAAGTTGATTTTTGTAGTTTATCCTTTTTGCTTGGTTAGTGCAATGGGAATTTTGGCCTGCCATGTCTGATTAGCCAACTTTGAAGTTGGAATCTACAGATTATGTCTCTTAACATGTAAACTTATAAGATAGGTGCTATAATTATCTCCACTTTACACAGGTATTGGGAGGTTAAATGAGTTTCACGAAATCATGTTGCTTCTAAGAGTCTATCTGGAACCCAAGACTGTCAAGCTCCAGAGCTTTTACTCCCTAAATTATATTAGTATAACTTTAAAAACTAATTATAAATAGTATAATTTTCAGAAACCAAGGTTCTGAAAACTTAATTGACTTGCCCAAGACCCTAAGGAAAGTTTGAGACAAAGCCAGGATGAAACTTCAGAGCTCTTAGGCCAATGTTTCTTTCAGAGCCACATAAGAGGACATCCAGCATGATATATACATAAAGAAACTGGTAATACTCTAGATGCAGGCATTATG
Organism: Homo sapiens; assembly: GCF_000001405.40. NCBI lineage: Eukaryota > Metazoa > Chordata > Mammalia > Primates > Hominidae > Homo > Homo sapiens. The sequence goes on along the minus strand of NC_000005.10, from coordinate 158,504,432 downwards.
CAAGGGAAAAATACTTGCAATAAATTTCACACATCATTAATTGCCACCCTGCATGTGGGGAATTTCACTAATTTATGTTGTACACACATTTTATCTAAGGGCTGATACACATAAACATAACTTCAGCAAAAAATGTGTGAAAATATATGTTTTTAAGAAAATAATAAATAAAATATAGTCCTCAAATATGCTAGCTGCAATGCCTTTTTCTTCCCCAAGTGGAATTGCTTTTCCTCATAAAACATCACAAGGGAGTTAGAACTCTTCAAAACTGAAGCTACTAAGAATGCTGATTTCAAATGGTGGTAGGGAGAAGAAGGGAAGGATCTTAAGGGTTTTCTTTAAGAATCTTATTTCTTTCAATTAGGCTGACCTGATTCTTGCCCTGTGGGTCATTTTCTTCCTCCAGTAAAGGAAGTATCACCACAGAGACTGAGGAAATGACTTCCTTTGGGCGACAATAAAGCAAGGCAATATCAAAATGAGGGAATTTGTGTAAGAACAGAATATAATCCCCTACCTCCAGCTCTCTCCCCTGTTGGTTTGCTCTGTGTTCCACAGTGTCTGCTCTTAAGGCATCTCTTATGGACTAAAGCACTGCATTGGTAAAGTTTTTGTTAATGCAGAGATATTTCCTAGCATAGAAGGTGTGGTGGGCACACGAATAAGATTTCATTGTATAGCAGAAGTTAAGTTGGGAGGTCCTAGTGAGGAGATCCTGATGAACTAAGGAAAAGTAGTGTCACCCAGTGTAAATCTGAGACACTAAAGAGCAGGAATGACATTTGGCCTCATCCTTTCCCAGCATCCATTGCCCTAGTGAGATCCTCAAGGGAAAACTTAGCTTTGGGCCACACTTCTTTAGGACCTATGGCATGCCAAAGTCCACCTCCCTAGAAACAGTATGATAGGTATTGTTTTAGGAGCTGGGAACACAGTGATAGAAATGACAGGCACGAGTATTTCCAGAAATTCCTGCGCTTAGGAATGATGGAGAATATATGCTGGCCAGAAAATAAGTGTACATAAACACACAAATCAAGTACGTACATGTATTATGCATCCAATCTGTGCCATGGATTTTCTCCGAATTCTCTGATATCCTCAGAGTGTACATAAAACCTTAGCAAAGAAGTGAACAGTACTTTGTATGTGTACAGCTACTACCATTCACCCAGATCAATGTCCTCATTTCTCCAAGTAAGCCCCAAACACCTCAGCAGCTGTATTCTGGCAGCAGAGATGTGGCTGTCTATTCACAGATGTGTGCCATTCGATCACTAAAAAGGAGAGAAAGAAAGAGAAGCAATATGGGGGGAGGAGCAAACTGCAGGGGTTAGAGAGAAGAAAGGGGATACAAGCAAGAGAGGCAGAAGAGTGTGTAATACTGGACAAACTGTTGGGCATTCGGAAGCTCTGTGACCTTTCAGAAACTTCACCAAAATTCTCATCTTCAGAGATACGCAATATACTGACTTCCTTTTGCAAGACATCTGTGAAGGTCAAGACACTCTCCAAGCACTCCTTTCCGGCCTGCTGTCCCCAGCCTAACACTGCTCATGAGGAAGTAACCAGCAGCCATCAAAGATTGGCCTCGGCGCATCCTCCTACACCACCAGGACTGCTGGGAGGTGGTGAACTGCATTTTCTTCTTTTTCTGTGGCTTCTGAGTGCAGATCCCCATTTGTGTAGAGCCAATGAATGGTAAATATCAAGTCCTTGACTTTCTTAGACCTGTGGGACTAGTGTAGAAAAAAATAAAAGCACTCTCAATAGTTTTATTTCTGAAGCTGACCTCTCCTCTCTGTTTGGAGTTCCTCTGCCTGGTGTACAGAGAAATAATAAAACATGGCAGAGTACTGTCCAGGGTTAAAATGTCATACATCCACTTTGGGCATATTATGAAATGGTGCCATGAGACTCAGGATCAGTCTTTAGCCTCAAATCTGAGTTCCTTTCCCTTCTGCTGCTGCTTAAATTTTTGCCCTAGCATTTTGTAAGTTGGCTCCAACTTCCCCAGGAATATATAGAAAGTGTCGGTTTATATTGCAGGTTCTAACATCAAACTTTTTTAGTTAAAGTCCCAGCATAATAATTTACTATGCATGTGATCATGGCAAAATTACTTCCCCTGAGTAAGCCTCAGTTTTCTCATCTGTAAATGGGAACCAATAATAATGCCTATTCATAAGGTAGTTTTAAAGGTTAAGTGGAATTAAAAAAAAATCTCTTAGCACAGTGTCTAGAAAACAGTAAACATGAAAGCATGTCTGCTGCTAGTTTTATATATGCATATAAGTACATATATATCTATATCTTGGGGAGGGAGGGATTCAACAAGTTTGATCAAGAACTTGAGTAAATCACATACACACACGTATGCATGCATACATATATATATATACACACATATATATACACATATATATACACATATATACACATATATATACACACATATATACACATATATACACATATATATACACATATATACACATATATATACACACATATATACACATATATATACACATATATATACACACACACATATATATATACACAAATATATATATACACACACACACACATATATATATATATATATATACACATACATATATATTTTTTTGAGATGGAGTCTCACTCTGTCACCCAGGCTGGAGTGCAGGGGCGCAATATCGGCTCACTGCAAGCTCCACCTCCCGGGTTCACGCCATTCTCCTATCTCAGCCTCCCGAGTAGCTGGGACTACAGGTGCCCGCCACCATGCCCAGCTAATTTTTTTGTATTTTTAGTAGAGACGGGGTTTCGCCGTGTTAGCCAGGATGGTCTTGATCTCCTGACCTCGTGATCCACCCGCCTTGGCCTCTCAAAGTGCTGGGATTACAGGCGTGAACCACTACGCCCGGCCACATACATATATTTTAAACTCCAGTTGTTGACTTCATCTGCCACCCAGTATGACGTGTTTATCCTCTAGTGTCACATAAGCCTGCCTCACCACTGTGCCCTAAGCCAAGCAAGGCCCTAAAGAGAGTGAAACTACTGGCATTTGGACCAAGGAAAGCCAGCTGAAATAGGAAGCAACACATTCAAGATTTTTTTCTTGTTTCTTCCTAAATCTCTGTGAGTCTTTTGCCTACTGGATGAAGACTTCTTTTATCTAATGTGTAAGATTTGCCTCTAACTTCAGCATTTATTTTCTCTTCCAGAACATGTCATGGTGACTCCTTTAGTGAAAGAACACATTCTTTCCTGCTGATTCCCCACATACTCCCTCTCCATTCCTGCCACTCAGTCACCTGCTCCCAGTACCAACCCTCCCACAAGTCCGCTCAGGTTCTGTGTTCACCGAGTACTCAGGCAAAATGAACCCTTAAGGGCTCTTAGCTTTACCCCACTCTGTTCCCCTCCAAGTCCCTTCCGCCTCATCCCTTGGTGTTCTTCCCACGGTATCCCAGGCTCCTCCCCACAGTCACATCTGTCATCAACTTTGGTCCCACAATTGTTCTGCCCTTTCTCAGCAAACTTGTGGCTCATTATAAAATGAACATCCCCTAAACCCACAAGCATGCATGTCCATGTGAACACCCACGTATCCATATATACGCAGAACTTTTCTTTACATTGGAGACAGAACAACTGGGCGCAGCATACATACAACTGAGGGAAAGAATCAGGAAGTACAAATATTTTTGTTTTCATTCCATGCTGTGAGGTCAACACATAGGTGAAGCCAAATCGGAAAGTAGTGGCTTTTAACCTTTCTTTTGATCATGGACCCTTGTAGAATATTACAAAATTATGAACACTCATCTTCAAGAAAATGTCCCTATGCCCAGGCCTTTGCACACAATTTCAGTAGAGGGGTTTGGATTTAGATCCCATATATCTTTAGGCCCCCAGGTTAGGACTTTTAAGTATAGAGAGGTGCATTGAATGCTATAATAAATAAATAAGTTGAGTAAGTAAATAAAATAATACTAGTTATTGAGTGTCTACAATGTGCCCAGAACTTCACTTGCAGTTTCTCTGAAGTTCTCAATACCCTTGCAAGTTAGATATTACTGTTTCCATTTTGCAAATGAAGAAACTGGGGCTTAAAAAAATTAGACTATTTATCTCAAAGCCGTTCAGCTGGTAAAGAAAAGAACTGGGATTTGGTCTAAATGATTGATCTTTTCCCATTTTACTCTGCCCTCTGGTCTTTGGACTCTAAACGGGCTCCAGTTCAGTACTATCAACTATTCCAGTTCATTTTATATTTAGTGGCTTTACAGTGAGGTCTCTGAACATTTAGAGAGTTAATTCAAACTAAAAGCCTTGATTTGATGCCAGGACAGTGACTAGAATTAACTGCAGATGATTCCATACTAGCCGTAGTCATCATCTCTGACAATACCACTCAGACGCAGAATTGTATGTGGTCTCTGGAGCATTCTAGACCATGATTCCCATACACTGAACCCTCCACGTAATTTACACAGAAATATCCCTGCATCCCTTAGTTTTTTATAGACTCGTCTCAATAGAATTGGAAGGCTTTGATGCAGTGCTTAATTTTCAATGCCTATTGTCTTTTTTAAAAAGAGCACGCACAAGTGTAGCCCGACACACCTTTGAAGCTGTCATCATGTCCGCATTCTGAAATGTAATGACCATAGGATTTGCCTTCCAATTCTAACTATTTCTACTTAAGGAAGGAAATTTACACAGTGGGAAAATATGTTGCCCTTTGCTTTGTTTCCTTTCCTTCTGGGGGAGAGTTATTCATGTGTGTCTTGAATACAATAAGAAATAGCACATGCTACTATCAGGATGTTTTCAGAAACATTATTTTGAGCTTTTATTCTCATAGCTAAACTCCACTGTAATTCTCACGTGACAAGAGTAAACTATTAATAGGATTCCAACTTTTTTTTTCTAGTAGACCCTGGAGAAGTCTCCTTTGCCATGTGAGTGGAGGGCAGATCAGATCTTGACATGACACATCGATTTAGTTTCCAAAACAGTAACTTTACTAAGTAAATCATTTCAGCGCTTGATTGTTATTTATACATGCAAATCTGGTTTTCATTTGTTAGACTCGGACAAGGGGAAAGCTAATAATCTCATCAAAAGCTGAATATGTTCCATCTTGGAAATGTCACAAGGTTCACAATCACATAACCTGCACTCTGCCGTGGGTGGATAAACGAACACCTCCCTAATCCATCCTACAGACAAACAGCACTGAGATAGGAGAACTCTGGGGTGTTTGCAAGGATGAGTCTCAACTCAGGCCAATGACTCCTTGGCCTTTTTCCTAGCATTATGTAATTCGTTTCCAGTGGTTGTATACTGAGAGGAGGAAAGTGGAGAAAGATGAGAAAAAAAATGGATAGTTAAAAATTCTGGGCAAGTAAATATTAATAGCTTCAACATAAATTACAGGAACTGGATTTGTAAATTGGGTTACTCTCATAGTAAGGAATCTGATTATATCTGAAGAGGTTCCAATTTTATAAGCAGGATGTATGGGTTCTGGGAAGATACATTTATCTCCAATATTTCCCACACTGACATGAAAGTCCACCAGTAATTCCTTGTTTTAAGCATGGTCCTATCTTTTATAATTCTCTTTTAGTGTGCAAATAACATAGCAAGTTCCATGTTCCTTTGGTGGCAAGATGGGCTCTGTGTTCTCTTAATTTCCTCTGACCCTCCCTCTCTCACTTCTGGTGGGAAGGAGGTCTTCTCACATAACAGTGCATCAGTTAGGCTATGTGAGAACAAGAGAGAAGTTCATGAGTTTGTTGGTGCCCCATTGTTACTCTGACACCCTGAAGATTCAGAGAAAAAGAGCCTGGTTATTTCCACGAAGAAAGGTGTATACTTGAAATGAGACTGTTTCTAGAACAAGGAAAACTATAGTATATAGCTGGGAACCTGGGAAAATGTGAAAAGGAAGGAGGGAAAGAAATCAAGAGAACATCCAGAGTCTCTTGAAAGACACCCCAAGACAAAGTGAGAAGGATACCTTTGTCCTTCCTGGATTTCAAACATTCATCATTGGCCTCAAGATAATATTGTATCTTTCTTATTGATGGGCCCATCCCACATGCCTGGCAGTTGTTACAGAGGGTGTTGGCAGCACTACTTATTTCATTACGTGGCTTTTCTTCCCAGCCTCACAGACTGAAGCTCAGAAAAACACTAACAAAAGGAGGCAGGGGTCATCAGGTGGGGTACGAAGGGAGCACCCATTCCTTGTCAAAATCAAACGTAGTCCAGGCCTCATTTAGAAGTTTAAGCAGATTCTCCTTTGCAGAAAAAGAAGGTTTTTTGTTTTTTTTTTTCTCCTCCCATACAAGTCCTTGGTGGGTTTATTCCAGGTTCTGTGAGCAACTGTCCACTTTTAGAAAATCAATCAGATCCCATCCTGTGGAATTCCAACTCGTAGGTGTTCACAGAACTTCACGATTTCTGAGGAGGTGGTTACATGGCCCCAGCACAAAGAGCTTTTGAGTTTTACAGGCAGCTGAAGAAGGCAGTGTAGTTTTTGTGAAAAGACCAAAGATGAGGGATGCTTGGGCACCCTCTTAGGCAATGGGAATTGGAGCATCAGAGCAGGGTCCTCTCAGCTTCCTTCACTTGGTGGTTTTTTCTGCTTGATTTTATGTTGCTACTTTGGATTTAATTTGTTCCAGTTCTAAGAGGATTATGCTTTTAGTACCATCCTTGTGATGATTAATGTGTACTAATTGTTTTACCTTTGAATCGAGACTCTTTGGAGCTGTCTAGGCAAAAATCTCCCTTTTGTAGGAGGCAGGGCTGATGAGCAAGAATCCCAGGGGTACCTCCGCTCTGCTTCAGGTTGATGTGAGGAGAGAGATTAAAGAAAGTATGGAAAGTAGCTTTCTTTTTGATTGCGCCCCAATGGAAATCGTGTTGTCCCACACGTTGTATTAACTATTCTGGTGACTTAAAAAATAGAATCAGTCTGAGCATTTAAAGGGGCCCTAATGAGAACCTTTACTGCTATGGGGCTTGCTTTTGTCACATTATAGGAAGCAGGGCTGTGATTTGTCACTAATTTTCATCTCGGTCGCCTGGCTCAGCCAAGAGGCTCTGGTAGCCTAATGAGCAGTGTAAATCAAATCTCTTTCTGTCCACTGATTCTCACGTGGGTGTAGACCATGGAGACGGGGTAGACTGGAGGACAGTAACAGATAACAGCAGGTAAATAACACAGCCAGAGATGTCCCCTTGCTGGGGATGAACCCAGAGATCTCTTTATTCTGAGATTTTGTTCAAGCCTTATGTCTCTACAGACATTAAGTAGCAAGTAGCTTTCTGAGTTTTTAGAAGGCATGTTTAAATTCACTTTAAATATCTATAAGTTTCCTTTCATGAACATGTCCCAAAATTGCCCCCAATGTTCTTATGAATGATCCCACTAAAGAAAAGGAAAAGAAAGGGAGAAAAAGGGAGAGAAGGGAAGAAAGACAAAGACAAGCGATTGTGCAATTTTATACGGTTCTCTTTTAACAGCATAATTACAATTTCAGTTGTCACTCAAAAAGGTTGAATGACAGATTCTAGCCAGTTGCTTGTGAAGCTGGCAGCATGTCAGGAATTACATGGGGAACTTTGTGAAAAGCGCAAGTCCCTGGGCCCCAAACCCATTCCATATTCCCTTACCTACCCACCTCCTGCCCAATATAGGCCCAGGGGAGAGCCCAGGCAGTTTTTATTTTTAAAGAGTCCTAGATGATTTCTAACAGACTGTCCAAGACCAGCTATAGAGAACCAGTGGAGGGGATGGAACATCTTTAAATATATTCAACTCAACTGGTTAACTGCTGACATTGGCTGCCAAGTGCCTGCATTGGGCTTGGTAGCAGAAAAAGAAAAGAAATAAAATTTACAAGGTCTTCCTGCATGCATTTCCTCACAACCAAGGAAAACTATTTCTACTAATTTCCCATGGAAATTCTCAACTGTGGAAGAAGCAAAGAATATCTAACATATACCTGTGGCTCTCTTAATTTAGATATTTTAAATGTGAAAAAGTCATTTACAAAACAAAAGTAGACACATTGTTGGTTTGCTAAGAAAACTGGGAGCTTGTGAACTTCGTAGGGCAAAGAATGCAGGAAAGCACAGTTTGGTAGCAGATAGAGGCTGAGACTAAGGGGACCAACTTGCCCTGGTTTTCTTGGGACTTCTCCTGTTCTAAAATTGAAAACTGGGACCGTTCTGGTTTGAAACCTGGAAGTCCCACATTCTGGGAAGCCCCTCAGTCCCAAGTACACCAGGACACTTGGCTACCTACATGAGAATGTCCATATCCATACAATCAAGAGGGTCAATTCTATTGGCACGATCAGTCAGTTCACACCAATGATTGTCTGTACAATGATTTTGCCTAGATTGGCTGGCTGTTGTTTTGATCCTGCTGATTTTGATGCTCTGATCAGTACAGAGCAAATGGCGCCAAATACCTCAAGAAGAACTCACTGAAAAGTGTCAGAAGCCCTGAGCCAGGGTTCTGATGTTACCACATCTTGTGGCATGATTTTAGACATCATCCCTAGGCCTAAATTCTGTCCTCTGCGATAAAATTGGTACAAACACGTTGTAAAATTAACATTCAAATTTTATAATACACATGGAAGCACACTATAAATTTTAAAGCTCTGCACGAATGATTAAATGTACACAGATCACAAAGCCAGAACCATAGTAGAAGAAAAATTTTTTCCTGGGAGAGAATACTGGAATGGAAGGAGCACAGTTGGTGAGTTGGCTGGATCAGGACGGCAAGCTCAATCCTTAAGCAAATAGATAGGTTTCCTTAAGCCCATTCCTGGAGCTGGCATCCTTCTTAGTTTGTTAAATCCTGAGTTTTATCAGGTGGTTCTGGGTCCAGCCTGAGGGAACAAATCCAGCCAGGCTAAGGCAACTGTGGCATCTCTACTGCTCTTTCCTAGTGACTTGTGTAGGTATGAATCATGTGACTCACAGTCAGTGAAACATAGGAGCAGTCTGCTGAGGCAGGTTTATCCTGCTCAATAAAAGAGATAGTAGCCAAAGAAGAAATCCCTTTTTGCTTCTCTTCCTGTCTTCCTGCTTTGGACATCATGTGTGAAGATGCAATAACAGGGGCCCCCCATCTTGAACCTGGAAGAGAGACGAATGTGGAGCATCACAAAATGGAGAGATGAAAGAAGACTGGGTCCTTGAGAACATGGCTAAACATTCAGAACTGCCCACCTCGAGGGTTTATTGTTCAGTGAGAAATATTCTGATCCTTAAAGCATAGCTACTCAGAGTATCAATCATAGCATGGTGTGATTCCATGAAGCATTTGTTACTGGTCCACATTGAGTGAAGCACAGAAATCATAATTGTTTATGAACTTTTCTAGCAATATGATGGGTAATATTATGGCTATTGATTCTAAAAATTTTTTTAAAATGAATGTAAATATTTTCTTTGTTTCATTTTCTATGAATTCATTTTATTATAGTTTATGAAAGTATCAATCTATGATATATTGGAAATTAGAGGAAAAATTAACTGGTATTTGTTGCAGATAGTTTAAGAAGCATTGCTTAAAGCCAATGTTTGGCAAACTGCAACCGAAGGGCCAAACCCAGCACAATGTCTGCTCTTATAAATAAAGTTTTATTAGAACATGGCCACATCTTTTGTTTACATATTATCTATGGATATGTTTATGCTACAATGCCAGAGTTAGGTTAGCTTTACAGAGACCTTACACCCACAGCCCCCAGTCCCGAGTCTAAAATGTGTACTATCTGGCCCTTTCCAAAAAAAATTTACAGAGTCTTGCTTTAACAAAAAGTCAGGAAAAAACAGATGCTGGAGAGGATGTGAAGAAATAGGAATGCTTTTACACTGTTGGTGAGAGTGTAAATTAGTTCAACCGTTGTGGAAGACAGTGTGGTGATTCCTCAAGGATCTAGAACTAGAAATACCATTTGAGCCAGCAATCTCATTACTGGGTGTATACCCCAAGGATTATAAATCATTCTACTATAAAGACACATGCACACGTATGTTTAGTGTGGCACTATTCACAATAGCAAAGACTTGGAAGCAACCCAAATGTCCATCAGCAATAGACTGGGTAAAGAAAATGTGGCACATATACACCATGGAATACTATGCAGCCATGAAAAAGGGATGAGTTCATGTCATTTGCAGGGACATGGATGAAGCTGGAAACCATCATTCTCAGCAAACTAACACAGGTACAGAAAACCAAACACCACATGTTCTCACTCATAAGTGGGAGTTGAATAATGAGAACACATGGACACAGGGAGGGGAACATCACACACCGGGGCCTGTTGGGGGGTGAGTGGCTAAGGGAGGGATAGCATTAGGAGAAATACCTAATGTAGGTGACGGGTTGATGAGTGCAGCAAACCACCATGGCACTTGTATACCTATGTAACAAACCAGCATGTTCTGCACATGTACCCAAAACTTAAAGTATAATTAAAAAAAAAAATTCTCAGCTATATATTCTCCTACTTGCAGTTGAAGTCATTATAACTTATATATAGGTAATTAACTTTTCCAGATATTAGTATGCTTATCTATAAACTAGAATAACAATTACACTGGTTTGTTGAGAGTATTGAATGAGATAATTCATATAAGGTTGTCAATAAAGCATGTGCCTTATAGTAAGCATATAACATATAAGAGATCTCTCCTTTCCTTTGCCTGCCACCACCCTTTAATTAAACAGCTACTGTGTCAAAGGCCAAGAGTTTCTATTTTCAAATCATGGGACATGGTAGCTCTTTGATATTCTATTATTTCTCTCCACTGTCAGTTGGGAAAACTTCATCTTCAGCTAGGAAGTTGGACCCAGTGGTTGAGAATAATGCATTGACAATAATCAATGACCAGATTTTAGGAATAAACCACAAGGCTTTTTAATATTGCCTGGCTCAAGGTTCTGAGGACCTGACATAACAAAAAAAGTTTCTAAGCAGAGAGGAAAATGGGTTGAGAGCTCCATTTTTACTTTTTGAAGTGTGATGGAGGATACTCCTTGTGTTGTCATGTGCTTTATTTTAAGACTGCATTCTTGAACTCTTATTGGTAACAGAAAACTAATGTGACTCTTTTTTTCTTTTTAGGAAAGCTAACAATGACTTCAGAAGTGTGTGTTTGTTATCAGATTTAGGGCACTTGTCACATTTTGGCCTGAAGGCAAGGCAAGGGAGGGTTTGCAAAAATATCCAATAAAAGTCTTCATTGCTCTTTCTCTTTTCTAATTAAAATGCAGTTCGTCTTACAGATTCCAGAGCATTTTGAATTTGTGGTTGCAAGCATGAGGTCATTTTTCTTTCCTATATGACCATAGAGAATTTTTAAAGTCTTTAGTGTTTGGTAACAACAGACAAATAACCGTGGAAACCTGAGAGCTGTGCTCAAGTTCTTTCCAGAGTTTTCCCATTATTCCTCAGCATGGGGTAAAAATGAGTCCACCTCGCTGGGCTAGTGCCAGGATCCCTGAACACCCTGCATGTGAAGCTAAAATGTAGGCTCCCCTCCATATACAGTGGCTAACCAGGCAACAAGGAGGTGAAGAGCAGGCCTCTAGTGTCTCTTGGACCTGAATCTGCACACTGGTTCTGTCAACCTTGGTGGTGATATAGAGCAAGTCAGTTATTCAGCTTCTCTGAATTTCATCTTCCTTATCTGTAAAAAGAGCAACCTCTTAGGCTGGTTGTAAAGATCAAATACAAAAATGAATGAAAAATGCTTAGCACAGTAGAAAACTGGAGTGAACAGATTTGGCCCTCCTTTTCTTTGTTTCATCTTTCTCTCAAACTCAGCCCAAAAAACTCAGGAGGAGTTGACACCAAGTTCAGGAGGAAGTCCCTGATTTGGCTAACTGATCATTATAATCAGATGCTAGTGATTGGTTCAAAAATTCAGACTTCTGTAAAATAGCCAATCAATGCATGTTATCATTCTAGGGGAGAGTATATGACCCATGTTGGTCCAGTAAGACTGGTTCAAAGAGACATTCCTTTCCCTCCCTTGCTGGATGTGAGCAAGGAAGCAATAACTTCAGCTATTGCTAGCAGTCATCTTGTGGTCATAATGCTACCTCCTCCTGCTGCCTCCCTCTACCAAGGTCTTTGCTGCAAAATCATCCTCCTCACCAAACCTATTCCACATCTGCATTATGGATGGTGAGGGAGAAGAAGCAGGCAGGCTATCCTCTTGAACACTGGACAAGCATTGAGTTTCTTATTAGGCTTGGCACAATACAGAGAAGCCCTTGCTTTAAGACAAAACAAACCAAACACCTTAAAAGATGTTCACAAATTACCCACCACAGTAGATAAATTATGAGATGTATTTAAATTCTTTCAAAAGTGCCTACCTAAAAGAAAAAATAGATAAAAACTAAAAGTGATTACTGAGAGAGTCCTATGACTACATGTTGCAACTATGTTTATCTGTGTATATACAGACAGTAGCAGGGCAGAGAAAGTAACTGCTAAAATGTGAGATGCCATTACCCAGAAAAGAGAAATCAGTACAGGAGGTGGACAATGTCTTAACTGGTATGCTGAACAGAGGGCACACCTGCATGTTCCTTTCCCACCAAGGAAGCAGCCCTGTTCTTCCCTAAGTCTACGCACTTGCTCTCATCGCTTCCTCTGGATCAGTAGCTCTCAAATTTTAGCATGCACAGAATCATCTGGAGGGCTTATTAAAACACAGATTGCTGGACCTCACTCCCAGAGTTTCTGGTGCAGTGGTCTGTGATGGGGCCAGAGAAGTAGATTCTCTAATAAGTTCCCAAGTGATACCAATGCGGTGGGTTCATTGCAGATTCAGGGTCTGAACCGGTTACGTTGTGCTTCTAGAAACTAATGCCCAGCCAGACTCTCCTCTATATTGAGAGTCTTTGTTTCAAGGGCTATAGAACTCCTGCTTCATTCGGGGTGGCCAAATGCCTACAGATTCAATGACTGAGTCTTTCTTTTCATTCCCCTAGTGCCTCAGTATCTGTCTGAGTAGAAGTCTCATAAGCCATTGCCTCTGGGACCCAGGTTTTGCTTGGCTTTCACAAGCCCTCCCCAGGATGTGAATTGAGGCTTTGAATCCCAGTTCCTGCTGCCAACAACTTGACTCTGCTGATGCCAGTGACAAGTCGGCAACTCTGTTTACAATGATAACATGGCATCAACAATCATAAGAGCTTGTCTATCTCATACTGGTTACAGGCCTCCTGTGGCTGCTGTCAGACTCCACTTGACCTCTAAGAATGGTCCCCACAATCCTATCCACCCTAGATGCTGTGACATCAGCCCTCCGTCTGCCTGGCTCTATGATGGGATTCATTCTGAGGCTACTCTCTCTGGATGGTCAGCTTATTCTCAAGGTTAACCTGGGCCAAATCCTGATCCAGATAAAGCATCACTGATATTTTTGTCCATCATAATGTTTGTCTGCAAGAAAAGTTACCTAGTTTATCAAATGTCTACTTCATTTCCAAAAAGTGAGGTTCACGTTCACTGCCATGGCAAAGGCTGGCCTTCCTTCGTTCAATGAATTAAGACTATATGCTTTGGGCTTACATTTACTATCTAGGAAATAATTCTGTTTCCCAAAATATGGGCCACGTGCCATCAGTGGTTTGTGAATTTTTTAATGTGGCACACTGACTTGACATCACTTACATTATATTGCACAGTGAGAACATTGCTTTCTTTTTAATTCTATTTGAAACCAGTTGGTGGAGTCAGAAAAGAAAAACGTCTCGGTTTGGGATTAGTATATCTTCCCCATTTTATCTTTTGTTAATCTCTCTTTTTATATAATAAAGAGGAGGCCATGGGCTGAGAACTCCAGTAGACTAACAGTGACTCTCAAGTATGTGATAACATTGTCTTCTTTACCATTCTATTTATTTGTATGGTTACCTTCCATTTATGGCAGGTAGTACTGACTTTCCATTTGTAGCAGTGATTTAAAGTTCCTTTTGTAAGTAAATATGTATAAGAAAGAAGATGATTTTGTTTAAAGAAGAGTATCATATCAACTAGGATATGGGTGTTAGGAAGGCGCAGCAAAAATCATTATGGTCAAAAAGACTGAAATTTGGAAAACGTTGATGAAAGAAATGCATTGTCCTTTGTGCCAACTCACCATGAGTAGAACAAACTCTGAATAGTGTTTATTTTTCTCTTTTGCCAGCAGTGAGAATAAACTGCAAGGAGTGATTATACATTCTATAAATATTTTCTGAGAGCTTAATCAACAAGTTACTCTCTATTGCACCTTTGAGAACAAAGTTTAGGTCCCCCAATACCTTCATCCTCAGCACAGACTCTGCCTGCCTCCTCACTCTCATCTGCCAATCTCTCCAAAGTGCCCCACAATCCCACCATAGTGGTCTTTCTCCAGTTCCTCAAATCTTAATACATCTCTTCCCTTCTGCCTCTAGGCCTTTGCACATACTGGCCCCTCTCTCTGGAATACCCTTCCTTCCTTCCACCTCTTCTTTTTTCACTTGACCAAGTCAGCTATTGGTCTAAATGTTGCTTTTTTTCAGAGACAACTTGCTTGACTTTCAGGCCAGTTGAGCATCTCCCCGATGGCATCTCATTCTTCTACTCTGAGGCACTCTTCACAATTGTAATCAAGTAACCATTTAGGTATTGATTTGTGTCATGTCTGTCCCCTGCTGGACTGTAAGCTTGTGAGAGTAGTGAGCTTGCCTTATGGTTGGTTCTCAATAAGTATTTTTGTAAATGACTGAATCATGACCTATGACAGCATATTACGTAGACACCAGGGCCCTAAAATAAAACTTAGGTAACTAAATGAAAAGAACAAAATGATTTTAACAATTAAGGATTGAAGTCAGGTACCTCTGACCACTAGTCATAACAAGTGGCCAAAATTATGTGTGCATTCAGTGAATCAAATCACCCAAGCACACAAACCTGGCCCTCTACATTTATTGCTTATAAAAACAAAAGATTGAGAACATTGGTTGAAGCCAGATGTTCTGCAGGCTGGATCTCATTGTCCTAACATGACAGATTCTCATAACTGGAAATGTGTGTATTTGAGATGCTGGAACATAAGATCCAACCCAGAAAATATTTTGAAATAATGTTTTTCAATTACTTAATCCTTGTTAGGCTATTGAAGAGAAGACTCTTATATACACTATTATAAAAACATTATGCCTGAGTCTCAAGCTCTGGAATATCCAATTACAATAGCTTTTTTCCACATTTGTATTCTCTCTCTTATTTAATTGCTCTTAACATTTGGAGCAGATTTATTGTATATGACAGCAAGCAACATGAGCCTGTGTAAGAGCCGGCCATGCCATTTCCTGCTCTCCACCCACCCACCGTCTCCCTAGTATCCCTCTTCCCTGCCTTCTAGCATCCTCATTAGCTCAGCCAAGTCTTGTTCCCTGCTTGGAGTGTGGGCTGTCAGAAAAGCACTCTAGTAACTGCCCACCAGCAGACTCCATCTCTCCCTCCGTAAACTGACCTGAGCTTTGACTGATATCAATTTTCACCCTATCCTAAATCAATCTATAATGTGAGGTAAACAAAATAATCTTCATTTCTAAGATGTCTCATCAAGAGTTAATAAGTAGGTAGTCGTTGAGTGTTTCCTGTCAGCATGTGTCTGTGTGTCGGTGTGTAACAGTATAGCTTGTGTGTATATGTGTGTGTGTGTGTGTGTGTGTGTGTGTGTGTGTGTCCTGCTCCATTTTGTCATGCAACAGGTACCTTCTAATTTTGGCTGAAACC